>NC_000024.10:18988697-19598245 GCF_000001405.40 Homo sapiens | reverse complement strand
TTCCATTGCAATTTTCTGGAAAATCACACATATCTATGTTTTTTCTGCACAACATTTCTGATATCTTTCCTTAGAAAGTGAACATACAGCATCTGTTTCCTTTATCTCAAACAATAAAAGCACACAAAGACTAGAATGGGACACTATAGGGGTCCAGACTGAAAAATGGAGAGAGCCCAATATTTTTTTAGAAAGCATACACACACACACAAAATCTTATGGTGAAGTAGGACTGTCTGGCCATTTGTAATATTTTAAAATTCTATGTAGCTAGCCATAAGACAAAATTATAAAGGTTTTAGAGAAAATATCTGGGACAGAGGAAAGCCAACTTTCAAAATAGCCATCACAACCAGCCATCACAATCAACCTGGAACTAGGGTTGCCAAAATGAATACAAATCATTTATGGTTTTTATGGTGCCATAAAAATGCCAAAAAAAAATCAAGGCAAATCAGAATTAATTGGTCACCCTAAAAGAAGAGAAAGTTTCCAAGAGGACAAGAATCAAATCCTCTGTTCTAGTCTGTGGCTGGGAACAAGAAGACACAAATTCTGCTATTCTCTGTTGTTAAGTTACCTGCTCTTTCAGTTGTGCTTCTTCTTGTTTCATTTCTTCATATTTGTGCCTCGATTCTGTTGCTTCTTTTAATAACTAGAAAACAGATACATTCTGACAGAATACTAACAACAATTATAAACATGGTCAAAATGTCTAACAGATAGGCTTAATCTTCCAGTAATTATCCTGGCAACAATGACAGGTCAACCCAATTATCTCAATTTCTAACTACTTCTATCTCTTATCTGTTCCACTGGTGAACACTTAGGAATGTAGGAATAATTGCTTAAAGAGAAAAAGTAACCTAGAAGCATAATAAAGTTTATAGTACTCAGGGTTGAAATGTTGTGTTTTACATGAGGAATAACTAGACATCTACACTTTTAGACAGAAAACGCAGCTAAGAATCTTGACATTGTCTAGGTTATTTAGAAAGCCCCTCAACTCTGTAAAAGATAAAAGCAGGTTAAAAGAATATGCAGCAAAGCAATGAAAATAGAGACCTAGTTTCTGGTCACTTTTTTAAAACCACAGGAAAGGAACAGCTAAGGGAAGAAAAGAGATTAGTTAGTATTTGAGTTTTTCAGAAACATAGATAATAAAGATGCATGGGAAGCAGCTGTGAAATTCAGTCACTGAATTTCTGAGGTAAAATGTCACATATTATGTAAATAAGCCTTAAACCACAAAATACACACATAGATATACATAGATACATACAAAATTTATACTCCAAGTTGAAAGGTGCAATTAAGTTTCTTTAATTGTGCACTGATATCTGTCAGCTTGCACTGAAGAGACATGCTGTGTGAAACATCTCTCCAAACCCTAGACTCATTCAATATGAGAGGCTTGAATGAGAAAACACTAAGGAACTAAATATTCATAACATGCTCTACTCAGGGCCTACATTACTTGAATGAAGAAAATGTAATACACCACATTATTAAAATCATTTTTCATTCATAGAATATAGTTTCATTTCCATGGGGGTAAATGGGTATAGTCAAATTAGATTTTTTCTGTGTTCTCAATTATGGACAGACAAAATCTGAATACATATTCTAGCAACAATGCTGACCAAGACACAGATAATTTTGTCAGAAAATTATACCAGAATATAATCAAAGTAAACAAATCATTTACCAATTTTTAAATTGCTTATTTAAAAATGAAATGTAACACTAGGTAGAAGTCTCATGTTCACTAAGTTGGTGTAAAATTTAACTGTCCCTAAATCTCAAAGCCTATCTTGCCTAATAACTGGCACAATTCTTTAACTTGGTGACCACTACATAGAAAGCAAAATTATCTTGTTTTTCCACTAATTTAATCTTATCTCCAGTAAATTTCATATGAAAATTTCATCAGAAACAGAAAGCTTAATACACACACACACACACACACACACACACTCGCATATCCCACATCCAGAGAGTAAGAAACAAAATTGCATGCCCTGGCACTATGTTAAGTGAGGAGTTTGTTTTAAATGGCTTTGGTTACAATTTTGGCGATCTTTTTTTTTTTTCCAAGAAGTAGAACTTACAAACTCTCTCTCTCTCTGATGTCTTTCATCAGCTTCTTTTATCAGCTGTGCTGTTTGTTGAAGTCTGGCATCTACAAGCTGTTGTCGTAATTCCTTATGTTTGAACGCTTTATTAATTTGCTACAGGAAAACAGAATTTCTTGCACCACTAACCAAAGAAATAAATACAGTGGGGAGAAAACATAACACAAATTTCTAGAACCCTGCTTACCCTTCTTTTCTGCTGCTACCACTGTAGTTAAGAACACTGACTCCTTCTGTCCCCGTCACTGCAGAAGTGGCTACAACATATCATCTTGCAAACTATCCCACACTAGAAAGAGCACAACCCTCTAACTGCTGCCCCATGTCCCACCCTATCAGACGTGGGCTGTCCCCATCAAAATATCTGTACTTCTTGCTTCTGCCCTACATTGGAAAAAAAAAAGCTGATATTTTATCAAGAAAAAGATGGATAAGGAGATCAAAATATCAAATTCATTTATTACACACATAATTCCTGGACATTTTTTGTTCACAAAATCTTCTGAAATTCCTTAATTGTAGGTAGCCTGATAAAATGAAAAAAATGGTCTGGAGCAAATCCTAGCTTATTGTATGATCCAGGACAATTTCTTCTCCTTGTGAAACACAGTTTCCTTATCTGCAAAGGTTCATGACCATACCTAACTTGCAGAGTTGCTGTCCAAATCTATGCAATAATTAAACTGTGTAAGGTGCTTGATGCCTGGCACATATTAAACATTTGGTAAAATCCTGTTATTATTTAAAAGCTATGTCATTAAGTGCTATTGTACATACAATAGACTCATTAGGAAATCCCTCCACACATGGAGGTTCTATGTGAAGGAAGAAATGCTAGCTGAAAATAATGTACTTAAATTAAGTTTTGAGAAGACTGCAACAGATAATCTGTCTTAATCTGCAACTGATTTTATCATTATTCAATTATTTTCTGATAAAAGAAAAAGACTGTAATATCTAAACAAGACATACAAGTAGTACAACTTGAACACATGTCCTCTCCCAATCTGCTACTTCTATAGCAAATTTGGAGAGTTTAATACAGTTAAAATAATATAAATCCTAAAGAGTAAAATAATAAAAAATAAAATAAAATTAATCATTTTTAATACCATTATTTAAAACAATGGAATTTAAAGGATTCTTTTAAAAAAACTGATGATATTCATAATATGCTTTATAATATAAAACAAATTTAATTTTAAAAGTTCACTATATAGGCCTAAAAAATTTCTTTAATAAATACATTCCAAGGAAAAAAAAGAGGGGGGGGAAGCTTATATACTAAAAAGACTTGAGACATATTAAAACAATAAAATGTATAAACCTTATTTTGATGTTGATGTAAACAACCTGAAGGAAAAGGGAAGTAACAGATATTTAAATAGTACAGTGAGAAGGTATGTGATTACATAGCAATTGTTTAACCTTTTGGAGTAAAAATAGTACAGTGATTATGGCTTAAAAAGAATCTTATTTCATGATGCATATTTGAATAGTAATAAATAAAATGATATAATATCTTGGATTTGCTTAAAAATAGATGGAAACAAGAGTTGCTAGAAACAAAAGTAAATAATTGCTAAAGCCAAGTGATATATTCTACTATAAGTTTGCAGCTTCCATAATAAGTTTGAAATGTTCTTGAAACATAGAGGAAAATGGTTTAAAAGATACTCAAAATCTTAAAGAAAAATGTTTTCAAAAGTAGCATGAAAAGGTGTAACTCAAAATAACATTTTGATATGCATAAAGTAATATTTACTGTTTTATTAATTTTTAAATTGTCACTTTCTATTTCCAATTTTAATCTACTAAGTAAGGATTTAAATATATATTTTACTAGCTTAAAGCATAATAAAGGAAGGGGATGCATCCTTTGAAAATTGAAATCTTACCCTATGTATAGACCTCTAAAAGTAAAGAAAAAATAAAAACAAATAAGCAGGTTATCACCTATTTGTTTTTTATTTAGCCATCATACAACTTCCACATCAATTTATAAAATAACTCCAATGACTAGGTTCGACAACTATTGAGTCCTCCACAAACTTTTTACTTCATTGATTACACAAACAATGTGACTTGGTGATGGGTAATTAGTAGGTTCCTTATTCTCACAAATAGCACAATTCTCCTATTTATATTGTTCAGATTGTCACAGAAATCTGAGATACAGAGTATTTAGGGAACAAATCTGTATTATTAGACTGCATAAGAGAAAAATATCTGTATGCTATATTGACAATCTTGTAGCATCATATGGGAGACAAGTGGTACACATCTCCTAGAAATCCCTTTACTTATCCTACTCCACTGACACTTGGGCCAAGTGATGCTCCAATTTAGTCATTCTGTTTACAGGTTTCTACTCTTTTCCTAATAAACATGTAATTTCCACTGTGCATACACAAAAGTTCTAAAATACTGTCCTGTGAAAGAGTTTTTACTTTACGGTAGGGTGTAGCTTTTGCTACTGGTGAGCAGCTGTCTATAAACAAACCAAACGCCGTTTACCTCTTCCCTCAGTGCATACTGGTCAGTGAGCTTCTTTAGCTTTTCTCCCATTTCCATGTTCTCCTGCTGCAGTTTGGCATTGTGTATTTCATGCTGTTCCAGCTGGGCTTGAGTTTCAGTTAAAGTAATTTGGAAATGTGCAGTTACTTCTTTAAGAACTTCTTCCTCCTCTTTTTTCTGCTGCATATGTTCCTCCTTATTATCCAAAATAATGTATGTTAAAAGTACAGACCTACAGATAAAGCTCGCGAAAAAGAAGCTACTGCTATGTGAGTTCATTTATTGCTCCCATGAGGTGTTGCTTTTAAACTATAATTCCTCCCCCTTATTTATGACCAGAAATCTCTCATTTAAAAGCAAGCAGCTTTTTCTAAGTAGATAATTAGAGAAAAGCAAATGCCCTACTATAAAATAAGTATCATCTGCTGATCCAGATATTCACTATACTATAATTAAATATAAGTAAGATGCTGCTCCACAGTTAGTTTCTTCCACATTATTTTCCCAAAAGTCATCCTCACTGGTTAGGCAGTATACCATCCTACATCAGCCTGAAGATCTTACAGCCTACTTTCTGAGTTACACTTTCAATTTTATAAGAGGGAAGGGACAAACTAAATCATTATTTTACAAAGTTTACTTTCAAAGTCTTACTAGGATACAAGTGTCAACAGACCTTTACCTAAACAGTTATCAGTACAGTCTAAATATTGACAGTGCTATCTACTTTTATTATATTTAAATCCAAGATTTCAAAAGCAAGAAAAATAAATACAAACCTTACAAGTAAGAACCTATTTCACAAGCTGTCCTATGTTCTTGAGTTTACTGTGATGAGGGTGATCCAGCACCATCAAAATAATACTCCAACCATACACCCCCTAGCAATACCACAAAGTCAGACAAATTCCTCTGATGGATGGCAGATTCTTTCCAGGATCTCTGCTTTTTACTTCCATTATTGAGACAAGCTGTCATACTTAATCCTTCTTCTGTTATAATCAGCCTAGCTGTAAGTAATATTCTAAAGTATTTAGCAACCAAATAGCCAAAGATGGCAGAATGTAGTTTAACAATCTATCCTATTAACTTTTATAGTAGAGCTCTACAGTGTGTTTTTCTTTCTCAAACTCACACTGACTATGGCTACCAGTTTCTTCATTTCAGCTAAGATTTTCACTCATTACCAAAAAAGGACATGATAACCAACTACACCAAAAGCCAACAAAAATATCTGGCAACTGTGAGCTTTTTAAGCAGGAGAGCTGTGAACATAAAAACCAATGTCATCTAGATTCCCTGTGATCAAGTATACAGTAGACTAAGGTAGAGCTTATCCTTGAATCTGAAACCAAAATTTACATAGAGTGAGTCTTTAGAGAGTTACCTCACAGGCAGCATCAGCTCAAGCAAAACAAAAAGCAAGGGATCTCTGTGTTAAGATGTCTACAAAGTTGTCTGCTTAGGAATCTGATCTACCAGCACAAGTGTACCTGAGCCAGTTAACAAGAAGCCATTATAGCAACTAATTCCCATTAAAAGACATAGAGCAAGAATTTATTTCAAGTAGTTACAAGGCGATTATAAAAGCAGCCTAAGTAGTTCCTGAAATACAGTAAAATAAACCAACTAACCTTTAATGTCTTATTTTGACATTAATTTTGCTGAAGTTCCCTGCAAAGAGATTCTAGCTTGCTTCTTGCCAAGATGGTCTTGCTGTATTCACTCTGCAAGTGAACTTTCTCTTTGACAATCTGAGCTTGCTTATTCTGCAGAATCTTCATTTGCCTCTGAACATTCCTGCTTTCCTCCAGCTAAAATTAATAACCACTTTACATTTAGGAAGTATAGTAATCTGAGTTATAGCTCTAAGCACTGCAATTACAGCCATGGAACATTTTATGTTCCCCTCTTTTCTAGTGACAGGAAAGTATGTAAATAATTTTGTGTAGCAAGAAAAGCAATCTTAATCTCCATTTTTTATTAATAGGAAAAAGTAACCTTTTAATCAAAAGCTTATTTCAGACTAAAATGATATAGTTTTCCTATTCTACAAGAGCTACTTTATTGAAACAGCTACCAAAATTAGAACACAATAAGCAGTGCTCAAGATTCATCAGTCAAGTCAGTTTCAGATTTATAATAAATGATTCCAAATTATACTACTAGATAACATAGTGGTCATCCTAATTCTTGAGTAAAGCTTTTATGAAAAATAAAAAATTGACGAAGCAAACATTTCAAGAGAGAATGAAATATCAAGAAACCTATCAAACATCCTTGCAGGCAATATTCTTATAGGTATTAAAAACACCTTTATTGGCCAGGGATGGTGGCTCATAACTGTAATCTCACTCAACACTCTGGGAAGTTGAGGTGGGAGGATCACTTGAGCCCAGGAGTTCATGACTCCATTTCTACAAAAATTTTTTTAAAATTAGCCATGCATGCTTGTGCATGTCTGTAGTGCCAGGTACTCAGGAGGCCGATACAGGAGAATTGTTTGAGCCTAGGAGTTCAAGACTGTAGTGAACTGTGACTGAACCATGGTATACCAGCCTTAGCGACAGTGCAAGACTCTGACTAAAATAAATTAATTAAATAAATAAATAATGCAGTATTTCAGTCACTTCCACCTCTACTGTGGCCAATTTTACAAAGTGCGTTTTCAGATCTACTAAATCCAAATCTTCAATTTGACAATTCTTGTGTGATTTCTATGTGTTTGAGGACCACCCTAGATGACCATGCTACAGTATGCAACCAAATTGCTCTTTCTTCCCCAACCCTTTCATGGCTGACAGCTAGGAAATCTCCTAACCTTCTAGTACACTGCTTTTTCTACCAGAAATTCAATGCTTTTGTCAGTCTTTCTTTTATCTTCTTTGTTGCTGTCTTCTTTTTCTGGCATTTCTCGCATGAGTTTCCTCAGGCTGATGTAACAATTGAGACTGGCTTCCATATCCAATGGAAGCATTCCTTTCCTGAACATAGCAAGCAACAATTTTATTTTCTGCTGTCTTTGCTTTTGGACAGTTCTAAGCTATTTACATTTATGCTCAGGGATTCCTGCTTCTCAAAATATCAGAAGGTGCCAGGCTGCTGCTAAGTATGTGGCACTTGAAGATGCCAGCTAAGTGGAGGTAAATATGGACCACATGAGAGAATAGTAACTATTATTGTTACAGCTTTATTCTTGGAGTTGATTATTAACTAAATATTTGTTTTGTGCATTTACAACATGGAGTTGCTGCTTTAACACTATTTGAAAGTGTACAAAAACTGTCAGTGATAATTCCCATAAATGTTTCACAAAACAGAATTTTAGCATTTATTTAATTATAAAAATTTCCCATGATTCTTCAAAAAGTTCTGTATCTTTTCCATTATTTGCTTTACAAAGTCTAGTAGGGTTTCCCTGTTGAGAATGTTTCCATAGTCTCCAAAAAAAGAATTTTGTTTCAAATCGTATAGTTCAAAACAAACTCTTCTATAGAAGAGGTGAATTTCCCTGGAAGATGGAAAAAAGAACAATGCTTGGCATACAGTAGATATTAAATAAATATTTCCTGAGCCATAGTACAATTTTACTAAACAATCTTATCTAACTCACAATTTTAATCAAGAATGGTTAGAGCTTGAATCTGCAGAATTCCTTCGGAAAATTTTAAATACAGAAACCACTTCCTCCCAATTGTCAGGCATCTTAAGCATACAAAAAAAAAAAACTGCTGATCTAGCATATTAAGTTTTAGGAAATTTATTTCACATTTAAAAAAGTATTATTATGTTCTATACATCATTTCATAAGATGAAGTCACACACACCAATCATAAGTACTAAAGAAAGGAGATTGTTTTCAATTTTGAGATAAAATATCATTTTACATTTAAAGTTACATCAAAATAATATTTAAAAATCTTATCAAGCACACATAGATTTTATTTTCTGTGTTCCTTGCTCCATTAAATAAATACTCACAAGATCAGCATATTTCTTACAGAGAGCTGCCAGCTTCTCCTCTGGAGTCGAAAGAGTGTTTAGGGCTTGCATCAATAATAAAACTTCTTTTCCTAATGATTAATAAGATTTTAAAAAGTACCAGAAGAAGGCTGAAATCAATCCAATCTGTAAATTTTATGTAAACTTCTATGTTAAGACATTCAGAGTAAAATGATATAGCTCTAATTAAAAACAGATTTACCTATTAAATTCAGGTAACTTTTGAAAATTTAGCAGGTACTTCCTCCAGCTGTACAAATTTCTTCAATTATCAAGCACCACTACTAGCTATTTAGCCCTTAAATGTAGTGCAAGATAATTACTGCACGTTTAAGAACTACTCTTGCCTAACCACTATTTAGACAGTAACATTCTAAGTTAAGATATGTAAAAGGGCAGGGAATAAGGCTTCCTGCTAGTGAAGGACAACTATAAAAGGATATTCAGTTACTATTCACTGCCTAAGACACTCATAACTCTTTATAATATGTAACTTTTGCTATGAACAATTTAAACAAGTTATGATTGTTTTGGGATGATCTGCTAAGCATATTCTGGGTGTTAGGTTTAGATCAAAGAAAAGGAAGTCAAAATAGCTCTTCCCTTGAAGAAAAGTTTTAAAAGAGTACTATAATAACTTTGCAAGGGACAAGCAAGTAGCTGAAATAGAAAGAGTCAAATGGTGCTTCAAAATACATACTAATGTTCTACTGGTAACGATGGAGATAGGTAACTTTTGATTTGTTCTCTCTAATATGTAACACAGTTCTTTAAAACCTTGACTTTTGGTATACTTTACAGAGTACTAGAGGTTGAGGGAAAACAGGCTGACTTCAAATAATGCTTCTGTATGCACATAAAATTTTAGTACTAAATTCTTTTCTCATTCACACCAAAGCCAAGTAAGAAAGAAACACTGGGCAGGGTATACTAGCTCACACCTGTAATCTTGACACTTGGAAAAGCCAATGCCAGTACAGGTAGCCAAAATATACTGCTACAGGACAGTATACCAAGACCAGCCTGGGCAAGAGAATGACAGCCCATCTCTACAACAAAAGAAAAATAAAAAATTAGCCATGTGTGGTGGTGTACGCCTGTAGCCCCAGCTACTCTAGAGTCTGAAGAGACAGGATCACGAGCTCAGGGAGTTTAAGGCTGCCATGACCCATGAATGTACCACCGCGCTCCAGCCTGGGTGACAGGGAAAGACCTTGTCTCTCTAGAAAAAAGAATAAATAAATATTGTTATTGAATGTGTATGTGTAAGAAACAACTATAATATAACTGACATTTTCATAAAGATTTTCATTTAAAACTTTTTAAATAATTTTAACCTCAAGCTATATTTTACACATATAATTGGGGCTATCAATTTTGAAGATATCTGTCTTATTTTCAAGGAATTACAATTACTTTATATATTACCATACTTTTTTTTTTGTCTTCCAGGGTAACAGAAAATGGATTAAGAATAAAAATTCCAAGTTTCAGTGTCACATATAAGTCATATATATCAATGTAAATGTTAGTATAAGGATGAAACACTGAGGGCAACTATTAAGGCATTTCAGATTTCAGTCATGAAATTTGACATATCATATTCTTAATCCTAATTGTCAAGCTAAGAGTGGAAGGGATAAAACAAATTCTAAAAATCAGTCTTATTTAACTCTTTCTACACTACAGATAACATTATATCCTCTCTAAATTTCAGTGTATAATCTTTTAAGCAAAATTAGCATACATATTGTTTTCATACTATTAGGTTATTTTCAAAGGTACAAAAAGCAAGGTAAATCAAATACTAATTACATCATATTGGCCTCAAACTTTCTTAAAACTTCAGTTCTTGTTACACAGAGAAATAATTAAGTTTCTTATAACTGGGCTTCGTATTTTGCTATTTTTGTTCCCTACACATAACTGGAGATGATAGGTGGACTAAACCAAGTGAAGAAACAAGTTTACCAGGCAACATTTACCTCCAAACAGGCCAAGTTCATAATCACTCATGCTGCAGAAAATGTAAAACAAAAAGACCAGTATGTGACAACATCCAACCACAGAGCAGAGATTATTACCTAAGACTTTTTCTTTGTTCCTGTTGCATTGTAAAGCTTGCTGACCAGACGGAGGGGCTACTTCTTGCTCAGGAAGCTCCCTTCTTGACTCTTGTGTGCAGTGCACTGGGCTCACCCAACTCCTGTTCTTTGTTATAAAGTCACGGCCTTCTTCATCTTCCAATAAATGTTTATTACTTGTGGCACTGCAATTTGAGTCTTGATGTTGAAGAATATCATGTGATTCAGAGTTACACAACATATCTGCTTTCTCTCTTAACCCACAAAGTCCAGCTTCTTCCATTGTGCTATTCACAAACTAGAGGGAAGGAGAGTAAGCATAAAGGTTGAAGAGAGAGTTAAATCAAATGTTATAAAGCAAAGAAAACTAAGCAGTGCTAAAAAGTACAATTTTCCATCCCTCTATGCTTTTGTACATTTTGTATATCTGACAATAAACAAGCAGGTCATAAGGCTTAGCAGCTTATTTTGCTTTTCATAGTGGTTTGTAAAGTAACACTATTTTTCTTTTTTTTTTTGAGATGGAGTCTCCCTCTGTCATCCAGGCTGGAGTGCAGTGGGGCAATCTTGGCTCACTGCAAGCTCCACCTCCCAGGTTCACGCCATTCTCTCTCCTCAGCTTCCCAAGTAGTTGGTACTACAGGCACCTGCCACCATGCCTGGCTAATTTTTTGTATTTTTAGTAGAGATGGGGTTTCACTGTGTTAGCCAGGATCGTCTCCATATCCTGACCTTGTGATCCGCCTGCCTCGACCTCCCAAAGTGCTGGGATTACAGGCGTAAGCCACCACGCCCAGCCAAGTAACACTACTTCTTAACAATCTAAAGTAAATGTAATTTTTAATTTCACAAAGAGGTAACCTAATTGCAAAGTATAAAGATATTAAAATTAGGAAGTTCCAAGATTGCCAAATAGGAACAGCTCGAGTCCAAAGCTCCCAGCATGAGCGATGCAAAAGACTGGTGATTTCTGCATTTCCAACATGAGCGACACAAAAAACTGGTGATTTCTGTATTTCCAACTGAGGTACCAGATTCATCTCACTGGGGCCTGTCAGACAGTGGGTGCAGCTCATGGAGCAGGGCAGGACATCGCCTCACCCGGGAAGCACAAGGGGTTGGGGAATTCCCTTTCCTATCAAAGGGAAGCTGTGACAGAAGGTACCTGGAAATTCGGGACACTACCACCCTAATACCGAGCTTTTCCAATGGCCTTAGCAAAGGGCACACCAGGAGATTATATCCCATGCCTGGCTCGGAGGGTCCCACACCCACGGAACCCGGCTCACTGCTAGCACAGCAGTCTGAGATCGAACTGCAAGGCAGCAGGGAGGCTGGGGGAGGGGTGTCCACAATTGCTGAGGCTTGAGTAGGTAAACAAAGTGGCCAGGAAGCTCAAACTGGATGGAGCCCACCGCAGCTCAAGGAGGCCTGCCTGCCTCTATAGACTCCACCTCTGGGGGCAGGGCATAGCTGAACAAAAGGCAGCAGAAACTTTTGCAGATTTCAACGTCCGTGTCGCACAGCTTTGAAGAGAGTAGTGCTTCTCCCAGCACGGAATTTGAGATCTGAGAACAAACAGACTGCCTCCTCAAGTGGGTCCCAGACCCCCGAGTAGCCTAACTAGGAGACACCTCCCAGTAGGGGCCGACTGACACCTCAAACAGCCAGGTGTCCCTCAGAGACAAAGCTTCCAGAGGAAGGATCAGGCAGCAACATCTGCTGTTCTGCAATATTTGCTGTTCTGCAGCCTCTGCTGGTGATACCCAGGCAAACAAGGTCTGGAGTGGACCTCCAGCAAACTCCAACAGACCTGCAGCTGAGGGTCCTGATTGTTAGAAGGAAAACTAACAGAAACAAAGGATATCCACACCAAAACCCCATCTGTATGTTACCATCATCAAAGACCAAAGGTAGATAAAACCGAAAAGTAACCAGAGCAGAAAATCTGAAAATTCTAACAATCAGAGCCCCTCTTCTCCTCCAAAGGAACGCAGCTCCTCACCAGCAATGGAACAAAGCTGGATGGAGAATGACTGACAAGTTGAGAGAAGAAAGCTTCAGATGATGGGTAATAACAAACTTCTCCGAGCTAAAGGAGGATGTTCAAACCCAGCACGAGAAAGGTAAAAACCTTGAGAAAAGATTAGATGAATGGCTAACTAGAATAAACAGTGTAGAGAAGTCCTTAAATGACCTGATGGAGCTGAAAACCATGGCATGAGAAATATGTGATGCATGCACAAGCCCCAGTAGCTGATTTGATCATGTGGAAGACACAGTATCAGTGACTGAAGATCAAATGAATGAAATGCAGGGAGAAGAGAAGTTTAGAGAAAAAAACAGTAAAAAGAAATGAATGAAGCCTCCAAGAAATATGGGACTATGTGAAAAGATCAAATCTACATCTGACTGGTGTACCTGAAAGTGATGGGGAGAACGGAACCAAGCTGGAAAACACTCTTCAGTATATTATCCAGGAGAACTTCCCCAACCTAGCAAGGCAGGCCAACATTCAAATTCAGGAAGCACAGATAATACCACAAAGATACTCCTCGAGAAGAGCAACTCCAAAACATATGTCAGATTCACCAAAGTTGAAATGAAGGAAAAAATGTTAAGGGCAGCCAGAGAGAAAGGTCAGGTTACCCACAAAGGGAAGTGCATCAGATTAACAGCTGATCTCTTGGCAGAAACCCTACAAGCCAGAAAAGAATGGGGGCCAATATTCAACATTCTTAAAGAAAAGAATTTTCAATCCAGAATTTCATATCCAGCCAAACTAAGCTTTGTAAGTGAAGGAGAAATAAAATCCTTTACAGACAAGTAAATGCTGAGAGATTTTGTCACCACCAGGCCTGCCCTAAAAGAGCTCCTGAAGGAAGCAATAAACATGGAAAGGAACAACCAGTACCAGCTACTGTAAAAACATGCCAAATTGTAAAGACCATCAATGCTAGGAAGACACTGCATCAACTAATGAGCAAAATAACCAGCTAACATCATAATGACAGGATCAAATTCACACATAGCAATATTAACCTAAAAGGTAAATGGGCTAAATGCTCCAGTTAAAAAACAGTCTGGCAAATTGGATAAAGAGTCAAGATCCACCAGTGTGCTGTATTCAGGAGACCCATCTCATGTGCAGAGACACACATAGGCTCAAAATAAAGGGATGGAGGAAGATCTACCAAGCAAATGGAAAACAAAAAAAAGCAGGGGTTGCAATCCTAGTCTCTAATAAAACAGACTATAAACCAACCAGATCAAAAGAGACAAAGCAGGCCATCACATAATGGTAAAGGGATCAATTAAACAAGAAGAGCTAACTATCCTAAATATATATGCACCCAATACAGGAGCACCCAGATTCATAAAGCAAGTCCTTAGAGACCTACAAAGAGACTTAAGACTCCCATACTATAATAATGGGAGACTTTAAAATCCCAGTGTCAACATTAGACAGATCAATGAGACAGAAAGTTAAAAAGGATACCCAGGAATTGAACTCAGCTCTGCACCAAGCGGACCTAATAGACATCTACAGAACTCTCCACCCCAAATCAACAGAATATACATTTTTTCAGCACCACACCACACCTATTCCAAAATTGACCACATTGTTGGAAATAAAGCTCTCCTCAGCAAATGTAAAAGAGAAATTATAACAAACTATCTCTCAGACCACAGTGCAATCAAACTAGAACTCAGGATCAAGAAACTCACTCAAAACTGCTCAACTACATGGAAACTGAACAACCTGCTCCTGAATGACTACTGGGTACATAACGAAATGAAGGCAGAAATAAAGATGTACTTTGAAACAATGAGAACAAAGACACAACATACCAGAATCTCTGGGACACATTTAAAGGAGTGTGTAGAGGGAAATTTATAGCACTAAATGCCCATAAGAGAAACCAGTAAAGATCTAAAATTGACACCCTAACATCAGAATTAAAAGAACTAGAGCAGCAAGAGCAAACACATTCAAAAGCTAGCAGAAGGCAAGAAATAACTAAGATCAGAGCAGAACTGAGAGAGATAGAGACACAAAAAACCCTTCAGAAAAAATCAGTGAATCCAGGAGCTGGTTTTTCAAAAAGATCAACAAAATTGTTACACCACTAGCAAGATTAATAAGAAGAAAAGAGAGAAGAATCAAATAGATGCAATAAAAAATGACAAAGGGGATATCACCACCGATGCCACAGAAATACAAACTACCATCAGAGAATACTATAAATACCTCTACATAAACTAGAAAATCTAGAAGAAATGGATAAATTCCTGGACACATACACCCTCCCAAGACTAAACCAGGAAGAAGCTGAATCTCTGAATAGACTAATAACAGGTTCTGAAATTGAGGCAGTAATTAATAGCCTACCAACCAAAAAAATCCAGGACCAGACGGGTTCACATCCGAATGCTACCAGAGGTACAAAGAGGAGCTGGTACCATTACTTCTGAAACTATTTCAATCAATAGAAAAAGAGGGAATCCTCCCTAATTCATTTTATGAGGCCAACATCATCCTGATACCAGCAGAGACACAACAAAACAGAGAATTTTAGACCAATATCCCTGATGAACATCGATGCAAAAATCCTCAATAAATACTGGCAAACTGAATCCAGCAGCACATCAAAAAGCTTATCCACCACGATTAAGTGGGCTTCATCCCTGGGATGCAAGGCTGGTTCAACATATGCAAATTAATAAATGTAATCCATCATATAAACAGAACCAAAGGAAAAAAACACATGATTATCTCAATAGATGCAGAAAAGGCCTTCGAGAAAATTCAACAGCGCTTCATGCTAAAAACTCTCAATAAACTAGGTATCAATGGGACGTATCTCAAAATAATAAGAGCTATTTATGACAAACCCACAGCTAATAACATACTGAATGGGCAAAACTGGAAGCATTCCCTTTGAAAACTGGCACAAGACAGGGATGCCCTCTCTCGCCACTCCTATTCAACACAGTGTTGGAAGTTCTAGCCAGGGCAATTAGGCAAGAGAAAGAAATAAAGGGTATTCAAGTAGGAAAAGAGGAAGTCAAATTGTCCCTGTGTGCAGATGACATGATTGTATAATTAGAAAACCCCATCGTCTCAGCCCAAAATCTCTTTAAGCTAATAAGCAACTTCAGCAAAGTCTCAGGATACAAAATCAATGTGCAAAAATCACCAATAACAGAAAAACAGAGAGCCAAATCATGAGTGAACTCCCATTCACAATTGCTTCAAAGAGAATAAAATACCTAGGAATCCAACTTACAAGGGATAGGAAGGACCTCTTCATAGCCAGTGCTCAACGAAATAAAAGAGGACACAAACCAATGGAACAACATTCCATGCTCATGAATAGGAAGAATCAAAATTGTGAAAATGGCCATGCTGTCCAAGATAATTTATAGATTCAATGTCATCTCCATCAAGCTACCAATGACTTTCTTCACAGAACTGGAAAAAACTATTTTAAAGTTCATATGGAACCAAAAAAGAGCCTGCATCTCCAAGACAATCCTAAGCCAAAAGAACAAAGCTGGAGGCATCACACTACCTGACTTCAAACTATACTACAAGGCTACAGTAACCAAAATAGCACGGTACTGGTACCAAAACAGAGACATAGACCAATGGAAGAGAACAGAACCCTCAGAAATAATGCCACACATCTACAACCATCTGATCTTTGACAAACCTGACAAAAATAAGCAATGGGGAAAGGATTCCCTATTTAATAAATGGTGCTGGGAAAACTGGCTAGCCATATGTAGAATGCTGAAACTGGATCCTTTTCTTACACCTTATACAGAAATGAATTCAAGATTGATTAAAGACTTAAAAGTTAGACCTAAAACCATAAAAACCCTAGAAGAAAACCTAGGCAATACCATTCAGAACATAGGAATGGGCAAGGACTTCCTGATTAAAACACCAAAAGCAGTGGCAACAAAAGCCAAAATTGACAAATGTGATCTAATTAAACTAAAGAGCTCCTGCACAGCAAGAGAAGCTACCAACAGAGAGAACACACAACCTACAGAATGGGAGAAAATTTTTCTAATCTACCCATCTAAGAAAGAGCTAATATCCAGAATCTACAAAGAACTTAAACAAATTTACAAGAAAAAAATCAAACAATCCCATCAAAAATTGGGCAAAGGATATGAAAAGACACTTCTCAAAAGAAGACATTTATGCAGCCAACAGACACATGAAAAAATGCTCATCACTGGCTGTCAGAGAAATGCAAATCAAAACCACAATGAGATACTATCTCACACCAGTTAGAATGGCAATCATTAAAACATCAGGAAACAACACGTGCTGGAGAGGATGTGGAGAAATAGGGACGTTTTTATACGTTGGTGGGACTGTAAACTAGTTCAACCATTGTGGAAGACAGTGTGGTGATTCCTCAAGGATCTACAACTAGAAATACCATTTGATAAAGCCATCCCATTACTGGGCATATACCCAGAGGATTATAAATCATGCTGCTATAAAGACACATGCACAAGTATGTTGATTGCAGCATTATTCACAATAGCAAATACTTGGAACCAACCCAAATGCCCATCAGTGATAGACTGGATTAAGAAAATGTGGCAGATATACACCATGTAATACTATGCAGCCATAAAAAAGGATGAGTTCATGCCCTTTGTAGGGACATGGATGAAGCTAGAAACCATCATTCTGAGCAAACTATCGCAAGGACAGAAATTCAAATACTGCATGTTCTCACTCATAGGTGGGAACTGAACAATGAGAACACTTGGACACAGGGTGGGGAACATCACACACCAGGGCCTGTTGTAGGGTGGGGAGAGGGGGGAGGGATAGCATTAGGAGATATACCTAATGTAAATGATGAGTTAATGGGAGCAGCACACCAACATGGGACATGTCTACATATGTAACAAACCTGCACGTTGTGCACATGTACCCTAGAAATTAAAGTATAATAAAAATAAAAAGAGTGGTGGTTGGTAAACAAACCCCATAAAAGGCAAAAAAAAATTTTAAAGAAAAGAAAAGCAGATGCTAAAATTAAATCATTACAAGGTATCATCATATAATGGGGGCATACGAAAATCCAAGGGTCACTCTCCACAAAACAGCTGGAGCTGGCACATCTGTCATAATAAACTTTTTCATACTTCCACAATCTTTTAAAAACCTTACAACACAGGGGAATGCTTACTGAATAAAAAAGTTGGTTTTCCATAATAAGTACTGTAAGATTTTTCATTGCCTACATACCATTGCCATACCCTAGGGTAACAGTAGCCAACAGATCTCCTGGTACAAACTGCTAGTGCCAGAGGGAGCAATGAGGACATTATTCTCTAAAAACTGTGAACCTAAGTTTAAACCTTTCTGAGGGTTCCCTGAGAAGGCTTTGCATAAGGTTGCCTTTGTTTTGCCATATGGAGAGCTGGGGCTGCTTTCAGGAAGCGTCAGAAGCGTTAAAGGCAGGAGTACTGAATGCAGCAATACTGTCTCTAACATGACTTCTGCTACTTTAATGAGAATGAATAGGCATGGGTTCAAGTTTCCCTGTCCCTGAATGAAACCAAAGGCCATATATAGTTCTCCTGGCACACTAAGGAGCTGTGGTGAATGAACAACTAATCCATGCAGACTTTCGGAGTCTCTGCCTGTGTCCCAGTGTCCCAAAGGAAAATTGGGACACTGAGTATTGCTATCCATAGAAAGGGACCATGCCCTCTCAGTTTCCTCCTGAGTAATTATCAGGACAAAAAAGATGAATGATTATGTTAATATAAAACTTCTGAAAATTCAGCATTCTACTCTGACTGCTCTTTAGGCTTAATACTTCTCTTTTTCCTGGACAAATCCAGCTGCAGAATGAGGATAGGGGATCCAGCTACCTGGTTTCCCCTGTGACTGACCTAGTTCTAGATCACAAGGATACTGACCACAAAGTCTCCCTATGATGGACCACACAAGCAAGAGAGGAGAACATAATGGAGCTCTGAAAGGTTTACAGATACTCTCATTCCTTTAGCATCTCACATTTCTGGACAAACCATTTACTGTGAGTAGGGGATGACTGAATGGAAGTCAAAGTTATAGTTACTAGAAATACAGACTGTGGCAGCAGAAAACCCTAGGCACAAGGGAAGTAAAATATTAAGACTCTAAGGTATAAGAATAGGACATTAATGACACTTTTAAATCTGCTACTGAAGACTTACAGACACACACACACATCTGCACACGTGCACACCCTTGTGTGTCTTTCCCAAAGACAACAGGCCTGTTAAATTTGCTTTCCTAGCTAGTCAACTCAGATGATTTGATTGCCATTCACACGGAAATAGCAACGGATGTCCCAGAACCTGAACCTTCCCAACTAATTATCACTGGATGTCTTCCCCGACTCCTCTAGTCATTATTTAGTCATTCCAGGGACATCCAGCTTGTGTTACACACAGAAAGGGAAAATTGACTGATTGATTGGTCTCAGTTAGCTCCTGCAAAAAAGACTCAGTTTAATTATTCACTTAACAGCCAGCCAAGGAGCCATGCTAAAGCAAGTAACCCTGTGGCCACTTGAACATGGATACAGGTCCAGCTTGGGGGACCCCAATAATCATAAACACTTTATTTGCAGACACACCACATGTGCCTCCTGGGTGGAAGCCAGGCATTAACATGAGAAAACACTGTGACTACTATCTCAGATGTAGTTATAACAGATCTTCAAGTGTTTAAGGATACAGAGTAGACTATGTAACCCTAAAAACAAATGTGAAGTGCTCTCCACAATGAGGTTATCTTTGCTTATTTGTTGAAGCCCCCAAGAGAGACAACTGACTCATTTATACGCACATTGAAGTAGTTATCCTTACAATGGGAGTCACTCAGTTACAAAAGTATAATATGTCTGAGATTTAACTAGTAACTTATGAGATAAACTGAACAGATCTTGTCTCAGCCTATGACGGTCATATTAAACACCGTAGCCAATGAAGTTGTGTAATCAAAGGAAAATTGAACAGAAGCCAGTATGCTGTCTCTGCTATCTTAGGAGCAGAGATACAGAGGATCTTTGTTCCACTGTATTTTTTCAAGGATGCCTGTATAAAAAGCAGCCTTAGAAAAAAATAAAAATACTATTATATGTACAAGCAAAGAGCAGGTTTGCTTACTACCTGTGTAAGATTACAATAAGTTTAGCGGCTTATCTCATTACCTTAGGTTCCTTCTGGAGACTCTATGGGAGCATCTGTGCCCTAGCCTCTTCCACAGGCTTACAATATTAGAAAATGAGATTTGTTAACATTAGTTAGAGGCTGCCTGCATTTCTTAGATCTCTGCTTCCTCTACCTTTAAAACTAGTAATGACAAGTCCAGTCCTATGCATAATGCCGTGTCTCTGGTTCTGATTCTTCTGCTTTCTTTTTTCATTTATAAAGATTCTTGTGATTTCACTGGGCACAGCCAGATAACCCTACATAATTTTCCTCTCTCAAAATCCTAACTTTAAACAACATCTACAATAACACCTTTTCCCAATATGATAATTCACAGATGTCAGGACTTAAAACATGATCATCTTTGGGCAGCCACTGCTGTTCTGTCTACCACACTGCCCAGTGTAAAAAGTTTCAGGTTCTGTAAGCTCATGATTTGTCTTCTATTTCGTATTGTCTGGTTCTCAACACATCAACCTATAGGAATCGAGGTTCAGGACAGAGGTGCAAATGTGGACATAGTGGTAGATGCCATTGTGAAGAACTATTGTTTCAGCTGGG
Organism: Homo sapiens; assembly: GCF_000001405.40. Classification (NCBI taxonomy): domain Eukaryota; kingdom Metazoa; phylum Chordata; class Mammalia; order Primates; family Hominidae; genus Homo; species Homo sapiens. The sequence continues at coordinate 19,577,700 of NC_000024.10, read as the reverse complement.
CATGGTGGCTCACTCCTGTAATCCCCACACTTTAGGAGGCTGACGTGGGCGGATCACGAGGTCAGGAAATCGAGGCCATACTGGCTAACACAGTAAAACCCCATCTCTACTAAAAAATACAAAAAAAACTAGCCAGGCCTGGTGGCGGGTGCCTGTACTCCCTGCTACTCGGGAGCCTGAGGCAGGAGAATGGTGTGAACCCAGGAGGCAGAGCTTGCTGTGAGCCCAGATTGCGCCACTGCACTCCAGCCTGGAGTGGTTAATATTTTACTTCCCTTGTGCCTAGGGTTTTCTACTGCCACAGTTTGTATTTCCAGTAACTATAACTTTGACTTCCGTTCAGTCATCCCCTACTCCCAGTACATGGTTTGTCCAGAAATGTGACATGCTAAAGGAATGAGAGTATCTATAAATCTTTCAGAGCTCCATTATGTTCTCCTCTCTTGCTTGTGTGGGCCATCATAGGGAGACTTTGTGGTCAGTATCCTTGTGATCTAGAACTAGGTCAGTCACAGGGGAAACCAGGTAGCTGGATCCCCTATCCTCATTCTGCACCTGGATTTGTCGGCGACAAGAAAAAAAAAAAGAGAGAAACTATTGTTTCAATAGCTCTGTCAACATCCATAAACTATGGCAATCTTATTAATTTGTAAATACAGTTTCTGATTCTTCATAGTTCTTTTCTTATTATTATAGTTTAAGTTCTGGGGTACATGTGCAGAATGTGCAGGTTTATACATGTGTATACATAGGTATATACACACCATGGTAGTTTGCTGCACCCATCAACCCATCATCTACATTAGGTATTTCTCCTAATATTATCCCTCCCCTAGGCCCCCACCCCTGACAAACCCTGGTGTGTGATGTTCCCCTACCTGTGTCCATGTGTTCTCATTCTTCAACTTTCACCTATGAGTAAGAACATGTGGTGTTTGGTTTTCTGTTCCTGCGTTAGTTTGCTGAGAATGAAGCTTTCCAGCTACATCCATGTACCTGCAAAGGACATGAATTCATCCTTTTTTATGGCTGCATAGTATTCCATAGTGCCTATGTGTCACATTTTCTTTATCCAATCTAACACTGATGGGCACTTGGGTTGGTTCTAAGTCTTTGCTATTGTGAACAGTGTCTCAATAAACATACATGTTTTTATAATAATAATAGTATATAATATATGATAGTATAGTATTTCTTATTACTATCGTTATCTTGATTAGGGTCAGACATTTTATAGAAAATGAACCAAATAAGTATGGGAGGATAAATAATACAGTTATTCATTGCAATGATAAAAATCAAGCTTTCTAGTGAAAATTAGAATTTTGGAAAGTTTCAATCTGCATTAGCCTGCCAGCTTCCCACTCTTTAAAGACTTTTCTGATAAGGCCAGTAATAATATTAACAAATCTCATTTTCTAATATTGTAAACCATCTGAAAGATCTATACAACTCAGCAAACCAATATTTCCAAATGACAAATGTTACAAAATTACTGAAAGGCATAAAATTCACTTAAAACATAAAAAAAAGGTGATAGAAGTTTAATATAACACAGAAAAGAGTTCACTGATTCCACACGAAGGTCTTCAATAAATTGTTTTTTTTTTTTCTCTGAGATGGAGTCTCGCTCTGTTGCCCAGGCTGGAGTGCAGTGGGGCAATCTTGGCTCACTGCAAGCTCCGCCTCCCAGGTTCACACCATTCTCCTGCCTCAGCCTCCGGAGTAGCTGCGACTACAGGTGCCCACCCCCACACCCAGGTAATTTTTTTGTATTTTTTAGTAGAGATGGGGTTTCATCATGTTAGCCAGGATGGTGATCCACCCGCCTTGGCCTCCCAAAGTGCTGGGATTACAGGCATGAGCTACTGCACCTGGCCAATAATTTTTAACTAAAAGTATCCTAAGCCAAAAAGTTTGAGAAGTACTGCCTAAGTACAGCAGGGATATATAAAGAATCAAAGGAAAGACATCATCTAGGAAAGTCCCAATGTTGGCACCTATTGTCAGGCAAATCTAGGGAAACGTGAAAAGTTTCATTTTCTTCTTAGCAAACCATACCCAAAATATAGGTCTCAAATTATTAAGTGGTTGGTATATCAATTAACGCAAATGAGTGGTGACAGATAATTCATATAAAGCATTTTCTCTTGGCCTTCATTGTTTGGCTCACTGTCATGAAGTCAGTTGCAACAGCATTTAATCTACTTTTTCATTTAATCTAGAGAAATAGCTTATAGGCAGGTATGATAAACAGACAATCTCAGTGATGAGCCAATTTCAGTTTGTCCAGGGATACGAATCAAAGACATGGAAACATGAGAATAAGTGATTATCAATAACTATAACATTCCAAAGAGTATGGTCTTTCAAGAGCAGAGTAAATATGGAGTTCTGATGCAGAATATAAAACTCCAGCAAAATAACATCCTAGGAGTTAGTATAAGTACTACCTGTAACAGCAAAAGACCCTGCAGTGATTGCTGTGGTATACAAAAGAATACACAGAGCTACAGAGAGCTACTCACAGGTAAATTCAAAGAGAAATAGTCATTGCCAAATTTAGAGATGAGGAAACCAAAAGAAGCCTAGAATTACTAAAACAGTTTCAGAAAGGGTAAATTATTACAGTCATGTTTAGCATCATAATTTCTACACTACTAGTAGGTTCTCATAAGGTAATACTCTATCTTAGATCACATATATTGTTGGCCTTTTAAAGCATGCACAACTTCACTGTATTTACATTTACTGCCTATGACTATTTTATTTATAAAACTGAAAGAGGTTACAACTAGTTCTAAAACTCTAACACAGTGATTATTTGCAAATGGAGATATCTCTATGAATCTAAATGCCAACCTTGGCAGCAAAAGAATCAGGAAATCCAAAAAAAAGATTGTAATGCCCAAAGACACTGAAATATGCTTTTGCCTTACTTGTTTTGGAAAAGGCCAACAACTGGGTCACTCAGTTAGTATCATCAAGTCATACATTTCTAGATGTCCAATCGTTCTCTACTTTTATGGATTACCTAAATGGAACTACTTGGTCACAATTTTATGAAGTTACACTTCCCCAGCTCCAATTAAACCAATCATAATAAGCTAAGAAACATCCAGCCTTGTTTTTTTACCCAGATCATTTTAACGTATGTTGACACTATTGCAAGACTGACAGGAAAAACTAAACTCTAAATCTCTTCTAAGTGTGCTCTTTTAAACTCTCAATTCAGAATATTTCATCTCTGGTCACCGATAGGTGAGGATTCCTCTCCATTCTCGCCAATTCTGCAGAAGACAATAAATGGGTGGCCTAGGATTCAATTTAATTCTGGTCACTAGTCATCTAGAAAGAAAGAATGTTTCTACAAGTTAAGAGGTCAGGCCCACTAGACTGCCCCCACTTCAGATGTCAGAAACAGGGCTCATTTTGTAAACTATGCTGTCCTTAACCTCCTCCTTTGGTTCAATTAATTTGCTAGAGTGGCTCACAGAAGTTAGAGAAACACTGAGACTTACAGGTTTATTATAATGAATATTACAATGGATACAAATGAAAAGCTAGACAGGAGATGCAAATGGTGAGGTATGTGGGAAGGAGCATGAGGCTTCACTGTTCCAGGAACCTCTTGGACCCTTCACACTTCAAGCTACCTGGAAGTTATGTAAACCTCACTCACTAGGTTTTTATGAGGCTTCACTGCATAGGCATAACTCACTACATTACCGGTGGCTGGTGATCAACTAAACCTTCAGCCCCTGGTGCCCTCCCTGGAAAGCTTGGGATAAGACTGAAAGTCCCAATCTTCTAATCACAAGGTTGGTTTCTCTGGCAACCAGCTCCCATTCTGGGACTAAGAACACACCAATAGTCACCTCATTAGAAAAAGATTCTCCTATCACCAGGAAATTCCAAGGGATTTAGGAGCTGTTTGTCAAATGCTCCTATTACTCAGGAAATTACAAAGGTCTTCGGATCTCTATGTCAGGAACTGGAGGTCAAAGATTAAATATTGGAACAAAAAATTCTCCTAGCATCCCATCAACAAGGATTTTAGGAGGTGTATGTTAGGAAAACGGGGCAAAGAACAAATATATTTATTATTTCCCAGAGGAGAATCTGTTTTGTCTTTTTCAGTTTACAGAGGTTGCCTCCATTATTTGGTTTATTTTCCTGCCTCCATCTTTAAGATTAACAGCAAAACATCTTCAGACCTCTCTCTTACTCTCTCTCTTTTCTCTCTTTTTCTCTGTCTCTCTCTGAGATCTCCTTACTTTTTTTGGCGGGGGCAGTGGGGGCTATAAATTCTCCTTTTAATCTTATTTTTATTTTAAAATATTTTAAGAAAAAATAAAACTTATATATTCCTAGGACATCTCTTTTTCTGACTGATCTTGCTGCCCTCCTCGTAAATGAACTCCTGTGACTGATTACACTCGTTCACTACATAATCCAAGATAATCTTCCAATCTCGAGATCCTACTTTATGATATCTGCAAATCAAGTATTGCCAAGCTGGACAACATATTCACAGGTATCAGAGATTAGGACATAAATATCATTTGATGAGTTGGGACATATTATTCTACCTACCACATATACATTATTGCCTTTAATGTGGTTCACACTTCAATTCCTAAAAGAGAAACTCTCTTCAAAACCAACAGCACAACTTCCAGAATCAGTTCTCCACCAAACAATACTGCCTTGTGTGAGAACACAAAATGTATCATCTTAGCAAGCAAATATTATCATGACATATTAAAGGGGGAGAAGTGTACCAGAGTGAGGATCATTGAAGGACACTTTGGAATTGTTACATTGAAACAAAAATCCAAGGCAATGAAGATAAATAAAATTATCTTGGTGGAACAGAGAGACAACACTGGATATTTTATAAGTCTGTCCCATCAACTAATCATCAACTCATAAAACTCACAGTTTTAAGTACCAACATAAATTCAACTAGAAAATGGGCTGAATCATAAAAACATAATCTCAGGGTCTGAGTGGATATTAAGGTCAACTAACATCTTTTTTTCTTTTGAATATTCTACCTGGTAAAATTTTAACATAGTTCCCATGCACTGCTTTGAACAACATATTAAATTTATATAATACTTTATATGTCTAAATGCTGTCACAGATACTATAGTATCTAAAAGTTACTTTGTACATCACATTAAGATCAAGGAAAAAAGAACTGGGAAGAGACAGAGAAAAGAGACAAAGGGATTTAATTTGGACATTAGGTTAAAACTTACTTTATATAACCAAAAATTGTCCAAATAAAGTACTTTGAAACTCTGGAATCTAATCAGAACTTACAATAACCAGGGAAGTACTAGATTAAAAAAAAGAAGATACTACATTTCAGAAAGAGATCTGTGGCATTTTAATTAACCTGCCTACCATCCCTAATCTGTACCTTGACGGTAACCATTAGGAAAGCAGCTAGTATTCCTGGTGTGAACTGCTGGTGCCAGAGTGGGGAATATAAACCTTGCTCTTAAAGAGCTATGGTGGTGCGGTTCACTTGTCTAGTGGTTCCCCAGGGGAAGGCCACAGAACCTTCTCAGGGCTGTTGTGTCCTGCTGGTGATATTTGTTGAAGCCCCAGCCACTAGAAGTAAGGAGTAAACAGAGAAAAAAAGTAGTACGTAGGCTAAAAAGCCTTAAGGGGAAATAAGAGGCTGGGAAAGAGATACACAAAAATGTTAAGGTTTTATAAAGGATTGACAAATACCATGGGACCTACAAGGATACATGCATGTCCAAAGCAGGATGCACATGTAGAAAACCCTAGGTTTTCTCCTCTGGCTGACCATCAGGATGCACACAACAAGGCACCATCCTCCTTTGGGGCATTCCTTGGTTCCAGGCAGACCCCCATCCCACACCACCTGCAAATACCAAAATCCCAGAATTTTCAAATCCCTTACATATAATGTTATAGTATTTGCACATAACCTACACACATCCTCCCGTATACTTTAGAGTACTCAGAATACCTAATACAATGTACATGCTATGTAAAGAGTTGTTATGCTGTATGGTTTAAGAGAAATTACAAGAAAAAAAAGTCTACATGTTCAGTGCAAATGCAACCATCTATTTTTAATTTTTCAAATATTTTCAATCCACAGTTGGTTGAACCTACAAATGTGAAACTCACAGACACAAAGGGCCAACTGTACTACTTAAGGTAAGTTTTAAATTGCCCAGCTAAGCACTGAAGACACCCAATCTACAAAGACTGGAAGTTTTTACTGCTATTCTTGTTTCTCCAGGCTTTTCATAAAATTTAACTCACTAGCTGACCACAAACTGATGTAGAGACATCTGAAACCCACATACAACAGTCTTCACAAAAATAGTTTGGCCACTTAACAAACCCCAAAATTCACTTAAAAAAACCCCGTAACAACCAGCAACCACAAACTCTGGTGAGTAGACAGAATCTGATTTCCAGTGTTATGACCAGGTATTCCCCAATACCACTTCAAGACAAGGCCAAAGGGTATCTACGCCTTCTTTTGACCTAAGATTAGTCAGTCTTTTCTTTCATCTACAGACCACAAATTTTGTCTTACCACTGGTCATGCACTAAAATAAGAGCACACACTCACTTTAATAGCTCATCTGAAGAACTGGTTTACCATGTGAGATACATTTCCTGCTCTCTGTTCTCCCCATTTGCTTGTTCAATTTGTCCTTAAGTTTCTACTAATCCTGCTTATCCTTCCCTAGGAAAGAAAAATATTTGTTTGATTTTAAGGTGCTTAAGCTTCCTGAATTCAGTGTTATCTCTACTAGAATAATCTCTTTAATGTCTAAATCTGAATTTGACAGTTACCATATGGTAATATTCAAAGCCTTCGGTTTCAAAAAAAATTGTAAGTCATGCAAAAAAAAAAAAAAGGAAAAAAAACAGGAAAGTATGGGCAATGAACAGAAATAAAAAAAAATAAAAGAAAACACTCTGGAGGAAGCCTAGGTTTTAGACTTACTAATGGTTTTATAAACCAACTGTCATAAATATATTCAAAGAGCTAGGTGGGAAACCACAAACAAAGAGCTAAAGAAAATTAGGAAAACAGTAAGTGAACAAAATAATAACATAACCAATCAAATGAAATTCTGAAGCTGAAAAGTACAACAAACTGAACATTTTACTAGACAGGCTCAACAGCAGATTTGAGCAGGCAGAAGAATCAACAAACTGGAAGCTAAGTCAACTGAAACTATACAGTCTGAGGAACAAAAAACAAAAGATAAATAAAAATCAAGGGCTTAAAAGACCTTTGATTCTCTCCAACATACAGAGACATGCCTATTACCCACAATAGGAAGAGGCAGCAAAGGGGTGGTAAAGGATATCTGCAGAATAGCCGAAAACAACTTCACATTTGATGAAAATCATTAATTTACACATCCAAGAAGCTCCAGGATCTGTTAAGTAGGAAAAACTCAAAGACTATCCTTCAAAATAAAGGAGAAACTGAAATATTCCCAGATACACAAAAGCTGAAAGAACATACTACTAATAAATCTGACCTACAAAAACAATGCAAAAGAGGGCCCTGTAGTCAGAAATAAAAGGCCACCAGACAATAATTCAAACCTATAAAGAAAAATAAAGAACAATGGCAGAGATAACTATGTAGGTAAATATAAAAGCTAGCATTATTAAACTTGGGGATTGTAAGGTTTTTTCTATATGATTTAAAAGAAAAATTTACAAAACTAATTTTATAAAATAAATGTATAAAACAATATGATATCGACACACACTGTATAAAGAGGTAACGTGACAATCAGAAGTCAGAGTGCAAAACTATAAAGGAGCAAAGTTTCTATACACTACTGAATCTAAGATTCAAACTACTTTATCATAAACAATAAACCAATTCAAACTATTATACACTTTATTGTAAGTGTTAAGAACAGAAAAAGATATTCCATCAAAATAATAAGCAAAAGAAACTAAGACAATTATGCTAATATTACACAAAATAAACTTTAAGACATAATATTTTTAAAGAGACAAAGGACGCTATCCATTAATAAAAGGGTAATCCACCAAGTAGATTTAACAAATATTAACTTATATGCACTTAAGCCCAAAATATATTAAGCAAAAACAGGCAAAACTGAAGGGACAGAAAATCAGCACGAGAATAACAAAACCTAAAAAAGCCCATCTTCTCTAGTTTCTGACTTAAGTATTGTAACTTACCAAAGAATGACAGAGTCATTTTTCTTTTTAATTGATCTAAGATTTTTAAAACAACACAAATATTATTTCTGCATCCTGGAAAAGAGGGGCAGAGGTTCAGTTAAAATTAAGTAATTTTTATTTCCCAGTCAGTGACATACAGGAAATAAAAAAATAAAGGTGATAAGGAAGTAACCTAAAAGTGAATTTGGAAATACAAAATATTCAGCAATTTTTAAAAATAAAAATTTTAAAAAAATTTAGATACGTATTTCAATCCGATCTCAGTTAGTTGAATAACGAAAGAAAGAAACCCAAAGTAAAAAGATGGCCAGAAACATGAGCAAAGAAGAAAGGAATATGAGGTTAAGTATAGAAAAGTAAGACAGAAACAGAAGTAAATTCTCATTATTCACAACTAGCTATTAACTAGAGCTCTGCTCTTCAAAGGGTCATTAACTTTAGTTGTAACATGGTCATTAAAAATGCTATTTGATTAAACCTTTGTTTCTAATTGAAGGACTTTTTGTTTCATCACAAGGAGCATAAACAAGAACTTACTGAGCTTATGTATTAAATTGCAATGCTTTTTTATTACAGCTCTCTCCTGGGGGAAGCAAATACTGAGGATAAGTGACATGTCCAAAATGACAATGCTGAATCCCCCAGTAAGTTCAGGCAACAGCTTCTTTCCCAATTATGCAAGTTCTAAACCTTTCTGTTAGAATACAAGGAGAGAGGGAGGGAGAGACAGACAGAGAGATAACTCAGCAGTAACATATTCATGCACAGACCAAAAAAAAAAAAAAAAAAAAAAATCTGACCCTAAGCAAATCCAAAACCTAACTTTGCTCAAGCGTAAATGTACTGTAAATGTTAAGTAAACATAAATCCGATTAAAAAGAGGCATTTTGCTGAAATGTAAACTGAATCTTTTTTCCTCATTTTTGAAGCTCGTGAAACAGATTAGAAAAATATTTCAACATTTCACAAAGGAATTTTTTTTGAGTATTGAAATGCATAATGAAGTAAGCGCTACCTTACTTACATAACTAAGTATGTAAGACATTGAACGTTTGAACATGTCTAAATTAAAGAAAAATAAAGAGCATTCAACCATCTTAGGCCGTTTCTTTGCAGTTCTGTATTTCAGGGTCCTGAAAGTTTTATATGCTGCAGCGAATTCCTTGCGCAAACTTTTCTAATCTTTAGGCACCAAACCCCAGAAGAAAAGGGATTTCGATTGTTTTAAACGCCGTCTTAATTTTGCGGTATTCAAAGGAACGAGTTGAGTAAAGTAAGGAAAATGTTCCTGTGTCTCCAGGATTGAGAGATCAAAGACGCCGCACTTCAGCTTCCGCTTTGGCGTGCACAGGACAGAGAAAGAGCAATGAAAGAAAGAAGAGAGAAACGAAGAGAGAGAGAGAAAGAGAGAGACAGAGAAAAGAAGAGAAAAGAGAAGATGTTTTGCAAGAGAAGTTGTCATACGATAATGGTGCCCAATTTAGATCGAGGTCCTCTGGCATCACCTCTCATCCTTGGCTGGAGATGTAGCCATGTAGGTAGCGTCAAGAACTGAAGCCCCAGAGCTCAGTCGGTCTCACCGACTGGCTGCGGCCACTTGCCATCCGGTCCTGTGACTGAGAAGGAAAGGAGACTGCGTAGCTGGGGGTGCAATGCGCAGCTGCAGCTACAAAGCCCGGCTTTCATACTGTGTAACAGCTTCACCTCAACTGGCGTAGCGCACCTCAACACATACTGCTCAATAGCTTCAGGAGAGAACTAGCCTGTGTCCCAAGTAAGCCCTAGACGGTGGTGACCAGCACCGGGAATAAGGCGACGGCAGGGACTGGAAAGGGTACACCTGGTGCGTGGGTCCCCGCGGTGCCAGCCACACGTGGCTTTCATACCTAGCGCGCCCTCGGGGTCGCACTCTTCCCGCTGAGATCAGGGCGCGCCCTCAGCCACTCTTCTCTACCCCTCTGGACAGGAACCCACCCCAGAGCTGAGTTGCGTTCTGCCCTGTTTGGCACCAATCGTCTTGGCGCCACCGCCGCTGCCTCTTCTCGGTGTTACCTCTCCCCTACGCCACGAGGTGACTTCCGCAGCAAAACCGGCAGAGTACCCTCACGGAAGCTCATGGACTTAACGCGGGGCCCTATAACTCTGGCGACCAATCGCTGCATGCCAAGTACCACACGTGACCGGAGGAGGTTGACTCCGCCATCCACTCTTCCTAACACTACCAACCTATCTTGGGGAGTGCGGGAGGGTGGGGAACATTAAATCCTGGGCTCGGCCTCAGGCCGACAGAGCCGAAAGTGGCCTCGGGAACCTATGCCTGTTAAAAAAAGAACTACAAGTCCCAGCAGGCTGAGCGGCTACGGCTCTCTGGACCTGCTCGGGATTGGAGCGTAATGCAACGTTCTAGGAAAGAGAGTATTTCTTCTGGGTGTGGCCAACCCGGATTTGTAGTTCCCAGGCCGGTGTTCCCGTATGGTAAGGTACTCATTACTGTTCTGGAAAGGTTTAGATTTTTATTCCAACCGTATTCTTTTGTTAGAGAATGTACGAAATTAACGACAAGTGAGAGTACACATAAAGTCTATTTTCTTATTGCTTAATCTTATGAGGATGTTACCTGCTGTTCCTAGCCATCAATGATGTAGGGATAAAAAATACATGACGTTAAAGGGTAGGTGCATTGGCTTTCAGCTTATCAGTTTTTAAGCTCTGACACCGACCCAGACTCCAGCCTGTCCAGTGCAATGGGGTCCACGTACTGTTCCCCGCTGACCCACGCGGGCTTGAAACAACTATCAGCAGCTATTTTGCACCAAGTACAGGTTAAATGGACTCCACTTTCTCCGCTATCCGTTTCTTACTTACAGTTATACGTTTGTTAATCCATTTATTTTCCTTGATATGATGGAGGCGAAGGGGAATTCCCTGAAAAACATCACCTATTTGTTTTAGATGCAATTACGGTTCCAGTCATCAAAACTTGGGAGATCAGGATAATTCATACACCATGCATTGCCTTGTTTTTAAATGCACAATTTACTAACTTTTCATATATATGTATATATGTGTGTATATATGTGTGTATATAAGTGTGTATATATGTGCGTATATGTGTGTATATATGTGTATATATGTGTGTGTATATATGTATGTGTGTATATATGTGTGTGTGTACGTATGTATGTGTGTGTGTATATATATATGTAATCCTGACGTAAGTGGACTTTGCGTCTAGCTTCTTTTGCTTATAATAACGGTTTTGCTTCCAAGGTCGTAGTATAATATCAGTACAGTTAGCCCTTTGTACTAGTGGATTCTGAATCCCTAGACATCTGTAGATTCAACCAACCACAGATCAAAAATATTCAGGAAAAATAAATGAATGGTTGCATCTGCGCCAAACGTGTACAGACTTTTGTCTTGTCCATATTCCCTAAGCAATATAGCAACTATTTACATAGCAGTTACTTTGTATTAGATATTATAAGTAATATATAAATGATTTAAAATATACAGAAGGAGGTGCATCGGTTATGTGCAAATACTACATCTTTTTGTCAGGGGATTGGAAGGACAGAGTCTGACCCTGTCACCTATCCTGAGTGTGACATACAGTCTTGGCTCATTGCCACCTCTGTTTCTGACGCTCAACCAATCCTTCTGCCTCACCGTGTAGCTTGGACTACAAGCTCACCATCATGGCAGGCTAATTTTTGTACCTTTTTTTGGTAGACACAGGTTTTCACCATGTTACCCAGGCTACACATTTATATCAGGGACATGAGCAACTATGTATTTTGGTATCTTGTGGACGGGTGCTCCTGGAAACCAGTCTCCCTGGAAACCACAAGACAACTGGACTTCATTTATTTTACAGCTCTAATATTTCATTGATTGGATATACATTTTGTTTACTTTTCCATCAGTAAACAGTTGAGTTGTTTCCACTTGTTGACTATTTTGTATAGTGGTGCTTTGAACATTCATGTGCAAGTATTTGTTTGAGTATATGTTTTGAATTGTTTGGAATTGCTGGATCGTGTAGTAATTTGATGTTTAATTTGTTTGAAGAACTGACAAATGTTTTCCACAGCAGCTGCACAATTTTATATGCCTACCAACAACATATAAAAATTCTAATTTCTCTACATCTTCACCATACTTGCTTTTCCCATCTGTTTGATTAGCCATTTCACTGAGTGTGATTATCTTGCTGTAGCTTTACACTTTATAGTTGTTATTTTAATTGACAAAATCATAATTGTGTATATATAATTGTAGTTTTAATGTACATTTCCTTATAGGTTAATGACATTGAGCATCCTTTTCTGTGCTTATTAGTCATTTATATGTCTTCTTTGGGAAAATGCCTATTCAAATCTTTTGGCTTTTTAATATTTGAGTTGTTGGTCTTTTTCTATTGACACTTAAGATTTCCTTATACATTCTGATATAAATCCCTTGGTAGATATGGTTTGCAAATACTTTCTCTTATTCTCTGACTTTCCTTTTTACTTTCTTCATGGTATCCATTGCCTCATAAAAGTTTTTAGTTCAACATATCCAGTTTTTATTTTGCCCTTGTACTTTTGATGTCACATGTTAGAAGCCATTGGCTAATCCTAGTACATGATGATTTAGGACTATTTATTTATCTAAAAGTTCCATAATTTTAGTTCTTACATTTATAACTTTGAACCATCTTAAATTAATTTGGTAGGATCCAACTTTATTCTTTAGTTGTTGATATTTGTTATCCTAACACCATTTGTTTAAGGCTACTCCTTCCTGCACTGAATAGTTTTCTCACCTTTGTGAAAATCAGCTCATCACAGATGTCAGAGCTCAATTCTAGACTATGAATTTTACTCTATTCACCTATAATCCTGTCCTTACACCAGTACCACACTGTTTTTATTATTGTCATTTTGTAGCCGGTTTGGAAATTGGGAAGCCTAATTCGTTCAACTATATTTTCAAGATTGATCTTGGTTTCTGGGTTTCTTAAAACTTCATATATTGGGAGGCTGAGGGGGGTGGATCACAAGATCGGGAATTCAAGACTAGCCTGACCAACATGGTGAAACCCCATCACTACTAAAAATACAAAAATTAGCTGGGCGTGGTGGCGCATGCCTGTAATCCAGCTACTCAGGAGGCTGAGGCAGGAGAATCACTTGAACCCGGGAGGCGGATGTTGCAGTGAGCTGAGATCGCACCACTGCACTCCAGCCTGGGTGACAGAGCAAGACACCATCTCAAAAAAAAAAATCATATGAATTTTCAGGTTATCTGTTCATTTCTAGGAAAATAACACAAACAAAAAGCTGGTTGCAATGTTGACAGAGATCTCATTGAAGTTGTAGATTAGTTTGGGGACAATTGGCATTTTAATGTTATTAATTTTTCCAATCCATAAATACAGATACCTTTCCATTTTTCCTTAGGTTAATTTCTTTTAACATTATTTGTAGTTTTCTGGTACAAATCTTATATTTCTTTTGTTAGATTTGTTATATGTATTCATTATTTTAATGATATAAATTGTGTTATTTTCACTTTTGAATTATTCATTACTAATGTATGGAAATACAACTGGGTTTTATATGTTGATATTATTTGCCTCAACGTTTCAGAATTGACTTATTAGCTTTGATAGATAGGTGGTGTATGTGTTTCCTAGTATTTGCTATATGCAAGATCTTGCAAATACAGCCATCTTCCACATAACACTTCAGTCAACAACAGGACTACATAGACAATGGTGGCCTCATCATATTATAATAATTTTACTGCACCTTTTTATGTGTAAGTGTGTTTAAGTAAACAAATGTTTACCATTGTGTCCTAATTGCCTACAGTATTTAGTTTAGCAACATGCTGCACAGGTTTGTAGCCTGAGAGCAATAGGCTATATCATATAGCCTAGGTGTGTGGTAAGCTAAACTATCCAGGTTTCTGTGGGTACAGTCTATGATATTTGCACAATGACAAAATCACCTACATATGCCATTCTTAGAATGTATCTCTGTTGTTAAATCACCTATGCATGCCATTCTCAGAATGTATCTCTGTTGTTAAGTGACACATGAGTATATACTATTACATCTTCCTTTGCAATCTGGATACTAACAGTTGTACTGTTTCTCAACTGTTGTGTCCTCAGCATTGGGAGGATGTTTTGAGCCAAATAACTTGGGCCCAGCTTTCCAAAGTAAAACTAATCTACTAACTGAAGAAACCTTAGGGCTGGATATTCAGCCCTTAATTTGTAAAAGGATATTTGCATAGCCCTTTGCTGGGTGAAGGAGAAGTAAGGGAAAGACTTCCAAAGGTCAGTTTCCCAGCCAGATTACTGAGGAATTCCAATTGCTAATGACCACAGGGTGGGCGACACAGTGGTACACTGGGTACACTGCCAGCTGACACTGGCCACACCTACACAGCATCTCTGAATGCATGTGGTTAAAATTTCCTGGTGAATTTAGGATCCAAAAAAGAATTCTAGGTCTTCTGTCCAGGTAGAAGCATCTAGTTCTGGCTTGTTGACTCTGTCCCTGCTTCATCTTATATTTCTACCTCATGCGCATATACAATCAAATGTGTTGAGTCTGGGAAGAGTAGAGAAAAGGTGGTACAATGCCTGTCTCCCTAGGTGCAGTGGGTTAGCAGACCCTCTGGACATGCGACCAGATCAGAGACCAGGCCTATGCGTCCACCAAATAGGTGATGGCGATTGTTCAGGATTTGTGCTCTGTGCTTGGTATTTCATCTTACTACAGAGGACAGACGAAAGAGCTGTGTATTGGAGCCTGCAGATGGATGGGGATGGATATGACAGTAGATTTCTTCTTCTGAGAATACACTTTCAACCTCTTGTTAACACAATGGCAGTCTTTGCTCTTCACTTCCTGAGCTGACCCTGTGAGCATTACCTAATGCTTTCCTGAGCCTCTAGTTGCTTTGTAGTCAGTGAAGGAGATGGCTTTCACCCTTAACGTCTCCAAAAGTAACTTTAGTTCCCAAATACTTACTAATTTGCATTGGTTTCGGGTAGGCTGGACTCACACACCATCTCTGCAGTGCAATGCCATGTTCACTTCTGAAATCCCAAAACCCGAAAGGATGGATTCCCACTGAGACCTATAGAGGAAAGCTGCTGAAGAGAAAGGACAGCAGAGATACAATTGCCTATGTTGAGAGATGCTCTTGAGTCCCATAACATACAACCTACCAGTTTTCTGCAACCCGAAAGCCCAGGGCTGGCACTATAATCTTAACTAGTCACTACATAAGGCTTTTGTTTTTATGATGTCTATCCATAGTTATAGTTCTTCATTCCACAGATGCGGAAAAACTGTGTTATCCTTGAGAATTTGATATCTCAGGACTGTGCAATGTGGATGTCCTCTGTCTCCCAGTATGGTGTCCCACTCTGATGGTAGACTGACATCCAGCACCATACAGCTGAGTTTACCCAGCCCAGGCAAAAACCTCAAAAAATTGAAAAAATAAAATAAAAATCAAAATAAAATAGTAGAGAAACAATTTTTTTTTTAGGCAAAAAGTATTATCACCTAAATTAACAACAGTCCTCATCTTATTCTCCACAGGAAAAATATCTAAACACAGGACCCTGCCTGCCCAGTGACTAATCTTACTGACCCTCCTAGATTTAACTAGGCTCACAGATTCCTAAAATTCTTCCAGTATAAGAAGAGATCAGCCTGCAGAAATGCTTTAAAATTGTTCCGAGGTTTAGATACAAAATTAATCAGGTAAAGTGAGAGAATGGAAGATTTTAAGAGACAATTCCTTCAGATGAAATATTGGGCTGTGCAAAGGAGCTGCCTAAAACATGACCTGCTTGAGGTGCTAGTGTTATTTCAGCCTCAGTAGGAAGATCTCAGAAGATCTCACTTATTAGCATTTGCTAAATGACATTGACCTGCAGCATAGGTGGGAGCAAAAAGAGGCAGTTTCACCTGGCTGCTAGCCCCAATTCAATAAGAAATATTTATTACCAAACTGAAATTCTTCTGAGAAATCTCCTAATCTGTAATGTGGGAACAATAACACCAGCTTGTGTACCTCACACAAGTTTCAGAAGATAGAACATGTTCAAGTGCTGTGCATATGTGTCCTAATAATTCACTGTAATAAAAATTGGGTCACCCCATTCTAGAAAAGACACTCATTTGCTGATTTATTTTATAAGTAAAGGTCAGCTCTTCTACAAATCCATGTAGGAATGTAGGAGAAAAAGAGAAACTAATATTTTGTATTTCTGTTTCTTTCACTTCAAATTGCATTTTGTAACTAATGTAAAAACTTTACAAGTGCTATAAGATCATTGGGAATAAACAAAAAAATTCAGAGATACCTCTTGTGGAAACTAAGCAATGATGAGCTCATACTCTGTAGTTACCAGAGAGTCTCTCCCTTCATTGTCTTGAACTATTTCACAACTTTATAAATTGCAGGTAACTTATAGCAATGCAAAATAATTCTTGTTTATTGATATACAAATGAATTATGTGCAGTGACATTTCTAGGGACTTCTCTCAATCTGCACTGGGTTTAATCCTGTTTCTGAAAACTTAGTATCTACCTGGAATCTCAGAATGTGCTCTTATTTGGAAATAAAATGATGGCAAATATAATTAAGTGAAAATGAGGTCATCCTGGAGTAAGGAGGTCCCTAAGTCCAAAGACTGTTTTTCTTAATAAGAAGGCCATGTAAAAATGAGGGCAGACATTGTAGTGACGCAACTTCAAGTAAAAATACTAAAGACTACCGGCAAACATCAGAAGTTAGGAGAGATAGGAAACAGATTTTTCTCAGAACTCACAGAGGAACCAACTTGGCAACACCTTGATTTCAGAATTCTAACCTCTAGGACTGTGAGACAAGAAAGTTTTTCTGTATTAAGCCACCCGGTTTATGGTGATTTCCTATAGCAGCTCTAGATAAAAGCACATTGACACCATTTACAAATTTCATTTATATAATTTCACCATTCCTATACTTCATGTTAAAACTGAGCTTCATTAACTTTTTTAAACTGCTTATAACATGTTACTGATTTTTTCATTTATAATTTATTAAATAAATTTTAATGTTTTATGTTAAATAAAATTTTAATATGTATTTTTTGTATATTTGTATGAGCCATGATTTTATCCAACCACATTTGCAAAAAATATAACAATGAGAAAATTATAACAGTAACAGAGAACTGATCTAACCGTCTTGCCCTTAACCTACCTACTGCCCTTGTTCATTCCTGGGCATAAACTAACCTAACTTTGAGAAAAATTTAGTCTATAGTTTAAAGGAGAATAGTCCTTCCCAAAACTAAATCACCTTTGTAAAACAATGAAAGACCACCAGGTTAGGACAATGAGAGGGGCGTGATCCTGCTAAGATGTAGATGTAGTTAAATGATTACTGGTCATTATTCTGGAGTTGCAAATTCCCCAATTACTCCTGTAATTAACATCACTTTTGTAGAACTTAAGACTGGCCTTTTGATGTGTTTTTTCAAGTTTTGTCATTTTTAACTACCAAATGGCCCAACTAGACAGGCGACTCTAGACTCAGCCAGTCCTGTTTCTGCCTACCAGAATTGAACTCAGCACAAGAGGACCACTTTCCACATCCCTGTGATTCCATACCCAACCTATCAGAAGCACCCATTCCCTAGCCCCCACCTGCCAAACTGTCTTTGATAAACCCTAGCCTCCAAGTTGATAGGAAGGCTGAGTAATAATAAAACCCTAGGCTCCTATTTAGCCAGCTCTATGTGTATTTAATCTCTTCCTCTATTGCAATTCACCTACTGAAAAATCAGCTGTCTCTGGGCTCTGGACAAAATGAACCCATTGGGTGGTTACATCAAGAGTTGGAGGTTAAAAGAAAGAAAAAAGAGCATCTCAGTGTTGTCAAAACTCATTTTTGAAAAGAAACCCTTGTGAAGAATATTAATGTAAAGTAGCTTTTTGATTATGTACTCTTCTGTTATTCTGGAGATCAGATGCTGGTGTGTGTGTCCACTATTTCCTGCTCTGGATCCCTGAACTGTCTCTGACTCATTCTTGGTCGGCTAAGTATGAGGTAATATTGGCATGTAGGGAAAGGATGGTGGAAAAGGATAATAATTTGTCTTTTTTTTTTGAGACGAAGTTTCACTGTGTTGCCCAAGGTGGAGTGCAGTGACGCTCTCTTGGCTCACTGCAACCTCTGCCTCCTGGGTTCCAGTGATTCTCCTGCCTCACTCTCCGAAGTAGCTGGTGCCCACCACCATGCCCAGCTAAGTTTTGTATTTTTAGTAGAGACAGGGTTTAACCATTTTGGCCAGGCAGGTCTCAAACTCCTGACCTCAGGCTATCCACCCATGCTGGCCTCTCAAAGTGCTGAGATTACAGGTGTGAGCCACTGCGCCTGGCCAATACTTTGTCTTAAATGAACTTTAGAAAAAAAGACCTATGCTTTTTTCTCTCCCTGAAGATACAGAGATGTTAAAACTGGGGTAGAAAGGTGCAAGATTTTGAGCCCAGCATCTGTTAGGATTGGGTACTGGCTTTTGTCTCCTATCCCTGACCTAGGAACTTCTCTGCCCAAGGATAGGATCCATTGGCCTGCTGTCACTGGTGTTGGGGCTTAGGACATATTATGCCAAAATATGACATCATGGAGGTCACTCACTGACGTTTTCTTTTTTTGTTGTTTTCCTTTCTTTTTTTCTTTTTCTTTTTTGAGATGAAGTTTTGCTCTTGTTGCCCAGGCTGGAGTACAATGGCACAATCTTGACTCAGTGTAACCTCCACCACCTGGATTCAGGTGATTCTCCTTCCTCAGCCTCCTGAGTACCTGAGATTAGAGGCAGGCAGGTGCCACCATGCCCAGCTAATTTTGTGTTTTTAGTAGAGATGGCATTTCACCATAGTGGTCAGGCTGGTCTTGAACCCCTGACCTCAGGTGACCCACCCGCCTCAGCCTCCAAAAGTGCTGGGAGTACAGGCATGACGCATCACTGACTCATTCTAACCTTTCTGTGTGAAAGCTGTCCATAAAATTATTGTCTGACATACCTCCCTTGAAAGTAGTTCATAAGACTCTCGTGTGGCATATGTCCTGCACCATACACAAAGGGAAAGGATACAATAGAGAGAGGCTAAAAAGAATCTGAACTCCCAGGCCTTAAAGTTTACCCAATTTATTATCATATCATAAATTATTTTGTCCTATAATACTTCTACATTACCTGTCCATTCTATCTTTTTTCTTTCTCTTTCTTTTTTTTTTGATACAAGGTCTCACTCTGTCATGCATGATGGACTGCAGTGGTGCAATCATGGCTCACTGTAGCTTCGACCACCCTGGCTCCGGTCATCATCCTACCTCAGCCTCCCAGGTATGTGGGATTACAGGTATGTGCTAACATGCTCAGCTAATTTTTAATTTTTTGTGGAAACAGGATTTTGCCATGTTGCTCAAGATGATCTCAAACTCCTGGCCTCAGGCAATCCTTCTGCCTCAGCCTCCCATCCTTCCCCCACATACTGAGGCAAAGATACAGGTGTGAACCACTGAAACTATCAAAAGGGAAAATTACAACACCTTTACTTATACAGATAATTGGCTTTTATTTGCAAGTCATGAAGGAGCATCCTCCATTCTACAAAATGGAGTGATAGATCCCACTGGCAAGTAGTAGAACGGTGGATTTTGTATGGTGAGAGCAAAGATATGAAACAACAGAAAAATGACTAGTTGACATGAGGTTACTTTTTTGAAAGGGATAAAGCAGAGTATGGTTCGTTATTGCACTGAATTGGGTAGACTGTAATCTCTTGTTTTCAGAAAAAAAAGATGGCTTTCAGGATCTATCTCTTTCCCTCATATTTCAGATTAATTTACCTGATATTATGTGAAACTTAGCATGAGTGACTCCATTTTAGTTTGACCTGGTCTGTTGCTGCCTAATTTTGGAGCTCAATACAAAACCATGGCCCCATCATTTTTGTTTGGCAGCACTGAAAACTAAAATACACAATTTTCACTGATTCTCTGAGTCTTTATTTCTTAAGGCTCTTATGTCACCTGAAACTTCGTTGAATAAATTTGTTATGTTTTTCCCTTGTTAATTTGTTTTTATTCATAGTGGTGTCAGTCATCAACCTTGTGATCACTGAGGAAAAGATACAATAATCCTTGCCTATCCGTGAGTTCTGTCTATATGTATTCAACCAAGTTTAGATTGAAAATATTTTGGGGAAAAATGGAAGGGTGCACCTGTACTGAACATGTTCCAACATTTTCTTGTCATTGTTACTTAAATAATACAGTATAACAACTATTTACATAGCATTTACACTGCTTTAGTAATTATAAATAATCTAGGGATGATTTATTTAGATAGTCTAGGAATGATTTAAATAATCGAGGATGGTGATATATGGGAGGATGTACATAGGTTATACATAAATACTACACCATTTTATATCAGGGTCTCAAACATTCATGTACTTTGGTATCCAACAGGGATTCTGGAATCAATCCTCCACAGATAGCAAGGGATAACTGTATTAGTTTTTCTTTTCTACACTGTTTAATGGATGCTGCACCCTTCCTACTCTAGGACCCAACCAGGATCCTGAGCCCTCACTTTCTCCCTGCGTTCCTCATGATCCATTTGACTATAATGCAGAAAGTTTGTTTAGCTACTGGCTGGTATCTGTAACTCCTATGACAGCTCACACTCCTTGAAGAAGAAGAGAGAAAACAGAAGACTTGTCCTGTGGATAGATTATTTCTTCTTCTGTTTGTTTGTTCTTTGTATGCTCTCGACAACATCCACATACACAAATGCACATACATAAACACAGAAACTTTTTCTTAACATGGACAATCTGAAAGAGAAAGCAGCACAACAACCATTTTGGATGATCGAGACTATTTTTATATTATTACAGTACAATTGCAGAATGAATTCAAAAGGGCAAGCCCCTAGCAATGATAATGCTAAATGGCTGGTGGATGTAAATAATTAGTGGTCAATATATTATCCATGATATGTGGCAAGTTTGAAAGTTGGAAATGCAGAATCCCTGTTCTGGTCATATTATTGTACTTGGATCTGCTGGGAACCATTTGATACTCTGGGATTCTCATTGAGAATCCAGTGATAGCTAATGTTGAATATTGCTTGCTGCTGGGCAACAGTGACTGTCAAAACATTCCGTCACCACTTTTTTTTTTCAGTTTAGAAAAAGGGTCTTGGATGTTGCCTAGGCTGGCCGGAAACTCCTGAAGTCAAGTGATTCTCCTGTCTTTGCCTTTAGTTCTGGAAGTACTGGGAGTGAACCTCTGCACCAGGATTTCCCTCACCATTTTCTGTAAAATGGCTTACTACAAAGAACATTTCTGTAGTATATTTTTATGTATGTATGTATTATGTATTTATTTATTTATTTATTTTTGAGACAGAGTCACAATGCTGCCCAGGCCCTAGTGCAGTGGTGTGATCTTAGCTTACTGCAACATCTGCTTCTGTGTTCAAGAGATTCTCCTGCCTTAGCCTGTGGAGTAGCTGGAATTACAGGTGCACACCACCAAGCCCGGCTAATTTTTATCTTCTTTGGTAGAGACCGTGTACACACACACACACACACACACACACACACACACATTTAGGTAGATACGAGGTCTCGCTCACAGCAGCTTCAGCAAACACAGATTTCTGGTGTTGGAGGACAGATTTAACTACAGAAAATTCTGTTGGGCAATCGGAAGCCTCAATCTATACAGACTTTTAGGAGGAGCCTGCCTGTTTGGTTCAAATTTAGCCAAAATATTTTTTTTTTACCACTGATTCAGTAAATCTCCTAACTTTGCAGGAACTGGGATCCTAAAAATTATGGAACGAATTGTAGAAACTCAAGCAACTTTCTCCAAAGCCTAGGGTTCAGCAAGAGTAAGCAAGAGGCACTGAGCCGCTGGAGTCTGCACATTGATAAATTTACTTACAGTCGTAAATAAATTGCATCATCTTCAGCTAGTAACACAGAGTCTAATTTTTATAGCGGCATACTTGCCTCCACGACTTTCCTAGACACCAGAAAGAAAGGCGAGAGCCAGCCTTAGCCTAATCAAGAACCATGATCCAAAAAGGAGTGGGAGGAACCTAGCGGCCACGTGGGAATCCCAGCCCTCCTATTAAGCCTACCCTCTTTGCAAATTGTGACTGTGAGCTCCTGGTTTACAGAAATATATCCCAGAACTCAAGCAACATGAGCCACTATAATTGTCTCTGGAAGGTGACCCATTTGCAGATAGGGACTTCCCTGAAGGTTGGGGCCCTCATGAGCTATGCTTTCCACCAAGTTGTCTCTATAAGGACCAGTTCCAGGACCTCAGGGAGGAAATTTCACTTTCTGCCTTGGTGGAATGTGAAGTGAGTGGCTCCCCGGCCACACCCCACCCTCCATAAAATAGAAGGTAAATCCCAACTGCCAAAAGCTTTTTGTCCTCCTCTCAGGGATACTAATTAAAGCAGTTGGGCTACTTTTTCATGCATTTCATCTCAAGTTGTCTTTCTGCCTATCTCCTGAGCCCAGCGAAAGAGTTCCTTAAAATAACCCTCAAACCTCTGTAGTAAAGGACCACACAAATAACGAATGCCATGAAAAAACAGGGCTAGAGGTTTCAGAGGATGAGAAAGGAAGAGCAGCCAGAACACTGGCTGTCTAGGTATGCTACTGGTGCCTGACTCTGCACCTGTGTGTGTCTGTGTGCTGTGTTCCAATGGCAGAGCATCGGGGCCACCAGAACTCTCTCAGCTACCGCACATGGAGAGGGAGGAGTGATAAAGAGAAATCAAGAAACTCAGTTTCTTTGAAATGGAAATCAATAAACTCAGTTTCCTCAAAGTTCAAAATACATGAGACTGCCTACCCTCCTTGGAAGGCAAGGTGGGGCTTTCTGAAGCAAATACCAGCTTTAAAAAAAAATGTATATATATATGAAGATATATACAAAAAAAAAATTTCCCCACAACCAGACAATCAGAATCATCAAACCCAGAAGGGTTAAAGAAAAAGAAAAGGCCCAGGAAAGTATGATTGGTGGGGATCAAAAGTATCTCTCCACAGTGGTAAATGAGAATTCTCAAAAAGAGTAAAATTATAATTCTCATGCACATATAAAATAAATATGTATTACAGATTTTACTTAAACCATATAGCTCAAAATTAGCTAACAAGGAAGACATTATAACCTGTTCAAAGAGAAGCCAAAGAAGGGAAATTTATATGCTGTAAAGAAATATTTAAAGGAATATGGCAAAACTGACTCTTAATAGGAGATGCCCTATGTGGTACATAATTTGTTTGTGTATCTACACACATGAATTATTTTGCACTTGTATCACTATCTACAACTTACACTGTTGTAAAGTAACTCCCACACAATCAGAATCATATAACCCAAAAAGGTATCTTCCCTAACCAAACAAGGTTTTCCAATAAAGCACTATTTTGTCTCACATTGCCATATTTTAATGGCCTTTGAAAATATTATTTCTAGAAAAGGGTTTGAAGGAAATTTGGTTGGACTTGACTTTTGTACCCTTGTTATCATTATCATTATTATTAGTGGTAATTGTAGTTCCCTGCTGAGACTAAGCACTCAGCTCTTGAAATGCCAATCTCAAGACTTTTTCTTCCAAAGCTTCCAGAAATAATGGAAGAATGTGTAGGCTGCATGCACAATGAAAGCCAGTAAGTAGAGGAAGACTCTACAAAGTTATGTTTGTTTCAGAAACAGTAGTAGTGACAAAAATATATGAAGATATGCAATAGGACTAAGTTAAAGTAACATGCAATTATTTCTAAAACTCAGAATTGTATTTTACCCATCTGATTCTGCCAGGTTTTGTTTCCATGAGACATGCAGTCTCATGGAGAGATAAACGCAGTCTTGGGTTGGCTGATGATGTTTTGGGGACAGCCACATTATTTTAATATTAATTTTATTCTTATTTAACATAGTTTTAGTACTGCTGATGTGGAATATTCTTAACAATGTCTGTTTTTTGGGAAATAATAAGCTTAAAATCTTGATAACTGCTTCTGGGGCAGCAGTCAGGGCCTAGCTCCTCTCTGAGACTCCAGAGGTCATGCTTATCCAGTCAAGGCAACTTTTCAAGGCAAGTAGGATCCAGGATTCCTGTCAAGTAAGTGGGCTCAGTCCTGACTGACAAACAAACAAGCACAAAAACAACCCCTCCCCACAAAAAAACACACATACAAGCTTGGGTGGAAAGCCAGTATACAGTACCTGAGGAAAGACAAGAAGAGCAAACTGAAAAGAAACCAGAGAGGCTAAGAAAATAGCCTAGATAAAAGGAAAATGGTGATGAAGATATTCAAAAGTACCTCTCTGATAGTTACACCATCCTGCATTCAGAGTCCATGTTTCATATTATAATCTTCTCACTGCCTTTGTCTTTGTTTTTTTTCCTCGTGTGTGTTTACAATTTTTTTTTTTTTTTTTTTTTTTTTTTTTTTTTTTTTTTTTTTTTTTTTTTTTGTGATGGAGTCTTGCTCTGTCTCCCAGGCTGGAGTACAGTGGCATGATCTCCACTCACTGCAAGCTCCGCCTCCTGGGTTCACGCCATTCTCCTGCCTCAGCCTCCCAAGAAGCTGGGACTACAGGTACCTGCCACCACACCCGGCTAATTTTTTGTATTTTTAGTAGACATGGGGTTTCACCACATTAGTCAGGATGGTCTTGATTTCCTGACCTCATGATCTGCCCACCTTGGCCTTCCAAAGTGCTGGGATTACAGGTGTGAGCCACCACACCCAGCATACAATAATTTTAAAAACATAATAAAGGTCAATTTAGAGCAGAGAAATTATTCTTTTAAATTACAAATGTTTGCTGTTCAGGCAAATTACACAGAAAGTTAAGAATAACCCTTTAAATGATAGGAAAAGGCATTAGTAAGATAAAATGTGATTACTATTGAGATAAATATTTGCTATAAAAATAATTCAATTTGGTTAAACACAAATTGACTTCTTAAATAATCTTAAACATTAAGTAGAAGTAATTTTAGCTTATCAGTAAATTTGAGAAAATGTACACTTGTAGAATAAAAAGTGTGTTTGTATTACACTTTGCAGTAATTAGTCAGATACAAAGTTGTTTTCATTAAACTCAAATATTCACTTTTACTTCAAAAATTCCAACATTGAGTTAGTTTCTGAATAATAGCTTTTTTATTGTATTTAAAATTTAGAAGTTTAATTTTATTATTTTCTGGATTTTTAGAAATATTTAATGTAAAGCTCCTTTATAGTAAGTCAAATTTATTATATATTTCTGAAATATTAAAAAAAGAAACATAAAATGAGAAGTAAATTCTGAATTACAGACACAGAAACACAGAAAGTAAAGTTTTTTCTATTTTTCATCTGATAAGATCTCCAGAAACTTTAAATCAATTTGTAAGGAAGGATTGTCATGAGACAGTGAGGTTATAACCTGGATTCCCCATCATTGCCATAGCTAATGGAAAATAATTCCAGGAGCCATAAACAAACAAAAGCTAATCTAAAACAAAATATAAAATTAGTAAGAAGAAAAAATGAACAATAGAGAAACTTTGGGGCAATAAATTTGAACCTCTTGTGCCGCTGGAGTTGCATATGGGGAAGCCAAGAATAGATGGTACCAGGCATTAAGCCGTCCACTCTTGGCAACAACAGTGGTCTCTCTGTCGCCCACGCTGGAGTGCAGTGGCGCCATCTCCGCTCACAGCTCCGCCTCCTGGATTCACGCCATTCTCCTGCCTCAGCCTTGCGAGTAGCTGGGACTGTTTTTTTTTTTTTTTTAGTGGACAGAGGATTTCACTGTGTTAGCCAGGATGGTCTCGATCTCCCGACCTCGTGATACACCTGCCTCGGCCTCCCAAAGTGCTGGGATTATAGGCGTGAGCCACCGCTCCCGGGATCTCTTTTGTTTTGTTTTGTTGTTTGGCTCTGTCCCCCAGGCCCCCAGGGCAGTAGTCGAATCATAGCTTGCTGCAGCCTTGAACTCATGTGTTGTAGCTACCCTCCTGTCTCACCTTTCCGAATAGAAATTTACCTTATTCTGTCAGGTTTGAATTCATTAAATATCTCTTAGGAACTTCCAAAACTGTGAAAAGATTGTTTTTAAAAGGCTATAACAGTGACTTTCAGGTGAAGACTTGGACAAATAGATAATTTCTGTACCCATTAAAATCAGGGGCTGTTACTATGTTTGAAGACATTGTCGCCACAGCTTGAAGTCTGTAAGGAAAACCTGTAAAATTAGTGGGTGCCCACTCTAGTTTTAATCATTTGAGTTTCCACTCCTCATTGTGGTTGAACTATTTTATAACTCTGCAAAATCTAGAAAGTTGAAAAGAAACCAAAGATACTTTCCCTTTTCTTCCCACTTCTCCTACCCTTGGCCCACCTCCTTCTCCACCTACTACTCCACATGGAACCTGGAGATTTGAGTCGGGGAGTGATGTAATACCTGCGGCGCGTTGGCCCTTTACACACCTGTCAGCCATTTCAAGGCCTGAAGGGGCTGCTTTAATCTGCAATATTCAAAACTGGAATAAAAGGGTTAACTTTCCTTAACAGGTAAACTGACAGCTTGACCAGAGTGCTTCAATGATGCTGCGCTGGGGTTGAGGGTGGTTGGTGTGTGTTCGTGGTGGGGCAAGGAGCGGGGTTTGAGGTGGAGAGTGGGGTGGGGCCTGGCGATCCCGACTCGCGACTGTTCTGCCAGAGCCCTGGATCCTCTCCTTGATACTTGAGGTACTTTTCTTCCTGCGCACAGACGGACACGGACACAAGGTTGTACTAAGAAAGCTTGAAAGGTCCAAAGACACTAACAATGCAGTGGACGTCGATGTTCCTGATGTTTTCTGGTTTGAAAAATTAAGACAGATGGAAGAGTACATCTGCTGTTGGAAGACCAGTTGGAGCAGGGAAGGCTGACAGCAGGGTATTTTGCCCGAGCTCGCTAGTTCCCCTGCAGTCGGCCACAAGGCTAGCTCAGTCTAGCTACTGTCTGTCCCTGTGTCTTCGCGTCCCTAACACTGAGCAGAGGCGATGGTTGCCGTAAGCCCAGAGCTCCAAGTCGCTCAGGGGCCTTCACCTGCCTCTCCTCGCAGCTGCACTCTGATGCTAACGTCCCCACATGTGGTTATTTCACACAATAGCAGCGGCTTCCTCTCAGCTCCTCTCCTCCGAGCTTTTCGGTGAAATTAGAGATTTAGCAGCAGTTTAGAAACACAGCGAGCCTAGGGGAAAGGGAGGAAACCCTTGATCTCAGCCTGACCTTCGGAGGCAGAGGGGAGTTCCCTGTGAAAATCCGTGGCCGGGGCTGGGGGCTTTCCTTCCTAGGATTCCGAAAGGGCTAAGTAAGGGTTAGAGGTTGTGCAGGAAAGGCACCTGGTGAGCCAATTTCATGTTTACTTTTGCTTGTTCCCTTGCCTACTCATAATGCCCAGGGTAGCACTTGTCCCCTTACCTGCTCATATTACAAAATATAAAATTAGACTCATAGTCCAGGACATTGCAGAACCTGGATGGCATGCAATGGAACAAGGAATCATAAAA
The DNA here is from genome assembly GCF_000001405.40 of Homo sapiens. Classification (NCBI taxonomy): domain Eukaryota; kingdom Metazoa; phylum Chordata; class Mammalia; order Primates; family Hominidae; genus Homo; species Homo sapiens. The sequence goes on along the minus strand of NC_000024.10, from coordinate 19,549,788 downwards.
TGAGAGCAAAGTTACCTCAGACTATACTGACCCTTCCTTGCCATCCATCTCCCTGGAACTTTGCCTATTCCCACTTCTTCTCCCCAGGGTTGAATGCTGTCTCCTGGAAAATATCACTTAAGCAATCAGTTAATAATAGAAAGCTTGGTTCATAATCACAGCCATAGGGAGAGCATTAACTTCCACGTGGTCTTAGCAATAATGTGAGAAGCAGATCTGGAAAGACTAAGTTAAGATGAATTTTTCAAGATTTGAAGTTTGAATTAAGACTTATTTTTTAATACATGAAGAGAAGAAAGGAGCTTCTTTAAGAAAAGATAAGGATCTTAGTTCAATAATGTGGGACTAATGGGTACTGAGGAAAATTTTAACTGGAGAGATTCAAAGAATGTTTGGGATATTATTATCGGCTGTTTGTGTCCTCTTTCTCCAATTCATATGTTGAAGTCCCCCCACCCCACTACTCACTACAGATGAGGTTTTTGGTAGGTGGTTAGGTTCAGATTAGGTCATGAAGGGGGGACCTCATGGTATTAGTCTCCTGTAAGAAGAGGAAGGAAGATCTATCTCCACCTGAAGGCCTAAAGAAAGGCCAAGGGAACACACAGGAAGAAGATTCCTGTGCCATCTGCAAGCCAGAAAGCTACTCTCACCAGAAACGAAATCAGCAGACCTCTTAATCTTGGACTTTCACCTTCCAGAACTTTGAGAAATAAATTCCCATTGTTTATAGATCCTTCAATCTATGTATTTTGTTATAGCTTCCTAAGAGGCAAATGCACAAATAAACTGATTTGATGCTTTCAATGGAAGCATCTTTCAGTGACTATCTATAATCAAGTTAATTTGCCAGATTTATCTTTTCAGGCAGGTTTCCTGGAATAGTAAATTATGTGGAGCAAGACGATGAAATAATACAAACCCAGATGTGAAAATACCTAGCTGGGTGCAGTAGCACACACTTATGGTCTGAGCATTTTGGGAGGCTGAAGTGGGCAGATTGCTTTAGCCCAGGACAAAATGGCAAAACCATGCCTGTATAAATAATAGAAAAATTTTCTGGTCATGGTGGCATGCACTGTAGTCCTTGCTACTCAGAAGCCTGAGATGAGAGGATCACTTTAGTCCAGGAGATTGAGGCTGCATTGAACCATGATCACATAACAGAGTGATCTGATCCTGTCTGAAAAAAGAAAGATAAAGAAGAAAAGAAAGAAAGAATGAATGAAAAAGAAAGAAAGAAAAGAAAAAAGAAAAGGGGAGGGAAAGAAAGAGAGAGAGAGGAGGGAGGGAGGGAAGGAGGGAGGGAGGAAGGACGTAAGGAAGGGAGGGAGGGAAGGAAGGGTCTCAAAACTGCAGATCATAAGAAGTGTTTGCTGTATGTAAACATGCAGTTTTCACAAATACAGTCTCTCCTATTCAGTTTTTTAACTTTTCAGAGAACAATAATTCCTGATCATAAAACGAGGCTAGTTTCATTAGGTTCAATATGACTATATTCCTAAGTTTAACATGAATGGCAATTTATGATACAGATGTGTCAAAGCTGATATTCTTGAAGGTTTTATAAAGACTCTCATAGTGGACTTTTTAAAGCTTCTCTGTCTAGGAAGACAAGGCCAAGAACTCTGCATCAGATTTTTCTTGCAGCATCTCTATATTGGAGTGATATATTAGTCCACTTTGACTATAAAGAAATACATAAGGCTAGGTAATTTATAAACAAAAGAGATCTATTTTGCCTTGCAGTTCTACATATTGTACCAGAAGCATAGTGCTAACACTGTTTCTGGTGAAGGCCTGGGAAGTTTTCACTCATGGCAGAAGGCATGCCACATAGTGAGAGAGGGAACAAGAGAAAGAATAGAAGATGGGGACTATTTTAAAAACTAGAACTTTCTGTAACTAATAGATAAGCGATCTGCCCTGGTGACCCAAACACTACCACTGTGTCCCACCTCCAACATTGGTATCACATTTCAACATGAAATTTTGAGGGGACAAATACCCAAACTATATCAGGGGAATCCATCTATTTTTGAAGTTCTTAAAATACCATGTCTCTCAGGAAGTGACCCTTCTTATTAACTGTACAGCTAGATCCTTAAGCCTGATATCATATCAGTTTTTCCAAGAGAGTTCTGTAATCATTGGCTCCCCGCTGTCAGCCTTAGCTCCTTGAAAGTATCTGGTCATATCTAAGTAAACGAACATTATTTTAAAACACAGTATTCAACAACCTTGGCCAACATGGTGAAACGCCATCTCTACTAAAAATACGAAAATTAGCTAAGTGTGGTCGCATGGGCATGGTGGCATGCACTGTAGTCCTAGCTACTTGTAATCCCAGCCACTTGGAAGGCTGAAGCAGGAGAATAGCTTGAACCCCAGAGGCGGAGGTTACAGTGAGCCGAGATTGCACCACTGCACTTCAGCCTGGGTGACAGAGAGAGACTCCATCTCAAAAAACAACAACAAAAACAGAAAAAAAAAAACCCACAGTATTAAAAAAAAAATTCATTGTGTTATCAATGTTTCCAGTTATGTTCTCTTACCAAGAATAATGGGTTATTTTTAAGCCTGAGGAAATACTATATAGACATGAGTAAAATAATATTTTTGTTAATTTTTTTGAGACAGAACTTCACTCTGTCACCCAGGCTTCAGTGCAGTAGCACGATCTTGGCTCACTGCAACCTCTGCCTCTTAGGTTCAAGTGATTTTCCTGCCTGAGCCTCCCAAATAGCTGGAATTGCAAACATGTGTGACCACGCCCAGCTAATTTTTGTATTTTTGGTAGGGACAGGGTTTTGCCAGTTTGGCCAGGCACACCTTGAACTCCTGACCTGAAGCGATCTGCATGCCTCTGCCTCCCAAAATGCTGGGATTGCAGGCATAAGCCACCATGCCCAGCCAAGAAACTCTTAATAAGAGTGTAAATTAGTTCAACCATTGTGGAAGATAGTGTGGTGATTCCTCAAGGATCTAGAACTAGAAACACCATTTGACCCAGTGGTGCCATTACTAGATATATACCCAAAGGATTATAAATCATGCTGCTATAAAGACACACGCACATGTATGTTTATTGCGGCACTATTCACAATAGCAAAGACTTGAACCAACCCAAATGGGCATCAATGATAGACTGGATTAAGAAAATGTGGCACGTATATACCATGGAATACTATGCAGCCATAAAAAAGGATGAGTTCATGTCCTTTGCAGGGATATGGATGAAGCTGGAAACCATGTTTTTCAGTAAACTATCACAAGGACAGAAAACCAAACATTGTATATTCTCACTCATAGGTGGGAATTGAACAATGAGAACACTTGGAAACAGGGCAGGGAACATCACACACTGGGGCCTGTTGGGGAATGGTGGGCTAGAGGAGGGATAGCATTAGGAGAAATACCTAATGTAAATGACGAGTTGATGGGTGCAGCAAATCACCATGGCACATGTATACCTGTGTAACAAACCTGCGTGTTGTGCACATGTACCCTAAAACTCAAAGTATAATTAAGGAAAAAAAAGAGTTTTCAATTTCTGAAGCCATCAGGCAAGGAGGATAAGATTTTATTTACAAAAGCTTAATTTCCATTTTAAAAAGCATAATGAACCTACTAGATTGTTATACATTACAGATAGCTTAAAAAGAAAGAGAAAAGACTTCTTATGTGTCCAGATCTAAAGACTTAAAATAATGTCAAGAATATTTCAAAGAATGTTTCCTTATTTGTTCATTCAGGTATTTGTAACCTGAATATAATTCTTATATTGCTAGACCTTGAATTAATAGTGTCATGAACCCAATTACTTTTCTACTAAAAAGAGTTTTGAGCCAGGTGTTCAGTGGGACACCTACCTGTAGTTTCAGCTACTCAGTAGACTGAGGTAGGCAGATCCCCTGAAATAGGGGTTTGAACCAGCCTGTGCCATATAGTGAGACCCCAACTCTAAAGAATAAAAATCAGAGAAGAGACTGGAAATCCTGACTCTGTCTCAAAATTGTCTAAGCTATGTCATCAGAAGAATGTAGCCAAGGCTTTATTTGAAGTGTCAATAATGTAAAGAACTATGGGGCTCTGAAATAGAACTTCCGTGTTGAAAATGAAGTACTCTGGCCTGTAGCTGATTGCAAGAGCTTGAGCTTTCATAGAAGCAAATAAAAAGCTATCTTTAGATAAACAATGCTTAAAATGGCCATAATTAACTTATTACTAATCACTTTTAAACATAAAATATCTGATGAGTTAATAATAAAAAAAAATTGGAACTGACAGGGAAATTTAATTGCATTTGTGGTTTGCAAAACAAAGCTAATACAAAAAAGTTTAAAAACAATGTCTACAGAGATAAGAATGACTATTTTCAAATAATGTACTGAATAACATATCTGATACAAAAATAGATAAATTTTTCCCAGACAGGAAAATATCTTGAAATTTTATACTTTTTTAGGAGAATGTGCATACTTATAATGAATATAGTGAAAATGTGTTAAGAACATAGAAACAATGTATTAAGAATATACCGAGAATATTAAGTGAAGAAATTTAGTGAATCTGGAGAATATCCTAACCACGTATATATTTTGTTTTTGTTGTTGGAGAGGCAGGATCTCACTATGCTGCCCAAGCTGCTCTCCAACTTCTGGATTCAAGGAATCCTCCTGCCTTAGCCTCCTAAAGTGCCAGCCAACCATATGAGTGTGACAGCCTCCTAAAGTGTGCGCCAACCATGCTCAGCCAGTATTTTAATACACCATCTATATTTTAATAAAACTTAAGAGATGCATCCCAATAGAAATTAGTGGGCCAGAAGATGGTGTATTAAACTGAAAATGTAAAGTTGTGATGAAGTTAATATCTTAAAAAATTATTACTGATAATGCCATATTGTTTTGGCTTAATATCAGGCTAAGTAACCACAGTATTCTGATTTAAAAAAAAACATACTAGAGAGCAAGTTTATTGACAAATCTTTAGGAACTTCAGGTACAGCATATGATTTCTGAACTATGTGTGTAAATAAGGTTTTGTTTATTCAAATTTAACACAGGGTAGTCTGTGTATGCCTTCCGATTTGATAGCTCTAATAAAACACTTTAATAGTACCATATCAAATAAATTTTATCATCATCGATTTTCTTCTTAATATGAAATAACACATATTTGTGATTTTTCTAAGAGTCAAAATCTCAAAAATCATTTTAGGTATAAAATATACCCCGAAAGTTTTATTTTATTCCATTTTATAATTAATCTGACTTGGAAAGGGGAAAAAAGCTCAAAGGGTATGTGAACATTTCATTAAGATAGGACCATTGGTGTCTGAGAAACAATATTTGGTTACCCACTTAAAGGAGACAATAAAACATGTAAAAATAAATACAGAAGTGAAGAAGTTAATATGTGATTTTGAAAAATATTACATTCAAAAGTGGAAAACTTTTTTTGTATTTTTTCCTTCAAAAAAATGAAGACAAATAATGAGGAGAAAATTATTCTACTAAGGCACAGACTCTTTTTTATCTAGGCAATAAGGAAAAAAAAGAATAATCCATCATATTGCAAGGGAAGGTAAATAAGAAACCAAGGAAATGTGTCCATCAAAACTGATCAAATTTTGCCAGTGTGGCATCTTAAAATACATTTCATAGCTTTTCAAACTCAAATATGAAAACAATTTGTTTTTTAGATTTTTTTTTTCTTTTTACTTCAAGTTCTTTATATTCTAGACTAACACTTTAGGGCAGATATTGGAGGGTGTGTCTCTCTTGGTGCAACTATTGCCTTTGCTTCAAATGGTGGCATATGGAGGAGGACACAACCTGTAGGAAGTGTTCAAGGAGTCTGGTAGTGACACCTGCTCAATATTGCTAGTGATAAAACTGTAGCCACTGTATAGCAATATCTGCCTGTAGAATGTCATTTCCTTTGAGGGGTACATTTTTTTTAGAGTTTCCTATAACCTCTAGAGCTGAACTTCATAAAAATAGGTAAAGGTTGGCCTTAAAAAGCCTACATTACACACTTTCAGGATGCTAGACCTAATAGTAAGCCAGGGATGAATCTGTAGAAGGCTCAGGTATCAGCTTTATTTATATATGTTAGTTCTGAGAGAGTAGAATATTTTTTTCTCTGTAGTGGCTCTCTAACAGCTATTAGGTTTACAAAGAGCTGTGGCCCAGATATTATTAACTGTCATCTTCCAACAGTTCCTTTCCAATGTATCTCTTACTAGAAATACTATTACATGATGTTTTTTCTGAAATGATTACTCAATAGGTTATAATGACAGCAAGATCTCCAACTTAGTTCATACTGATATTAAGATATAATAAAAATAGTATGTAAAGTAGATAATATAACTCAACATAAAGGGTAGAGGAAAGCACTTCAATTTGTTAACATAACATAATTTAACTTGATTAGGATCCAAAATCCTTCAACTCAGTTTCTCTCATGTTTCCATACTGGAAAATGAAAACTGCATATTTCAGAGATGTGCATTTATTCTCTTCTGTCCCTACTCCATTCGTTTATCACAATTTTCTTTCTCTGTAAGGACAGAACAAATCGTGTTTTTATGCCTTGATAAAGAAGAAAATATTTTTTTCTGGACACATAATTATCTGAAAAAGCAACTATTAACTTGGGAACTTCCTCTTCTTCTGAATTCTGGTTCTTGCAGGAGTGTTTAGACACCTTAATATCCTCTTGTCCTCACCTTTGTAAACTAGAACAAGACAGATTATTTGTTGTCCCAGAAGCCTGTTGGGAAATAAGAAGAGTTAGAATGACTCGATGTGTGTGGGTGGTGGTGGTGGTGGAAAGGAATGGGTGAGGGGAGGGGAGTGGATAGCGTATGGGCACAGATAGCCCTGTAGGAAAAGCAGTTTGCTTAATGTCAAGTTTGAGCAGCCTGCTAAAAAAGAAATAATGGGAAAGGGAGTGACTGTGATTGAGCCAGAAAAGAACCAGAGAACCTCAGATTGGGGATTTATTCTTGCATTGTACTGTTTCTTGTTCTGCAGGTTGTACTATAAGTTTCTTTCTATTGATGACTAGGAGTGGAAAATGCATACAGAGAAAGCGCCAGTCCCTATTGCACCATGGAGTTAAAGATGACTATTGACTTTAGCCACCAGGACTGAGATAGAAGCTAAGCAACTGCTGTGCTCATGCCCTGAGAAAGTGCCACTACTTGTGTCCTCAGCCCAGGGAATGGCAGGCACCAAGGGGTCCAGAACAGTGAAGACCATGCTGTAGGCTCTGCTACTCGCTGGCAGGGCTTAAACAGACAGACAAGTAGAGGCTGCAGATCCCGGTGCTGGTGACTGGGTGGGCTAAATGTGGTATGAGATGCAAGGCTCATATATATTGGCTACTCCTATAGCGTCAGTGACTTGTGCACACACTTCCTGATCTCCAGTATTTTGGTTCTAGCCTTTTGCCTGCGCTTGCCAATCTTTTTGGTCGACCTGAAGTGTTTTGCTTTGCTTCTCCCACTTTTGTTCTGTCTTGCGTGTGAGCACTTCTTGGCCTGATGTCCCATAGCTTGGGCTTATCTTGGTATCGTTCGCAGCGAAGAATTTAGGCACAAAGTTCGGCCGCTGACTCAAAAGTCTGTCTTTCCGTGCCTGAGATATTTCACTTAACATAATGTTCTTCAGTTCCCTTTATGCTGTTGCAAATTACAAAACTTCGAGGCGGAATCTGGGTTCCACTCTAAAGAAAACTCACTGCAAGTGGCAAGGAAAGCAAAGCAAGCGGGTTTGGGAGGTTGTCATGAAGGTGAGCAAGGCTAGTGTGAAGTTTCAGTCACCTGTGATAGAGTGGCAAATTGCTAAGGCTTTGGGAATTGCAACCGCAGGGATGGATGCAAACGACCGCGCCCTAGGCTTCTCTAGCGAAGCCCCAGAGGCAAGGCGCTGGCTCCTACCCAGGGAGGCAGGATGTGGGTTGGGACAAGTTAGAGGTGGGGAATTAGGAGAGCCTTCGCAGCAGAGCAGAATGCAAGCAAGGTTCGAAATCCATTTAGGCACTGAAGGGCTTGCAGAGTTGCTGATGTGCTGTCAGAGAGACTCGCGGCTGAGCTAAGTAGGGACCGGAAACTACTCGTCCGCGAGTTAAAATAGGACTCCTGAGATTTCACGGCTCAGAGGTTTTCAGGTGCGTGTCTCTCTCGCTTCTTGTTGAACATCTTTAAATAAATCTTGTGGCCTTCCCTCCCTCCTCTATCCTGTGCACCTACAGCTAATTTCCCGACTTGTCCCGCGTGTGCATTGAGCAGCTTCTCACCCTTTCAGGAGCCAGCCTGGTAAAAGATGGGATCTCCAGGGTCGGTGGCTCACAGCTGTAATCTCAGCACTTTGGAAGGCGGGGGCGGGTGGATCACAAGGTCAGGAGTTCCAGCCTCGCCAATACGGTGAAACTCCTTCTCTACTAAAAATAGAAAAATTAGTCGTGTGTTGTGGAGGGTGCCTGTAAGTCCAACTTACTCGGGAGGCTGAGGCAGGAGAATTACTTGAACCCGGGAGGAAGAAGTTTCAGCGAGCCCGGATCACGCCACTGCACTCCAGCCTGGGCGACAGAGCGAGACCCCTTCCCCCACAAAAGGATGGGATCTCCAAAAGAGGTGGAGATGCCGTTGATTCAGGTTGCAAGCCTCGGCCGAATGGAGTATAGAGTCCAGCTTCTGTACTGATAAGATGGGTTTGTCTAAAGTGCAGAAATATTTGAACAATATTTCGAACTCTCTCGCGTGGCGGCAGTAAAGGCTTTTACAGTCAGAATGTGTGCTGACAATAAAGTGCAAGAGTGACTTGGGTTCGGTATTAAAGAAAAAGCGTAGTCGTTCCTATGTCTTCCCTGTGTCCCAGCGAGTAAGGATTTTTCTATTTTTAGCTCTCCTATACTCCGCTGGAACCTACTATACATAGAGAGCATTAGTCCATAGAGACTATGCACGTGGTAGGGCGAGGGAGGTCCAAACGAGATGATTCCTAGGCTATCCTTTCCTTCGAGGTCTTCCAAAGTCGTCGTATAGGACTGGCCCAGACTCCCGGTCCCAGCTTTAATGTACCTGGAAAGAAAGTGCTTTCTAACCCTTAGTTGAATATGAAAGCCTACTGTAGACGAGTACAAACTGAGGGGAGGATGTTGAGTTAGGGTAGCTCACAAATCCAGGGAAGATCATACATTAAGTTGAAATAAACTTTGCTTCTCTGGCTAGCGTCCTTACTGCAAGCTCAGCCAATTGCGGGCCAGCACTGGGTGTGGGCGGGATGAACTTGCTGTCTTCGTCAAGATCTCTCCCAGGAGCACAGATGTGGGCAAAAAGATGTGAGATGGGCTGGGTCAGGCAGTTGAGAGCTAGCAAGAAGGTAGGAAAGGTGAAGACACCAGATTAGGGGTGCACCAGAGACACCCCAGTTCTGTTCACTCAGGTTTTTGTTTTTGTTTGTTTTTTCAGATGGAGTCTGGTTCTGTCGCTCAGACTAGAGTGCAGTGGTGCGACTTTGACTCACTGCAACCTCCATCTCCTGGATTCAAGTGATTCTTCTGCCTCAGCCTCCAAAATACCGGTGCCACCATGTCTGGCTAATTTTTTTTTTGTATTTTTAGTAAAGATGGGGTTTCACTGTTTTGGCCAGGCTGGTCTCAAACTCCTGACCTCATGATCCGCCCACGTTGGCCTCCCAAAGTGCTGGGATTAAAGGCCTGAGCCACCACACCCGGCCTCACTCAACTTTTTAATGAAGATTTCTGGAGAGGGGTTTTCTCCCTTTTTGGCTGTCTGTGAAACTTCTCATAAACCTATTGATTTATTACCCCAAATAAATGCTTAATTTGTGAATAACAACATAAGATGGGAGGAGTTATGGGCTTAAGTTCAGCATATTTTAACGATGGACCCTAATTAGCCCCAACGGTGTTTCTTCTTTGTTGATAGTTTCAGATTCAGGGAGAGAGCCAGCCAGAATGGTCAAAATGTCTAATCTTCAACCTGAATACTTGGCTATGATCAAAAGGAGGTGAGCTGCAGAGAGAAAAGACAGCACCAGGCAAAGTAGTCACAGAAACTGAGCCCTGTACCTGATGGATTAGAAGATGAGGACTGGTCATAAGGTCAAAAGAGGCTCAAGTTCTACAAGGCAACTATGAAGAACAAAGTAGAAGGTCTATTAAAATTTAATTCTCTAAATACATGATAAAATAAGAAAGATAAAAATTTCAACTTAAAATAGCCAAGTCAAAAATAAATTATTATTATTTTTTTTCATATCTTTATGACTTGAGCTGAAAAGTAAAGGATGTTGGATGTTGGCTTAAAAATTGCTCAGGTGCCTGCAGTGATTCCCTAATATAGGCCTTTCTTAAGCACCTTCTCCCTTTGTAAAGACCCCATGTGTACAGGCAGTGTAGTTTGCCAATTTTAGGCAACTTCACAAATCAAAGAAGGGGATGTTCTTTACAGCTCCTTGATTCCAGCTGCTGCCCAGTGAAGCAGATACAATTTCTAAAAATTGACCATCTCCTCTGGGTTTTTGTTTGTCATCACCTTATGATATTACTGAATATATTAACACCCTATATCGTTTTCTCCAAAGTGTGAGGAAGGAAACTGTTTACTGGAAGTCAGGTCAAGGGAAGGCTCTTGTGTTGTGCAATAGTAATGTGCATTAGCCTGAATATATCAAACTGGTGAAACTCCAGTGGAGTTCTGCTGATTCTTTGTAGCACTTTTCTTCTCCAGTTTTTGATAACAGATATCATACAAACAGGACATTTCTGGATACTTTATAACTGGAAGGAGATTAAGAATAAGAAATGAAAATATTTATTTTTAAGTTAATAGATTTTTTGAAATTTCACATTTAAAGAAAAATTAGCCTGAAATTATAGAAAGTTCTCACATATCTTCCCTCCCTATGTTTTTATATTTGTCATCTTGCATTAATTAGTATAGTACATTTTTTCCAACTGATGAACCAATATTGATACATTACTATAAACCCAAGTCCATAATGTACATAAGGATTCACTCTTTTTTTTTTTTTTTTTCTGAGATGGAGTCTCACTCTGTCACCCAGGCTGGAGTGCAGTGGCCTGATCTTGGCTCCCCAGAAGCTCCGCCTCCTGGGTTCACGCCATTCTCCTGTCTCAGCCTCCCAAGTAGACTACTGGCGCCCACCACCATGCCCAGCTAATTTTTTGTATATTTAGTAGAGACGGGGTTTCACTGTGTTAGCCAGGATGGTTTCCATCTCCTGACCTCGTGATCTGCCTGCCTCGGCTTCCCAAACTGCTGGGATTAGACGCGTAAGCCACCGCACCCAGCCAGTATTCACTCTTTGCATTATACATTCTACATTTGTTCACACATGTGTAACGAAACGTATTCATTATTAGTATATTATACAGAATACTTTCGCTGGCCTAAAAATACTCTGTGCTCTTGACTATTCATTCCTTCCTCCCTCACATGGCAACTTCTGATCCTTTTACTTTCTCTATAGTTTTGTCTTTTCCAAAATGTTATATAGTTGTAATCATACAGTATGTAGCCTTTTAAGATTGGGTTCGTTCACTTAGCAATATGTTTTTCGTGGCTTGGTAGCTCATTTATTTTTATTGCTAAAAAATATTCAATTGTGTGGGTGGACCACAGTTTATTAATAATTCACCTATTGAAAAACATCTTGGTTGCTTCCAAGTTTTGGCAATTATGAATATAGCTGCAGTAGGTATTCGAATGCAGGATTTTATATAAACATGAGTTTTCAGCTTCTTTAGGTATATACCAAAAAATGTACTTGTTGAATTAGATGGTGATATTCTATTTAGTTTTATAAAAAACTGCCCAGCTTTCTCCCCAAGTGGCTTTATAATTTTGCATTCCCACCAGAAATGAATGAATGTTTCTGTTGCTCCATTTGGAGCATCCTCAATGGCATTTGGTATTTTCATTGTTTATCTACATTCCAACAGATATGTAGCTATATCTCATTTTTTAAATTTGTAATTTCTTAATGACATATGACATAAAGTAATTTTATATGCTTATTTGTAATCTGTATATCTTTTTTGGTGAGGTGTCTCTTCAGTTCTTCAGTTCTTTTACTTTGCTGTTGTTGTTTTTTTGGTGCTCCATGTGAGGATTTTAGCTATTTTTAATAAGGTTGTTTGTTTCCTTATGTTAAGTTTTAAGGGTTCTTTGTATGTTTTAAATACTAATCCTTTATCACTCATGTGTTTGCAAATATTTTTTGCAGAATGTACTTTATCTTTAAATTCTGTTAACAGTGCATAATGGAAGTTTTTAAATCATAACTAAGTCCAACTTATTATTATTTTTAAATGGAGCATGTCTTAGGTGTTGTATCTAAAAAGTCAATTGTTGGCTAGGCATGGTAGCTCACTCCTGTAATCCCAGCACTTTGGGAGGCCAAAGTGGGTGGATCACGATGTCAAGAGATGGAGACCTCATAGCCAACATGGTGAAACCCTATCTCTACTAAAAATACAAAACTTAGCTGCGTGTGGTTGTCCGCACCTATAGTCCCAGCTACTCGGGAGGCTGAGATAGGAAGTCCCAGCTACTGGAGAACTGAGCCAGGAGAATTGCTTGAACCCAGGAGGCAGACGTTTCAGTGAGCTGAGATCACACCACTGCACTCCAGCCTGGCGACAGAATGAGACTCCATCTCCAAAAAGAAAAAAAAAGTCAATTGTCATACCCAAGGTAATTTACATTTACTCCTGTGTTATCTTCTTAAACTTTTATGTACTGTACAAGTTGATTTATAAAACTTATATGTTTATATATAAAGTAAAAATATATATTACATGTATTTTTATATATAAAAATTTTGTTATATACATAACTTACATTAAAAGTCTAGGATTCAAAAATCCTAGAATTTTATGGTTCTGTTTTATATTTAGGTATATAATTCATTCTGAGTTAATTTTTGTGAAAAAAATTTATTTTTTACTGTAGATGTAGAGTTCTAGGATCATTTGTTAAAAAGACTATTCTTTCTATATTACTTCTATTGCCTTTGCTTGTTTCTTAAAGACAAGTTGACTTTATTTATATGTGTCCGTGTCTGACATTCTATTTTGTTTCTTTGATCTGTTTATTCTTTTACTAATGTCACACGGTCTTGAATAGTGTAGCTTTATTTTTTTTTAATTATAAATTCCATCTTTATTTCTTTCCTCTCACATCTGATTGCATGCAGTTAAAAACAGCCACACAGCAGTCTGAATGCTTTGCTGCTTAGATATTTCTTCCACCAGATATCCCAGTTCGTCACTCTCTTTTTTTTTTTTTTTTTTTTTTTTAGTATTCATTGATCATTCTTGGGTGTTTCTCAGAGAGGGGGATTTGGCAGGGTCATAGGACAATAGTGGAGGGAAGGTCAGCAGATAAATATGTGAACAAGGGTCTCCGGTTTTCCTAGGCAGAGGACCCTGTGGCCTTCGCAGGGTTTGTGTCCCTGGGTACTTGAGATTAGGGAGTGGTGATGACTCTTAAAGAGCATGCTGCCTTCAAGCATCTGTTTAACAAAGCACATCTTGCACCGCCCTTAATCCATTTAACCCTGAGTGGACACAGCACATGTTTCAGAGAACAGGGGGTTGGGGGTAAGGTTATAGATTAATGGCATCCCAAGGCAGAAGAATTTTTCTTAGTACAGAACAAAATGGAGTCTCCCATGTCTACTTCTTGCTACACAGACACAGTAACAATCTGATCTCTCTTTCTTTTCTCCACATTTCCCCCTTTTCTATTTGACAAAATCGCCATCGTCATCATGGCCCGTTCTCGATGAGCTGTTGGGTACACCTCCCAGATGGGGTGGCCACCAGGCACACGGGCCCCTCACTTCCCGGACGGGGCAGTGGCCTGGCGGGGGCTGCCCCCCACCTCCCTCCCAGAGGGGGCAGCTGGCAGGGCGGGGGCTGCCCCCCACCTCCCTCCCGGATGGGGCAGCTGCTGGGCGGAGGGGCTCCTCACTTCCCAGACGGGGCGGCTGCTGGGCAGAGGGACTCCTCACTTCTCAGACGGGGCGGCCGTGCAGATGCTCCTCACCTCCCAGACGGGGTGGCGGTCAGGCAGAGACACTCCTCAGTTCCCAGACGGGGTGGCAGCCAGGCAGAGGCTACAATCTCAGCACTTTGGGAGGCCAAGGCAGGCGGCTGGGAGGTGGGGGTTGTAGCGAGCCGAGATCACGCCACTGCACTCCAGCCTGGGCAACATTGAGCACTGACTGAGCGAGATTCCGTCTGCAATCCCGGCACCTCCGGAGGCGGAGGCAGGCAGATCACTCGCGGTGAGGAGCTGCAGACCAGCCCGGCCAACACGGCGAAACCCCGTCTCCACCAAAAAATACAAAAACGAGTCAGGCGTGGCGGCGCATGCCTGCAATCCCAGGCACTCGGCAGGCTGAGGCAGGAGAATCAGGCAGGGAGGTTGCAGTGAGCCGAGATGGCGGCAGTACAGTCCAGCCTCCGCTCGGCATCAGGGGGAGACCGTGGAGAGGGAGAGGGAGAGGGGGAGGGGGAGGGGAAGGGGGAGGGTAGCTTTATAGTAAACCTTGAAGTCTGATATTGTCAGCCTTCTGACTTCATTCTTTTTTATTGTTGTACAGGATATTCTGTATCATTTGCCCTGCCATATAAACTTGAGAATCACTTTGTCAATTCAGCAAATAACTGTTGAGATTTTTACCAGGATTGCATTTAATCTGTAGATCAACTTGAGAAAAACTCACATCTTAACATTATTGGGTCTTCTCCCTGAATATAGAATATCCATCTATTTGACTCTTATTTAATTTCTTTCACCACAAGTTTGTACTTTCCTCATATATTGTTTCTAAAAATGTTTATTGATACATAATAATTATACATATTTATGGGGTGCATGTGATATTTTGATATGCCTAAACAATGTGTAATGATCAAATAAGGGTTTAAATGTCTGCCATTTCCTTGTGTTGGGAATATGTCAAATCTCTGCTCTATCAATTTAGATAAATGCAAATAGATTATAATTAACTGTAGTTAATCTACTGTACTACTAAACGCTAAAACTTATCCCTTTTATCTAACTGTATGTGTGTACCCGTTAACCAACCCGTCTTAATTCTCCTCACTGACCTT
Organism: Homo sapiens; assembly: GCF_000001405.40. Classification (NCBI taxonomy): domain Eukaryota; kingdom Metazoa; phylum Chordata; class Mammalia; order Primates; family Hominidae; genus Homo; species Homo sapiens. The sequence goes on along the minus strand of NC_000024.10, from coordinate 19,534,599 downwards.
ACCAGACACTAGTTATAATCTACTTTCTATTTCAATAACAGCAATGCTCTGAGCCCCTATATATGAGTGAGAACATGTAATATTTATCTTTCTATACCTGGCTTATTTCAATTAACATAATGACCCCGAGTTCTGTCCATGATGTTGAAATCATAGGATTTTATTTTTTATGTCTGTGTAATATTATGTATATGTATCACATTTTTAAATCTATTCAGCTGTTAATGAAAATAAGTTGGTTTTATATATTAGCTATTGTGACTAGTGCTGCAATAAAGACTGGAGTGCAGGTATCTCTTTAATATATTGATTTCCTTTCTTTTGGATAAATACCTGTCAGTGAGATTGCGGGCTCATATTGTAGTTCTATTTTTAGTTTTATGAGAGACCTCCATACTGTTTTTCATAATGACTGTATACTAACTTACATTGCCATCAACACGGTATAAGTGCTCAATTTTCTCCAAATCCTCTTCTTATTTTCTCCACACACATTTATTACTTTTTTCTTTTAGATAAAGCCATTTTTACTAGGGAGTCTATTCATTGTGATTTGGATTTGGATTTTCCTGATTAGTAATGTTGAAAATTTTTTCATATACTTGGCCAAATGTATGTTCTCTTTTGAGAAATGTCTATTGAGATCCTTTGCCCACATGTTAATGAAATTATTTTTATTTTTACTGTTGAGTTGTTTGAATTTCTTGTATGTTCTGAATGTTAGCCTCTTGAAAGATGAATAGTTTGTTAATATTTGATCCCATTCCATGTTGTGTCTCTTCTTCCTGTTAATAATTAAATTTACAGTGAAGAAGCTTGTTAGTTTAATATAGTCCCATTTATTTTTTGTATTGTAGACTGTGCTTTTGAAGTATTTGCAATCTTAGCTATAAAATAGTTTCCTAGATGAATGCCCTGAAGCGTTTTCCTTGTATTTTGTTCTAGTTGCTTCATAGTTTTAAGACTCACATTTAAGTCTTTAATACATTTTGACTTGGTTTTTGTGTATAGTAAAATTTAGGGGTCTTATTTTATACTTCATCTGGGTATACAGTTTTCTCTGAATCATTTATTGAAAAGGGTGTCCTTTCCCCTATGAAATCAGTAAACTGTAAATATGTTTTATTAGTTTATGTGTCTGTTTTTGTGCCAGTATCACACTATTTTATTATATCTTTGTAGTATATGTGGAAGTCAAGTAGTGTGATGCTTTCTATTTTTCTCTTTGTACTCAGTATTGCTTTGAATATTTGGGGTATTTTTGGTCCAATACAAATTTTAGAATTGCTTTTTCTATTTCTGTGAGAAATGTTATTTGTATTTTGATAGGGATTGTATGAAATCTATAGATTGCTTTGGGACATATGGTCACTTTAACAATATCAATTTCTTCAGCATGAGATATCTTTCCATTTGTGGGGTGTGTGTGTACTCTTCAGTTTATTTGATTAGTGTTTTCCAGATTTCCTTGTAGAAATTTTCATATACTAAGTTAAATTTATTCCTAGGTATTTTTGGTAGCTATTATTAATGTGATTGTTTTTTAATTTCTTTATCAGATAGTTTATTACTGGTAAATAGAAATATTACGGATTTATGTATGTTGATTTTGTAACTTTCAATTTCAGTGAATTCATTTATCAGTTCTGAGAGGTTTTTCATAGAGTTTTTAGGGTTTTTATATGTAAGATCATGTCATCTGTGAAAAGGAAAAATTTGAGATTTCTTTTTACTAATATGAATGATTTTTCTTTCTTTCACTTGCCTGATTGTCCTGGCTAAGAATTCTAGTACTGTACAGAACAGGTGTGAAGACTGTGAGTATATTTGTCTTGTTCCAGGTTTTAGAGGAAAGGCTTGTAGCTTTTCACCATTCAGTATGATATTAGTTGTGGGTTATGTTGAAATCTGTTCCTATGCCTAATTTGTTGAAAGTGATGGCATGTTGAATTTTATCATATGCTTTTTCTGCATCTATTTAGATAAACATATGCTTTTTGTTCTTCTTTCTGTCAATGTGATATATCACATTTATTGACTTGGGTGTGTTGAAACAACCTTCCCTACCTAGAATAAAGTAGATATATTGATCGTGTATTATCTTTTTAATGTGTTGTTGGATTTGGCTTGCTAGATTTTGCTGAGAATTTTTGCACTGATGCTTATTAGGGATATTGGCCTGTAGTTTTAATTTTTAGTTGTGTCCTTGTCTGATCTTGGGATTATGGTAATGTTGGTCTCATAGTATGAGTTAGGAAAAATTCCCATCTCTTCAAATTTTCAGAATACTTTAAAAGGAATTGGTTTTAGTTTTTTACTATAAATTGGATAGAATTTAACAGAAAAACCATCCAGTCCTAGGATTTTCTTAGTTGAGATACATTTTGTCACTGGTGTCATCTCATTACTTATTATTGGTCTGTTAATATTTTCTTTTTCTTGGCCAGGCATGGTGGCTCATGCCTGTAATTCCAGAACTTTGGGAGGCCAAGGCTGGCAGATTGCCTGTGGTTGGGAGTTCAAGACCACCTGACCAATATGGAGAAACCCTGTCTCTACTAAAAATACAAAATTAGCCAGACGTGGTGGTGCATGCCTGTAATCCCAACTACTTGGGAGGCTGAGGCAGGACAATCGCTTGAATCCAGGAGGCAGAGTTTGTGGTGAGCCAAGATTGTGACGTTGCACTCCAGCCTGGGCAACAATAGCGAAACTCCATCTAAAAAAAATTACATTTCTCTTTTTTTGACTCTTGGTAGGCTTTATATGTCTAGGAAAGTATTCATTTCCTCTAGGTTTTCCAATTTGTTAGCATATAGTTATTGATGATAGTCTCCAATTATAGTTTTTATTTCTGGAGTATCAGTTATGATGTCACCTTTTTCAATTCTTGTCTTACTTACTTGAGTCTTCTTCAAAATAATCTCCTTTGACCTCACGTTCCACCTCCAGGGCACTCTGAGGGAAGTGGTGGTCTCCCAAGGTTTTAGGCAACTCTGCCTTGTGGCTTTGCTGGGCTCAGTCCTGGTGGTTGCTCTCAAGGACTGGCATTGAATGCCTTGTGGCTCTTCCAGGTGCATGGTGCAAGCTTCTAGTGCATCTATCATTCTGGAGTCTAGAGTTTGGTGACTCTTTTCTCATAGCTCCAATAGGCAGTGCCCCAGTGGGGCCTCTGTGGGAGATCTAACCCCATATGTTTCTCTCACATTGCCCTACTTGATATTCTCCATGGGGGCTCTGCCCAATAGTAGGCTTCTGGCTGCGTATCCAGGCTTTTCCATGCATCCTCTAAAATACAGGTGGGGGCTCCCAAGCCTTAAATATTGAACTCTGTGTACCCACAGATTTAACACCATGTGGAAGCTGCCAAGGTTTATAGCTTGCAACTTCGGAAGAAATGGCCTAAGCTATACCTGGGCCCCACTAAGCTACCCATGGAGCTGCAGTTGCTGAGCTATGGGGGGCAGTGTCCTAAGGCTGTGCAGGGAAGTAGGGTCCTGGGCCTGATCCATGATACCATTCAGTCTTCCTAAGTTTCTGGGCCTGTGAAGAGAGAGGGTTCTGCAAGTGTCTCTGAAATGCCTTCTAGGTCTTTTCCCCATTTTCTTGTGTATAACCATTTGGCTCTTATTTATTTATGCTAATTTCTTCAGTCTGCTTGAATTCATCCCTAGAAAATGGGCTTTTCTTTTTTACCCCATGGCTAGGATGCAAACTTTTATGCTGTTTCTTTTTAAAATATAAGTTCCAATTTTAGGTCATTTCTTTGCTCATGCACATGAGGCTAGGTTTTAGAAGCAGCCATGCCATGTCTTGAATTATCTGATGCTTAATTTCTTCTGCCAGACACCCTAAGTCATCACTCTCAAGTTCAAAGTTCCACAGAATTCTAGGATAGGAGCACAATGCAGCCAGGTTCTTTGCCAAGGCATAACAAAAATGACCTTTGCTCCAGTTCCCAATAAGTTATTCATCTCTATGTGAAACCCCATTAGCTAGGACATCTCTGTCCATTTTACTATCAGCATTTTGGTCACAACCATTCGATAAGTCTCTATGAAGTTCCAAATTTTTCCTTTTCTTCCTGTCTTCTTCTGAGCTCTCCAAACTTTTCTAGTTTCTGCCCATTACCCAGTTCCAAAATCACTTCCACATTTTCAAGTATCTTTACAGCAATGCCCCATTGCTTGGTGCCAATTTCTGTATTTATTTGTTCTTTCATTGCTAGAAATAACTACCAGAGACTGTATAATTTATAAAGAAAAGAGGTTTAATTGGTTCATGGTTCTGCAGGCTGTTCAGGAGACATGGCAGCATCTGTTTCTGGGGAATTCTCAGGGTGCTTCTAATCATGGCAGAAGATGAAGGGGAAGCAGGCCCATTTAATATGCAGGAGCAGGAGCAAGACAGAGTGGGAGGGGGCACTATACAATTTTAAACAACCGGATCTCACGAGAACTCACTATTACTAGAACACCACCAACAGGATGGTGTTAAATCATTCATGAGAAACTGTCCCCATGATCCAACTACCTCCCATGGGGCACCACCTGTAACATTGGGGATTACAATTCAACATGAAATTTGGGCAGGCACACAGATTCAAACTATATCAATCTAATAACATTTGCTTTATATATTCTGATTCTCACATGTAGAGTACATATACGTTTAGACTTGTTACATGCTCTTGCTAAACAAATCTCTTTATCATTAATGACATTCTTTGTCTCTTTTTAACAGTTTTTAACTGAAAATTTATTTGGTCTAATATAAGTGTAGCTACCTTTGCTTGGTTTATGTATCCATTGTGTGAAAGTGTCTTTTTCCATCTCTACATGTTTGGACTATGTGTCTTGACAAGTGGAGTGGGTTTCTTGTGGGAAGCATATAACTGAATCATGTTCTTTTTTTTTAAAAAAAAAAAAAAAGTCATTTATCAGATCTATTTCTTTTAAATGGATAATTTACTTTTTAGTCACTTATTTTTTTTTAGGTCGAATTGCACTCTGCTGCCCAAGCTAGGGTGCAGTGCTGTGATCATGGCTCACTGCATCCTCAACCTTTGGGGCTTAAGTGATCCTTCTACCTCAGCACCCCCAGTAGCTGGGGTCATGGGCATATGCCACCATGCCCAGTTAGGTTTTAAAATTCTTTGCAGAGATAGGGACCTCCTATGTTTCTCAGGCTATATTGAATACCTGGGGTCAAGAAATCTTTCCACCTCAGCCTCCCAAGTGTTGGGATTATAGTCATGATCCACCATGCCTAGCTTAAGTGCAAAATTTAAATCAGTTACATTCAAGGTTATTAGGAATAGGTAGGTGATTTATTTCTTTCATTTAAAAAATTGTTTTCTAGTTGTTTTTGTATTCTCTTTATTACTTTCTCCCTCTCATTGTTTATCATTGCAGTTTGATGGTATTCTAGAGTAGCAATATTTGAGTACTTTCTCTTTTTCATTTGTCTTTTAATTTTTTATTAGTGAGCTTTATAATTTTGCCTGTTTTCATGATGGTATGTATTGTCTTTTCACCTCCACACTTACATCTTTTTTAAGCATTTTTTTTTTTTTTGTAGAACAATCTAGTATTGATGTATCCCCTCAGTTTTTGCTTGTGTGGTAAGAACTTCCTTTCTTTTTCATTTTTGAAAGATAGTTTTTCTGACCATAATATTTTAGGCCAGGAGGTTTTTTCTCTTTTAGCATCTTAGTATATATCACCCCATTCTCCTCTTGCCTTTAATGGTTCTGTTGAATAATGTGCTCTGAGTCTGATGGGGATCTCCTTATATGTGACTGGACACTTTTCTCTTGCTGTTTTTAGAATTTTCCCTTTGTCTTTGACTCTTGACAGTTTCGCTCTAATGTGCCATCAGAAACACCATTATGGTTTAAACCTATTTGGGGAAATTTTTTGTTTTCTATATCTGTATATATCTATCTCTTACAATACTTTTCAGTTTTCAGCTATTATTTTGTTAGATAGTTGTTTTATGTCTGTGTCCCTCTCTTATCAGAACTCCCGAAATTCAAAAATATATTCACTTTATAGTGTCCCATATATCGCATAGTTTTTCTTTCTTCTCTTTCATTTTTATTTTTTCCTGACTAGATGAGTTTAAAAGATGTGTCTTCAAGTTCAATTTTTTTTAATTCTCCTTGATCTAGTCTGTTTTTGAAGCACCTGATAGTATTTTGAATTTTCATTCAAAATTTTCAGTTGTAGAATTTTTATTTTGTTCTTTTAATGCTACCTCTTTGTTGAATTTCTCATTCAGATAATTAATTATTTTTCTTATTTTTTTATTATGAGTCTTCTCCTGTATTTCACTGAATCTTCTTGATACTACTATTTTCAATTCATTTTTAGCATTTTATAGATTTTTTCTCATTAGAATCTGTTCATGGATAATTGTGTTCTTTTGGAGGTATCAAGTTTCCTTGATTTTTAAAACTTTTTCTTGTGTCCTTACATTGATATCTATACACCTGGTGTAACAGTCACATCTTCCAAATTTATGGTTGTCTTTCATCGAAAAAAAAACTTTTGCTGTAGATATATGTATGATTCAGGTGCTTTGGCTTTCCTTCTAAGTGCATGCAGTAGTATAGTCTCCATATGATTTCTCTGTAATCAGTATCAGTGGTGTCTGTGAGTTTCTTATTGGCTTAGGCTATGGTTGTTTGTGAAGCCTGTGGTGAAACTTTCCTGCAGAGGGAACACCAAGTTAGCTGGTCCTTGAGCCCCAGTTGTGGCAGCAGTGATATAGGCATGCCTGTCCTGGAACCTCTGGGGGTTGTACGTGGGCATTAGTTTTAGTGGGATCAACATATTCAATCCATAGGTCTTCAGGTGGCTTACTTGGATACCAGCAGTGGCAGCAGTTGGTTAGACTGGTAACTTGACATCAGGCTTTCTGTACAGCATGGATGATATCACCAATGGCAGTAATGGCAGTGGCCCAACCCTTGGGCTCTCAAATGTCTTGCAATGGTGTTGGCAGTCATGGAAGTTCAGTTCTGAGGCCTCCACATAGCATATATGGCTGGAAAAAGTTATTGGGCATAGTTGGTGGTGGTGATGGCAGGCTGGGCAGACTTATCCTCAGGCCCCCAAAGAGGCAGAGGGAGAGTTCAGTCCCTAGACACCCAGCATGCTGTGTGCTGGCACCAGCATGCTGAGTGAGCTCATTCTTAGGCCCTCAGAAAGCATAAACAGGCACTGGTGATTGTGGGTGGCTGATCCTCTTTTTCAACCTACTGTTGGTGCCTACAGTTAGCAGTGGGGCTACCTGCAGCAGGTGGGATAGTTTGATCTCCAGACTCTTGAACAATGTGGGGGCACTGGTGACAGCGGTGGGCAGGTGAGTCTGAACTGCTCAGTAGTGCACATGAGTGCTGGCTGTAGTGACTGGGCAGATTATCATTAGGTCACTGGACAGCACACTCAGGTGGTAACAGTTTTTATGATGTGTCTATTCTCACACCATAAGATGGGCCAGTCCCCAGTCCCTGGGTGGGCCAGTTCCCAGTCCCTCTTAAGGTGTGTGAGGTGCATAACAACTCTTGCTGGAGGCAGTGGGCTTACTGTGAGTTCATGCCTCCAGGAAGGTGTGGACCCAGGATGACAACTAAGTGGGCAGTCCTAAGTCCCTCTTATGATGTGTGCAGGTGCATGGCAGCACTTGCTGGAATGAGGGGGGTTGCTGTCAGAATTAGCAGCCTCAGGAACATGACTCTCAGGTTCTTGGAATGTGTGCTTTGGCTCAGCTTGTCTCTGGAGGAAGCCTCCCTGGTACACTGTACTGCCCGTTCTCTAACTGTAGGCCACATGTGCACTACAGCGCTGGTGACTTTTCTGTACCACTGGGCCCTCCTAGTGTCTATCCCTGTGGGTGCGTGTGGAAGGAATGTCAGTGGGCTCCAGGGATGTGGAGGTTCGGGGACTGTTTGAAGCTTGGTGCAATGCAATGTGGTGGGTAATGGGATCTCAAAATGTTGTCATGGGTCTCAGTGGGTGTGAATAATCTTGTGTGAATTCCGTCTCTGGAGCTGTGCTCAGGTCCCAGGCAGCTCCCTATTCTAGTCTGAGGCCCTGAAGGGCTGAGGGGATCTCCTGTGTTTAGAATTGCAGGAGTACACCAGTGGAAACGTGGACACCTGGGAATCTCTTGCTTACGTTTTATCTGCATTGCAGTTTCTCCTAACTGCAAGCCAATCCTGGTCAGTCTGGCTGCTTTACTGCTTTATCCTCTTGTACTTCAGAGGTTCCCTGTCACTTTCCTACTGAATTCCAATGTTCTTTCTTAAATCTTTTTTTCTGTGTGTGTATCTGCTGGCTGTTTTGTCCTTCTTTGTAGAGAAATATAATGCTTGGTGCCTCTAGTTAGCCATCTTGAAGCCCCTTCCCTCCTCAGGTATTCCTGTACATACTTTGTTAGAATATCAATCAAGAAGTCTCTCTCTCTCTCTCTCTCTCTCTCTCTCTCTCTCTCTGTGTGTGTGTGTGTGTGTGTGTGTGTGTGTGTGTTTTGGTGCTTTGAATATTTCTCTCTTCCAACATTTATGTAAAAAATCCTAATTTCCCTGGCATTAAATGAATTATGACGATGAGATCTTAGTGGCTTTATAAGAGGAGAAGGAGAGACATAACCCAGCACAGTTAGCTTCCTTGACATGTAATGTCCTGTGATGCCTTAGGACTATGCAGAGAGTCTGCGCCAGCACGAGGCCCCTCATCAGATGCAGAATCTCAATCTTGGACTTAGCCTCCAAAAATATAAGAAATAAATTTATTTTATTAAAAATAAATTATCCTGTTTCAGGTATTAAGTTATAGCAATCAAAAATGAACTAGGACAGGTGTTAATTAAATGTTTTTTTTTGTTTTAAGTTCTAATTATTCACTGCTGATACAAATTGAGTACCCCTTATGTAAAATGTTTGGGACCAAAAGTGTTTCAGATTTCAGTGGCTTTTTTTATTGGAATATTTGCATATATTTAACCAGTTGAGCACCCATAATTCAAATGTGAATACAAAATGCACCAATGAGCATTTCCTTTGAGTTTTACGTTGGTCCTCAAAAAGTCAGATTTTGGAGCATTTTGGATTTCATATTTTTAGCTTAGTGGTGTTTTACCTGTATATAGCAAAATGATTAACTTTTCTATAACTTTGTACCCTGTAATGCTGCTATGATTACTTAGGTACAGTAGTTTAGTGTCATTGTTGACTTTTTTTTCTTCAGATTTTCATTTTGTCTTTGAACGCAGGCAGTTTTATTTCTTCCTTCCCAGTCTGTGTACCTTTTATTTTCCTTCCTTGTCTTACTACATTAGTTAGAATTTCTACTATGGTGTTTAGTAGGAGTGATGAGAGACAATATTATTTTCTTCCTCCTGATCTTAGAGGGGAAGCTTGTAGTTTCCCACCATTAAGTATGATGTTAGCTGTATGTTTTTCTAGATGTTATTTTTCAACTTGAGGAATTGACCCCTCTTTTCCCAGTTTGCTAAGAGTTTTATATTATTATTATGAATGGATGTTAAATTTTATCAAATGCTTTTTCTATTTCTATCGAAATCATCATATGGTTTTATAAAAAATATGTTACTGTGATATATTACTGATTTTTAAATGTGGAATAAGATTTGCATGCCTAGAATCCATCCCACTTTGACATGGTGCAATACTTTTTATACACTGTTGGAATCAATTTGCTAATATTTTGTTGAAGATTTTTGCATCCATGTATATTGGTCTATTGTTTTATTTTTTCATAAGTCTATTTGAATTTGATATTAGAGTAATGCTGACTTCACACAATGAGTCAGGAAATATTCTCTCTGCTTCTATTTTCTGAAATAAATTGTAGAAAGTGGTATGTTTTTAAAAATAAATGTATTTGTAAAACTCAAGCATCATCTTCCTGTCAATAGGAATGCATACAGAGTTTAATGTTTTTTAATGCATACACAGCTTCAACTTTGCAAGGAAAAGAATTCTGGAGACTGGTTACACACAAGAATGTATTTAACTCATACAATGGAAAATGACTAGCATAATAAATCTTACACTGAATATATTTTGTCACATTGTTTTTAGAAAAAGAATACTCTCTTTGAACTTTGTACCTTCCCCAATTATTTTTATTCACTTTTTGCCTTTACATCCTCTTTCATTTTATTAAAGTTGGTTATGATTCCTCTGTCTTATCTTCAGAAAGACAAAGGCCCAAGGAGACTTAAAGAGTATGTTAATTATATTTCTAATAAACTGAATTATATATCCCTAATGCATTTAATTAGGTTGGTGTTTAGTTTAACACTCAGTTCTTGCAATTATGTTGTTTTGAAATGCTTTATTTATTAAAACAAATACATTAATTAAAATACTAATTTCAACTCTGGTGGTCTAATAACAGAAGAGAGCAAGAGAAAATGGGAAAAAGAAGGAAACAATGGAGAGGGAAGAGAAGGAGACCAATGAACACACACGCACCCACATATGCACAGGTGTGTGTACGTGTGCATGCACACACACCCCATTCCTTTTGCCATCCCTTCCACATCATTATTACACTGGTCCATACATTTGTCTCTGGTTGTGCCCTGTATGTCCTCAGCCCACATGGATTTTCCATTACTTCCTGCTTCAGGCAGTCAATAGCTAGGAATAGGCATCTCTACCTGCTAGCAGCCCAGCACTCAACCAGTTGTGAGAGGCTGGCTGCAGGCTCCTGCATTGGGCTTAGGCCTCACTGCCCAACTGGAGAGGAAGAGTCTTTGACTTTGCCTTTGGGTACATTGACTAATTAAACTGTGTTCAGGATAAGTTGCACCGAATGTACCCATGCCGAGAGAATGAAGAGGATGCTATGGAAAAGTCAGTCATTACTTAGGCAGAGAAAGTGAAACTTCTGAAACAGAGGAGTAAGGGATGTGTATCTGTGATGGCACTTTCTGTTTCCCTTTAAGTAGAGATTTTGAGTGCATGTTAACACTCTTGCTGAAATGAAGGAGATAAGGATATCAATGGGAAAAATTCACAGCTCATACACATTTAATTAAGCAGGACCTGTGTCATCACTAGGCAAGGGAGAAGTCAGTTTACATTAGATCTAAACAGACAATGCTGGCAGCAGATAAATAACTCAGGTATCCTTGACATACTAAAACTATTATTGCTTTTGTGCTGTGATTCCACAGCATATAGGAACACAGGAAGAATGGCTGTAGGGACAAAAGGAACCCAACGACCAGAGATGTATCATGAAGCTAAATAGAATTAAGAGGAACCAGGACAGAATCCTCAGCTTTTACCACTGCCTGTGAGCAGAAGGGAAGACAAGGAACCTCAGTAAGACATGGACCCAGGAAGGAGCATAATAGCTTCACCTGGGAATAATTTGCCAGCAAGTAAGAGTACATACTATTTCATTGAACACAGGTTTAATTATGTCCATATTTCACCCATCTGAGTAAAGTGTTTTCGAGTGGTAGAAACACTAGTTCAAGGTCACAGAACAAACCAGGCAAGAACCTAGATCTCACTACTTCAGTAAAAAGAGTCAGAAAACAAAAGCAACTTCCAGATAGGGAGAGATCCAAGATACTCATGATTACCCAAGAGGCTTGATATTTTAGTCAATTAGTAAGCATCTACTAAGCATGTACTGTGTACATAGCAACATGCTGGGAATCTGGGGGCCACAGTGGTGTAAACCCTCAAAAGATCGAGCAGGGAAACAGTCTTTTTTTTGTGCCTAGCAAGGAAAGCTATGAAAGAGAGTGAGGGGCTATAGAAAGAGAAAACAAAATCAATCCCTTCTAAGGTCCCACTTTTAAATGCACCCTACAGTGCAGTTTATGGAAAGTCATCAAATCACTCTCCTGTATCCAACCTGAAATAAAGAGATAGCAAATTGTTCTCCTGTCATTAGGAGTGGAGGTGAGAGAGGCATCTTTTTACCTTCCGTGAAGGGTTAGACCTCATTTTCTAATATAGGCCGGGAAAACTATTTTAATACAAATTAAGGAGGCAACATAATCTCTTAAGCCTGAGAAAGAAACCTAGACAAAGTTGTCTTGGATGTTTTTCATATACAAAGTGCTTATTCGTGGATATCTTAAAAACCTACAGGAAACAGAATACTGGGAAATAAAGAAGTTTGTTTAAAGATGTACTTTTCTCTATGCTGCAAAATATTGCATCTAATTTTAGGCTTCAGTGGCCATAATGTCTGACCTTGACATTGTGGTGTTTCTGCTATATAATTTTACTGATACATACTGTTGGAACAATGCCAAAGTCAAAGATTCTGACATCTCTTTGAAGACATATAAGTCCCCTTAAAATTTCTGTCCATGCAGTGACTCACAGAGAAGGTTAACAGAAACCCTGATTATAGCATACAGAAACTTTGTGGCATGGTGGTGACATTAGATGACACTGTCTAAGCTACTTGCTGGCATTTTTGTTTTCACAGTTTTGGTATTTCCCAACCATAGGGAGGCAGTCTTGGAGAAGAATAACTCATATCTCATCAGGGACAATATTTGGATGTTTCCTCTTCTTATATTTTTCTCCATAAGTCTTCTCTATTATCTTTGCTGCTTCCCAACTTACTGAATTGCACACAGAAACAAAATTAGATAATGGATGTTGAAATAATAAGAAAAATTGACTATGTAATATATTTATTCCATGCATAATTATTTAACAACCACTAGTGCCTACCAAGATATTGAGCATTTATACAGGAAATAAACATTATCTCAGACACAATGAAACTCTTGGGAAGAGAACAAGAATAAATATATTAAAATATATGATATCCTAGTTCACAATGAATACTCCAAAAAATTAAGATGATAAAGGGGATAGAGAGAGAGGACATTATTTTAAACAGTAAATTATTCATTACAAATCTTGCATCGACAGAATAATATGCATAACTCGTGAATCAGTCAGCTCTTTCACAGTACTGCTATTTAACAAACTACCCTAAAACTTAATACTATGCATCAGTAAACATTTATTTCTCAATTATCTATGACTCATATATCTTTGGGTCAGCTATGGTGAGCTAATCTACGCTATGCACAATTGGACTTAACTCCAAGTGTCGGCTGGAGTCCAGGTCTGCTTCACATGTCAGCTATCTTTCATGAACGAGTTGAATATCTAGGACATATTATTCTTATGGCAATAGCAAACATTCAAGAGGATATAATGAAAATGCAATGACTCTTAAGACGTAAACTCAGAAGGGACACATTGCTACTTCTGATGACATTTTATTTCCCAAAGCAATCCTGTAGCCTGATCTCAAGAGTAAGAAGGTACGCTCATAAGATGAACTGCAAATTCTCATGACAAAGGATGTGGAGACAAGATAGGATGTCTCCTATCTTGAACCTGGGCAGATGGGCCATATGCCATTCCAATGCTAAGAATGAAAAAATTTGTTTGAAAAACGTTTTTCTTTTCTGAGCTTGCCAGGAAGTGAAAGAGGCAGGTAGGGAATGTGAGAAAATTCACCAGACACAGCAAGTTTGCTTTGAGTGGCACAAACGTAGCGTATGGTCCATAGTGGCCCAAAGAGTCATCACTTGGCCTCACTGTGCTAACAACTACATCTTTAGTGAATCTGATCAGCTATGTGTCATCTGGTGTGTAAAGTAACTGGACTCTGATAAGCAGGTGAGATTTTAAGCTTTTTCTTGAAATTCGTGTTTCTCTATTCCCAGTCCTGTCCCACATTTTTCAGGCCATTTTGTTGTATAAGATGGGAAATATCCCCAATAATCCTTTCAGATAATGATGATTTTTGAAACCCTGCCACCCCTCAGTAAACTCTCCAGAGCTCTTCAGTCAGTCAAGTACCACAATCTGGCTCATACCTGCAGATAGGAAAGCTGATTTTTTAGTTCATCATCATGGTTAATGAAATCTAATGACCATTATCCAAACTGATACCAATAGAAGAAATTTGTTACATAATACAAAAATTCCAGATTGCAACATCAAGACATATTTTGTAAGTAGAAAGGATAGAACATTGGGAGTGATAGATTTTTGTTGTTGTTATTGTTTGTTTGTTTGTTTTTTGAGACGGAGTCTCGCTTCATCAACAGGAAGGAGTGCAGTGGCATGATCTTGGCTTACTGCAACCTCCAATTCCTGGGTTCAAGCAATTCTCCTGCCTCAGCTTCCTGAGTAGCTGGGATTACAGGCACATGCCACCACAACCAGCTAATTTTTGTATTTTTAGTAGAGATAGGGTTTCACCATGTTGGTCAGGCTGGTCTCGATCTCGTGACCTCGTGATCTGCCTGCCTTGGTCTCCCAAAGTGCTGGGATTACAGGCGTGTGCCACTGCACCCGGCCGGGAGTGATATGTTTAATGGTGAGGGTCAATAGAAATTTAAGCCATCTTTACGTAGGAGAGTTCTGATGTGAGGTACCCCAAATTCTGTAAATAATAGTAGGGTAGAATTGGAAGTAGGACAAGCTAGATGTAACAATTGTTCTTTTTCTTTCTTCTTCTTTTTTTTAAATTTACTTTAAGTTCTGGGATGAATGTGCAGGTTTGTTACATAGGTATACATGTGCCATGGTGGTTTACTGCACCTATCAATCCATCTTCTAGGTCTTAATCCCCTTAAACATTAGGCATTTGTCCCAGTGCTCTCCCTTCCTTTTGCCTCCTGTCCTCTGACAGGCCCCACTGTGTGATGTTTCCCTCCCTGTGTCCATGTGTTTCTCATTGTTCACCTCCCACTTATGAGTGAGAACATGTGGTGTTTGGTTTTCTGTTCCTGTGTTAGTTTGCTGAGAATGATGGCTTCCAGCTTCATCCATGTCCCTGCAAAGGATATCAACTCATTCTTTCTCACGGCTGCATAATATTCCATGGTGTATATTTGCCACATTTTCTTTATCCAGTCTATCACTGATGGACATTTGGGTTGGTTCCAAGGATTTGCTATTGTAAATAGTGCTACAGTAAACAAAAGGGTGCATGTGTCTTTATAGCAGAATGATTTATGATCCTTTGAGTATACACCCAGTAATGGGATTGCTGGGTCAAATGGTATTTCTGCTTCCAGATCCTTCAGAAATTGCCATACTGTCTTCCACAATGGTTGAACTAATTTACACTTCCACCAACAGTGTAAAAAGCATTTCGATTTCTCCACAGCCTCATCAGCATCTGTTGTTTCCTGACTTTTTAATAATCACCATTCTAACTGATGTGAGATGGTATCTCATTGTGGTTTTCATTTTCCTTTCTCTAATCATCAGTGATGATGAGTTTTTTTTCATGTTTTTTTGTTGTTTTTTTTTGGCTGCATAAACGTCTTCTTTTGAGGAATGGCTGTTCATATCATTTGCCCACTTTTTGAAGAGATTGTCTGCTTTTTTACTTGTAAGTTTGTTTAAGTTTCTTGTAGATTCTAGATATTAGACCTTTGTCAGATGGGTAGCTTGTAAAAATTTTCTCCCATTCTCTAGGTTGCCTGTTCACTCTGATGAGAGTTTCTTTCACTGTGCAGAAGCTCCTTAGTTCAATTAGATTCCATTTGACAATTTTGGCCTTTATTGCCATTGTTTTTGGTGTTTTAGTCATGAAGCCTTTGCCCATGCCTATGTCCTGAATGGTATTGCCTAGGTTTTCTCCTAGGGTTTTTATGGCTTTGGGATTTACAGTAAATCTTTAATTTTTGTGTAAAGTGTAAGAAAGAAGTTCAGTTTCTGTTTTCTGCATATGGCTAGCCAGTTCTTCCATCACCATTTGTTAAATAGGGAATCCTTTCCCCATTGCTTTTTTTGTAAGATTTGTCAAAAATCAGATGGGTGTAGATGTGTGGTGTAATTTCTGAGGTTTCTGTTCTCTTCCATTGGTCTATATATCTGTTTTGGTACCAGTACCACGCTGTTTGGTTACTGTAGCCTTGTAGTGTAGTTTGAAGTCAAATAGCATGATCCCTTCAGCTTTGTTCTTTTTGCTTAAGATTGTCTTGGCTATAAGGGCTCTTTTTTGGTTCCATATGAAATTAAAAGTAGTTTTTTTTCCAATTCTGCAAAGAAAGTCCATGGTGGGTTGATGGTAATAAAATTGAATCTATAAATTACTTTGGGTAGTATGGCCATTTTCACGATATTAATTCTTCCTGTCCATGGGCATGAAATGTTTTTCCATTTGTTTGTGTACTCTCTTATTTCCTTGAGCTGTGGCTTGTAGTTCTCCTTGAAGAGGTCCTTCATGTCCCTTGTAAGTTGTATGCCTAGTTATTTTATTGTCTTTATAGTAATTGTGAATGGGAGTTTACTCATGATTTGGCTCTCTGATTGTCTGTTGTTGGTGTATAGGAATGCTCATAATTTTTTCACATTGGTTTTGTATCCTGAGCCTTTGCTGAAGTTGCCTATCAGCTTAAGGAGTTTTGGGACTAAGACAATGCGTTTGCTAAATATACAATTGTGTCATCTGCAAACAGAGACAATTTGACTTCCTCTCTTCTTATTTGAATACCCTTTATTTTTTTGTCTTGCCTGATTTCCCTGGCCAGAACTTCCAATATTATGTTGAGTAAGAGTGGTGAGAGAGCACATTCTTGTTTTGTGCCAGTTTTCAAGGGAATGCTTCCAGCTTTTGCCCATTCAATATGATATTGGCTGTAGGTTTGTCACAAATAGCTTTTATCATTTTGAGATATGTTACATCAACATCTAATTCACAGAGATATTTTAGCATGAAGGAATATTAAATTTTACAGAAGTCCTTTTCTGTTTCTATGAGATAATCATATGCTTTTTGTCATTGGTTCTATTTGTGTGATGGATTACATTTACTGATTTTCATATGTTGAAGCAGAATTGCATACCAGCTATGAAACCAACTTGATTGTGGTGGATAAGCTTTTTGATGTGTTGCTGGATTCCATTTGCCAGTATTTTATTGAGGATTTTCCATCGATGTTCATCAGGGATGTTGGCCTGAAATTTCCTTTTTTTGTTGTGTCTCTGCTAGGTTTTGGTATCAGGATGATGCACTTCATAAGATGAGTTAGGGAGGAGTCCCTCTTTTTCTATTGTTTGGAATTGTTTCAAGAAAGAGTGATACCAGTTTCTCTTTGTACCTCTGGAATAATTTGTCTGTAAATCTATCTGGTCCTGGATGTTTTTGGTTGGTGATGTCTGTTGGTGAGTTCTGTGGATGTTGATTAGGTCTTCTTGGTCTAGAGCTGTGTTCAAGTCCTGAATATCCTTGTTAATTTTCTGTCTCGTTGATCTAATATTGACAGTGGGATGTTAAAGTCTCCCACTATTATTGTGTGGGAGTCTAAGTCTCTGTAGTTCATTAAAAACTTGTTTATGAATCTAGGTGCTCCTGTATTGGGTGCATATATATTTAGGATAGTTAGCTCTTCTTGTTGCACTGACATCTTTAACATTATGTAATGCCCTTCTTTGTCTTTTTTTATCTTTGTTTGATTAAAGTCTGTTTTATCAGAGACTAGGGTTGCAACTCTTGGTTTTTTGATGGGTCTCCTGAATACAGCACACTGATGGGTCTTGACTCTTTATCCAATTTTCCAGTCTGTGTCTTTTAACTGGGGCATTTAACCCATTTACTTTTATTGTTAGTATTGTTATGTGTGAATTTGATCCTGTCATCTTAATGCTAGGTGGTAATTTTGCACATTAGTTGATGCAGTTTCTTCGGTGTCATTGGTCTTTATATTTTGCTGCATTTTTTCAGTGGCTGGTACCAGGTTTTCCTTTCCATATTTAGTGCTTCCTTCAAGAGCTCTTATAAACCTGGCCTGGTGGTGACAAAATCACTCAGCATTTGCTTGTCTGGAAAGGATTTTATTTATCTTTTGCTTATGAAGCTTAGTTTGGCTGGATATGAAATTCTGGGTTGAAAATTCTTCTCTTAAAGAATGTTGCGTATTGGCCCCCAATCTATTCTGGCTTGTAGGTTTCTGCAGAGAGATCCACTGTTATTCTGACTGGCTTTCTTTTGTAGGTAACCTGACCTTTCTCTCAGATGCCCTTAACACTTTTTTCTTCTTTTTAACCTTGGAGAATCTGATGATTATGTTTCTTGAGGTTGCTTGTCTTGAAGAGTATCCTAGTTGCATTCTCTGTATTTCCTGAATTTGCATGCTGGCCTGTCTTGCTAGTTGGGGAATTTCTTCTGGGTAATATCCTGAAGTGTGTTTTCCAACTTGATTTCATTATCCCTCCCTGTCACCTTCAGTTACACCAATCATTCATAGGTTTGGTCTTTGCACATTGTCCCATATTAATGGGAGACTGTTCATTACTTTTCATTTTTTTTCTCTAATCTTGTCCTCACACCTTATTTCAGTAAGTTGGTCTTCAGCCTTTAATATCCTTTCTTCTGCTTGATCAATTTGGCTATTGATACTTGCATATGCTTCACAAAGTTCTTGTGTTTTTCAGGTCCATCAGGTCATTTTTGTTCCTCTCTAAACTGATCATTCTAGCAAGCAGTTCCTCTAACCATTTATAAAGGTTCTTAGCTTGCTTGCATTGGGTTAAAACATATTCCCTTAGCTCAGAGGTGTTTGTTATTACCCACCTTTTGAAGCCCACTTTTGTCAATTTGTCAATCTCATTCCCCATCCTGTTTTGTGCCTTTGCTGGAGAGAAGTTGTAAGCATTTGGAGGAGAAGAGGCATTCTGGTTTCCAGAATTTTCAGAGTTTTTGTGTGGGGTTTTCCTCATCTGCATGGCTTATCTATCTTTGATCTTTAAGGCTGATGACCTTTGGATGGGGTTTTCTTGTGGGGGTCCTTTATGCTGATGTTTATATTATAGCTTTCTGTTTTGTAGCTTTTCTTCTAACAGTTAGGTCCCTCTTATGCAGGTCTACTGCAGTTTGCTGGAGGTCCACTTCAGACACTTTTCACCTGTGTATTACCAGCAGAGGCTGCAGAACAGCAAAGATTGCTACCCATTCCTTCCTCTGGAAGCTGTGCCCCAGATGGGCACCAGCCTGATGCCAGTCAGAGCTCTCCTGTATTAGGTGTCTGTCGACTACTGTTGGGAGGTTTCTCCCAGTCAGGAGGCACGGGGGTCAGGGACCCACTTGAGGAGGCAGTCTGTCCCTTTGCAGAGCTGGTGTACTGTGCTGGGAGAAATCCCTCTGTCAGGATCAGCTGCTCTCTTCAGAGCAGGCAGGCAATAATGATTAAATCCGCTGAAGCTGCTCCCATAGCTGCCCTTCCCCCAGGTGCTCTGTCCCAAGGAGTTGTGGGTTTTGTCTGTAATCCCATGACTGAGGCTATTTCCTTTCCTTCAGAGATGCCCTGCCCAGTGAGGAGGAATCTAGAAAAGCAGTCTGGCCACAGCTGCTTTGCTGGGCCCAGCCTAGACCTCCCAGCCTCCTTAGCACTGTCAGGGGAAAACCACCTACTCAGTAATGGTGGATGCCCCTCCCTGAACCAAGCTGGATTGTCCCAGGTAGACTTCAGACTGCTGCGCTGGCAGTGAGCATTTCACGCCAGTGGTTCATAGCTTACTGGGTCCTGTGGGAATGGGATCCATTGAGTGAGACGGCTTGGCTCCATGGCTTCAGCCCCCTTTCCAGGGGAGTGAATGGCTTTGTCTCACTGGGGTTCAAGGCACCACTGCGGCATTAAAAAAACTCCTGCAGCTAGCTCAGTGTCTGCCCAAACCATACCCAGTTTTGTCCTTGAAACCCAGGGCTCTGGTGATGTAGGCATACAAGGGAATCTCCTGATCTGCAGATTTCAAAAATTGTGGGAAGAGCATAGTAACTCATATGGGTAGCACAGTCCCTCATGAATTCCCTTGGTTGGGAGAGGGAGGTACTCAGCTGCTTCCACTTCCTAGATGAAGTGAAGCCCCACCTTGCTTCTGCTTGCCCTCCATGGGCTGTGCCTCCCTGCTTAAACAGTCCCAATTAGAAGAACTGATTACCTCAGTTTGAATTGCAAAAATCACCCACCTTCTGCGTTGACCTCACTTGGAGCTGCAGACCAGACCTGTTCTTATTTGATCATCTTGGTCCCTCCTGGTAGGCTCTTCTAATAGTTGTTCTTTAGAACAATACAATATGGAGAGTGTGGAGCATTCTGGAAACTGCAGCATAGCCTCAGATTTTATTGGCAACTTTGCCAAAATTCCAATGATTCCTACTCTGGTCTAACAGACCCTTCTTGGGCCCTTCTCTTGTATTGTATTGTACTGTACTGTACTGCACTGTATTGTATTGTATTGTGTTTTATCCCCAACTACATTAACTTTTAACACTTTTATTGAAGTGAAACATACAGACACACAAGTATACACATAGTTAGTTCACAGCTTGCTGAGAAACAACATCCATGTAACCAGAACTCAGTTTAAGGAATAGAAAATCACCACTTCCCTAGAAATTCCTGATTGCCTTGCTGTCACTATCAGAGTGATGATATTCTATCTCTAAACTGGGTTCTGGTTACATGGATGTTGTTTCTCAGCAAGCTATGCATTAATTATGTGTAAACTTATATGTCTGTAACTCTTAACTTTTAACAACATTGATTGGCTTTATATATTGTGTATTTTATAAAAATAAAGGTTGTTTTTGGTTGGCTTCTCTTGCCTAACATTATGTTTATGGAATTTATTTACTGTTGTATATGATTGTAGTTCATTAATGCTCATTGCTGAATATTCCCTTGTGTGACTATACCAAAATTAAATAATCTGTTCTACAGTTGAAGAACATTTGGCTACTTTTGGTTTTGTCATTAAGAATAATGTTTTCATCTATATTTATGCACATGTGCATATATTTGGAGGCTACACATATTATTTATGTAGACATGTAAAATACGTGTGCAAAAATATAGCCTCGTGAGTGGCTGGGACCACAGGTGTGACAAATTTTATCAATTTTTTTTCACTTCCACTAGGCATATATGAGAGTTCCCCTTGCCAGCCCTCAGAATTTTCTCACTTTTATGTTTTAGCCATTTTAGTAGCTAAAAATGGTGGGATTCTTAAAGTTCCAAAATGGCAGAAACAAATTATTTTTCCTTTAAAAATTCTTCACAGTATCTCCTGTAAAAATATCGCAGGGGAAAATGTTAAATAATCTGCTAAGAAAATTCTATTAATTTATTTTTATTTTCAATAAAATATAGAGTTCAGTACTTGATCTTTAATAACACTGGAATTTGGAAATGGAAAAAATAAAAATCTGAATTCAGCTTCAAGCCTTTCCCCATTTCCCAAGTCTGCTTTATCTCTCTCTTCTACTTCTAAAGCTGTCTTAAATTACACCGTGTAAACTGTTCCCTTCCCACTGAATACATTTCTTCTCCTCTCTGCCCTTGGAGCTTAAGCTCCTAGGCTCTACCTGGAGTAATCTTTTTGCTTTTCAGATCTCATTAGACATCCAGCCCCAGGTAAAATTTCCTCCACTGGGCCTCATTTAAACTGATACTTCTTAGCATATTTGGGTATAATTCTTTCCATTCCATTGTGCTTATGGTCACAAACACTTGTCATTTGATGTTCTGAAGTGATTTTACATTTAGGTCCTCATCCTAATGCTTCATTCTTAGAAGGCAATGACCCCAAAATCTAGGAAGGTGTTGCCACACTTGAGTTGCTCAAAAAACACTTTTTTGCCAGATACAATACCATTAGCTTTTGTCTTCTAGTTTTAGGGGTCAAGAAAATAGTGCAGAAGTTAGGGCTCATAAAGTCTAAATATAACCAGATAAGCACACAACTGAGTAATTGTCCAATGCTGAAAATATTTCAAAGGAAATCTTGCTGGTCACTTCTAATTAGTCTAGAATATCCTGGCTGAGCAGTAGGATCTACTGATAGCTTCACAGACTGCCTCAGTGTCACCTGGGGTGCCACTTTAGGATGCAGATTCCTGGTCTCATGCCTTTAAAATCTGACTTTATAGAATTGGAATGGCAATCTCTATCATAACCTGTATACAGTTAACTCTGATGTGCAGAGAGGTTTGGAAATCAACTGAGTCTGAAAATAAGGTTCTCAATAGAAAGAAACTATCAAGAGATGTTGAGAAGATACTGTGATAAAATAATTTGGATTTAGCATTGAAGTTTAAGTCTTAGCACTAACCCTTAGGTATGAAACCATGGGCAAATTATCAACCCCTTTGCACCCTGGGGCAACTGTTTTACTTACTTTACACCAGGGATCTGTTTTACTTACTATTTGCTGACTAACATATTACCCCAAACATCACATATTAAAACACAGCTTATTTTGCTCACAATTCACTGGGTCAGGAATTGTTAGAAGGGCCAAGGGTAGTAATTCTCTTTCACCATAGTAAAGACTTGGATGGGTTGCTGTCAGATATCACCTCGGGTCGTAGTTATCCAAAGGATGTCAAAAATGGCACACTCACATGGCCAGTTGATGGCAGCTGTTGGCTGGAGGATTAGGTGAGCTGTCTACAGGGGCACCTATGATGACTCTCATATGGCAATTAGAGTTCTTTTTTCAATTTTTAATTTTTTAATTTTACATGGTGCATAGTAGAGGTATATGTTTATAGAATATGTAGGCTATTTTGATACAGGCATACAAAGTGTAATAATCATACCTGGGTAAATGAGGTATCAATTGCCTCAAGCATTTATACATTATGTTACAACAAACCATTTGTACACTTATAGCTATTTTTAAATGTATAATTAAATTATTATTAATTACAGTCATCCCATTATGCTATAAAATAATAGATCTTCACTATTTTTTTGTTCCATTAACTATCTCCACTTCCTCCTCCAATGCACTACTACACTTCCTAGGTTCTCATACCCATCCTTCTACTCTCTATCTGTGTAGGCTTAATTGTTTTTATTTTTAGCTCCCTCAAGTAAGTGAGAACATGCTAAGTTTGTCTTTCTGTTCTGGGATTATCATATTTGACTACAGTTTACTCTGTTATTGCAAATAATAGGATGTCAATCTTTTGCATGGCTGCATTATACTCCATTGAGTATACTTATATTTTCTTTATGCAGTCCTCTATTGATTGACACTTAGATTGCTTCCAAATATTCCCTATTGTGAACAGTGTTGCAACAAACATGGGAATGCAGATATCTCTTCCATATACTGTTTTGGTTTTTGTTGGGTATATATCCAGCAGCAGGATTGCTGGATCTATTTTCAGTTTTTTGTAGAAACCTCCAAAATGGCCTCTATAATGATCATCCTATTTTACATTTCCACCAACATTGTTTGAGAGTTCCCTTTTGTAACTGCTTATTTGGACAAAAGTTATTTTAATGGGGGTGAGATGATATCTCATTGTAGTTTTGATTTTCATTTCTCTAATGTTCAATGATGTTGATCACCTTTTCATAAGCCTATAGGTCTTCTTTTCAAAAATGTCTATTCAGATTTTTTTGGCTAATTTTTAAATTGAATTATTAGATTTTTAAAAATACAGTTGTTTAGCTTCCCTATATATTATGGTGATTAATCCCATGTCAGACAGATATTTGGCAAAGTTTTCTCCCACTCTGCAGGTTGTTTCTTCACTCTGTTAATTGCTTTCCTTTATTGTGCAAAAGCTTTTTAGCTTCCTGTGACCTTATTTGTCTAATTTTGCTTTGGTTGCCTGAGCTCGTGGGGTAGCACTCAAGAAATTTTTGCCCAGTTCACTGTCCTGGAGAGTTTCCCCAATATTTTCTTGTAGTAGTTTCATGGTTTGAAGGCTTAAAATTAAGTGGTTGAGCCATTTTGATTTGATTTTTGCATATGGTGGTAGATAGGGTCTAGTTTTATTTTTCTGCATATGAATATCCAATTTTTGCAACACCAGTTATTGAAGAGACTGTCCTTTTCACCAACTTATGTTCTTGGCACCTTTGTAAAAAAATGAGTTAACTACATATAGGTCTGTGGATTTGTTCCTGGGATCTGTGTTCTGTTCCACCAGTCTATGTGTGTGGTTTTGTGCCACTACATCGTGCTTTGATTACTATACCTCTGAAGTATAATTTGAAGACACGTAAATATAATTCTTCCTTTTTTGTTCTGTTTGTTCAGGATTCTGAGTCTTTTGTAGTTCCACATAAACTTTAAGATGGTTTTTCCTATTTCTGCAAAGAATAGAATTGATATTTCAACAGAGATTGCATTGAATCTGTAGATTACTTTGGATAGTATGGACATTTCACAATAATGATTCTTGAGAATTCTAAGCATAGACTATCTTTCCATTTTTTTGTGTCCTCTTCAATTCCTTGCACCAATATTTTACAGTTTTCATTGTAGAGATATTTCAGCTTTTTGCACAGGAATAAGTTAATCAGGGTGGAGCCAAGATGACCAAATAGGAACAGCTCCAGTCTACAGCTCCCAGCGTGAGTGACACAGAAGATGGGTGATTTTTGCATTTCCAACTGAGGTACTGTGTTCATCTCACTGGGGAGTGTTGGACAGTGGGTGCAGGACAGTGTGTGCAGCGCACCGAGTGTGAGACGAAGCAGGGAGAGGCATCACCTCACCCAGGAAGCACAAGAGGTCAGGGAATTCCCTTTCCTAGCCAAAGAAAGGGGTGACAGATGACACCTGGAAAGTCGGGTCACTCCTGCCCTAATACTGCACTTTTCCAATGGTCTTAGCAAAAGGCACACCAGGAGATTATATCCCGTGCATGACTCGGAGGATCCTATGCCCACAGAGCCTCACTCACTGCAAGAACAGTAGTATGAGATCAAACTATAAAGTGGCAGCAAGGCTGGGGGAGGGGTGCCCACCATTGCTGAGGCTTGAGTAGGTAAACAAAGCTGCCAGGAAGCTCGAACTGTGTGGAGCCCACTGCCATTCAAAGATGCCTGCATGCCTCTGCAGACTCCAACTCTGGGGGCAGGGCATAGCCAAACAAAAGACAGCAGAAGTCTCTTCAGACTTAAATGTCCATCTGACAGCTTGGAAGAGAGTAGTGGTTCTCCCAGCACGATGCTAGAGATCTGAGAACAGACAGACTGCCTCCTAAAGTGGGTCTCTGACCCCCCAGTTGCCTAACTGGGAGGCACCCCCAAGTAGGGGCAGACTGACACCTCACACAGCCGGATACTCCTCTGAGACAAAACTTCCAGAGGAATGATCAGGCAGCAACATTTGCTGTTCACCAATATCCGCTGTTCTGCAGCCTCTGCTGCTGATACCCAGGCAAACAGGGTCTGGAATGGACCTCCAGCAAACTCCAACAGACTTGCAGCTGAGGGTCCTGACTGTTAGAAGGAAAACTAACAAACAGAAAGGATATTCACACCAAACCCCCATCTGTACGTCACCATCATCAAAGACCAAAGGTAGATAAAACAACAAAGATGGGGAAAAAACAGAGCAGAAAAACTGGAAACTCTAAAAATCAGAGCGCCTGTCCTTGTCCAAAGGAATGAAGTTAGTCACCAGAAATGGAACAAAGCTGGATGGAGAATGACTCGGACAAGTTGAGAGAAGGAGGCTTCAGATGATCTAACTACTCTGAGCTATGGAGAATGACTCGGACAAGTTGAGAGAAGGAGGCTTCAGACGATCAAACTACTCTGAGCTAAAGGAGGAAGTTAGAACCCATGACCAAGAAGCTAAAAACCTTGAAAAAAATTAGACAAATGGCTAACTAGAATAACCAATGCAGAGAAGTCCTTAAAGGACTTGATGGAGCTGAAAACCATGGCATGAGAACTATGTGATGAATGTACAACCTCAGTAGCTGATTCGATCAACTGGAAGAAAGGGTATCAGTGATGGAAGATGAAATGAATGAAATGAAGCAAGAAGAGAAGTTTAGAGAAAAAAGAATAAAAAGAAATGAACAAAGCCTCCAAGAAATATGGCACTATATGAAAAGACCAAATCTACGTCTGATTGGTGTACCTGAAAGTGATGGGGAGAATGGAACCAAGTTGGAAAACACTCTGCAGGATATTATCCAGGAGAACTTCCCCAATCTAGCAAGGCAGGCCAATAGTCAAATTCAGGAAATACAGAGAACACCACAAAGATACTCCTCGAGAAGAGCAACTGCAAGACACATAATTGTCAGATTCACCAAAGTTGAAATGAAGGAAAAATTGTTAAGGGCAGCCAGAAAGAAAGGTCGGGTTACCCACAAAGGGAAGCCCATCAGACTAACAGCTGATTGCTTGGCAGAAACTCTACAAGCCAGAAGAGAGTGGGGAACAACATTCTCAAACAAAAGAATTTTCAATCCAGAATTTCATATCCAGCCAAACTAAGCTTCATAAGTGAAGGAGAAATAAAATCCTTTACAGACAAGCAAATGCTGAGAGATTTTGTCACCACTAGGCCTGCCCTAAAAGAGCTCCTGAAGGAAGCACTAAACATCGAAAGGAACAACCGGTACCAGCCACTACAAAAACATGCCAAATTGTAAAGACCGTCAATGCTAGGAAGAAACTGCATCAACTAATGAGCAAAATAACCAGCTAACATCATAATGGCCAGATCAAATTCACACATAACAATATTAACCTTAAATGTAAATGGACTAAATGATCCAATTAAAAGACACAGACGGCAAATTGGATAAAGAGTCAAGACCCATCAGTGTGCTGTATTCAGGAAACCCATATCATGTGCAGAGACACAAATAGGCTCAAAATAAAGGGACGGAGGAAGATCTACCAAGCAAATGGAAAACAAAAAAAGGCAGGGGTTGCAATCCTGGTCTCTGATAAAACAGACTTTAAACCAACAAAGATCAAAGGAGACAAAGAAGGCCATTACATAATGCTAAAGTGATCAATTCAACAAGAAGAGCTAACTATCCTAAATATATAAGCACCCAACACAGGAGCACCCAGACTCATAAAGCAAGTCCTTAGAGACCTAGAAAGAGACTTAGACTCCCACACAATAATAATGGGAGACTTTACACCCCACTGTCAGCATTAGACAATGAGATCAACGAGACAGAAAGTTACCAAGGATATCCAGGAATTAAACTCATCCCTGCACCTAACTGACCTAATAGACATCTACAGAACTCTCCACCCCAAATCAACAAAATATACATTATTTTCAGCGCCACACCACACCTATTACAAAATTGACCACATAGTTGGAAGTAAAGCACTCTTCAGCAAATGTAAAAGAACAGAAATTATAACAAACTGTCTCTCAGACCACAGTGCAAACAAACTAGAACTCAGGATTAAGAAACTCACTCAAAACCACTCAACTACATGGAAACTGAACAACCTGCTCCTGAATGACTACTGAGTACAAAACAAAATGAAGGCAGAAATAAAGATGTTGTTTGAAACCAATGAGAACAATGACACAAAATACCAGAATCTCTGGGACACATTCAAAACAGTGTGTAGAGGCAAATTTATAGCACTAAATGCCCTCAAGAGAAAGCAGGAAAGATCTAAAATTGACACCCTAACATCACAATTAAAAGAACCAGAGAAGCAAGAGCAAACACATTCAAAAGCTAGCAGAAGGCAATAAATAACTAAGATCAAAGCAGAACTGAAGGAAATAGAGACACAAAAAATGCTTCAAAAAATCCATGAATCCAGGAGCTGGTTTTTTGAAAAGATCAACAAAATTGATAGACTGCTAACAAGACTAATAAGTAAGAAAAGAGAGAAAAATCAAATAGATGCAATAAAAAATGATAAAGGGGATATCACCACCGATCCCACAGGAATACAAACTACCTTCAGAAAATACTACATACACCCTCCCAAGACTAAACAAGGAAGAAGTTGAATCTCTGAATAGACCAATAACAGGCTCTGAAATTGAGGCAACAATTAATAGCTTACCAACCAAAAAAAGTCCAGGACCAGATGGATTCACAGCCAAATTCTACCAGAGGTACAAGCAGGAGATGGTACTATTCCTTCTGAAACTATTCCAAGTACAGGAGGGTCTGCTCAGCCTTGTAACATGGGTACGAGTCCTGAGCAAGACAGATGCACACTGAGAACATGAGCCTAAAGTGCCATGCCAATGTCTACGGTTAGGCATTGGAGAGAGCAAACGGGACCTAAATAGACATCTTTTGAACTTTTGAGGAGATAGAATCAGAAAAGTGGAGGGAAACAGCCTTCATTCAGCAGCAGGAGACTGATGTGTGGATGATTTGGGGTGCCGATATTAGATTGGTCTAAAAACTTAATGACCATGAAGACATTAGTGCAGTTCTTTGCAGAGCTGCTCATTCATGGATGGATTACAGATCAAACATTTGGTGCCCTATAAATGTTACTAATTCGCAAAATTGTTTTCCTTTTTTTTTTCAAAACCATGTTGCTCTGGATTGTGGATGTTATCATGTTATTGGTAGTAGGTAGAACAAGACAATTTGAATTTCAATTTAGGGAGCTGTATGTATCAAGAATGTTCAGTTTAAGATGTGTGTCAGGCTAACATGCACTAAGACAAATTAAGACACTTGGTGCTCAGTTGTCCATTAAGAACTAGAAATGTAAACATTGATAGGCAAATACAAAGACAGAAAGTGTAACTGTATTTGAGAAAAAATATGGGATTTTGTTTAATTTAATACTGGGCAGAAATTTTGTGAGATGTTGCTAGGGACCAAAGCCCATTTAAAGGTGTGAAGGTGGTTCCATGAATATCTGTCTATCCATGCTTAAGGACACAAGCTGAATGGGAAAACCTCTTCAATGCATAATGAAGGCTTTTCTGATGAGAGAGAACAACACTGTGAAGGAAGCATGGGTTACACAACCACATTCATGCACATAACATTTTTGTTCACAGTGAAATAGTGCATCTTTTTCAGAAACAGAAACAGGAAACAGAGGGCAAAGTGACGTACCTGAATGTGGATGGCCCTCAATTCTTCAAATTTATTCTGGTTATTGTTTCTTTCATTATGGAGCAGAAAAGAGGGTATGTGTTGAGCATGAAGCAAGATTTCTAAGAGATTTTGAGTTATTGACTTTGAATGGATGGATGATGATGGAAAAAGGGAGGAATATCTTTCCACTTTCTGAACCTGAGTAGTGGATGTTGCATATTTTGTGGTTCTGTTGTCTCAAGTGATGCAGGGTCTGGTGGCCTGGGAAAGACAAAGCCAAAAAAAAAATGCTTTCATTTTTGTATACTTCCCCCCCAACCCCTCTGGAGAACCATCAGGAAGGCCTGTGTAGGGTGGATTAGCATAAGCCCCCACCAACCCAGACATGCATGTAAATTCTGCCCTGCTTCAAGGATTTTTCACTACCCCAGCATAGCAGGATTTAAGCTGGCAAGACTGCTGTTGGGTGGAGCCCATGTTGGCTGCTGGCTGGGCCTCAATGCCACCAGAACCCCAGGATCACCAGGACTTTCCTCAGAAGGTCCAGGTAGCCCTGGGAATGCCATCCTGGAGGTTTTGAAAAACATGGGAGGGGCAAGGGCTTTTGTGCGTTTACGCCTGAGGTGTGGTATCTCATACAATAGCCCCTTCTTCACCCCTGTTCCCCACCTCCCACCAGCCCCAGGCCTGAAGGAGCTCAGAAGTCCCTTTTGTTGTTGTTGTTTGCAATGGAGTCTCACTCTGTTGCCCAGGCTGGAGTGCAGTGGCCCAATCTTGGCTCACTGCATCCTCCACAACCTGTGTTCAAGCGATTCTCCTGCCTCAGCCTCCGAAGTAGCTGGGATTGCAGGCACCTGCCATGATGCCCAGCTGATACTTGTATTTTTAGTAGAGAGGGGGTTTTGCCATGTTGGCTAGGCTAGTCTTGAACTCCTCACCTCAGGTGATTCCCCCCACTTCAGCCTCCCAAAGTGCTGGGATTATAGGCTTAAGCCACCGTGCCTGCCCAAAAGGTCCTTTATTAGGCCTCAGTGCAATTCTCATGTGTGCATGAGTGCGTTGAGGACCACACATGGGGCAGGTGAGCTCTTTTCTCTGCAAGAGGGGACCCTCCTGCATCAGGGCTTCTTGTGCCTGCTGTTATGTCTCAGCCCTGCTAGGGATCTAGTCAGAATGGCAGGAGGCCAAGTTTGGCTACCACTCATACTGACTTTTTTCTTCAGTGTTTTTGGCCAGAATTCCCGATTCCCTCTGGAAAGTCTGTTCTTTGCTGAGGCACAGGTAGCTGAGCCATGAGAAGACGTTCTGGTCAGAGTGACTGGCCTCTTTTGTCAGTCCCTGAGGTGGACAAATTGCCCTGGTCTACAGCTATCTAGACTGCTTTTGGCAGTTGTCCCCAGTACATTCTGCCAAGGGATTGTATGAATTTTTGTCGAGTGAGAGTCGTTGTGGGTTTTAATAATCGAGCTGTTCTCCCTTGGTTATTTTTTAGCACCCTGTCACCCCAACCAGCATCGCCTGCTCACTCCTGGCGATTAGATTCGGCGGCAAGTCTGTCCGAAGATCTTTAACCTAGCAGAAAACATAACTAGTGATCTCAAAGATGATGGGGGGGAATGATTAATGTACATCGACACAGGGCAGATAGAGCTTTTAGGTCGTACTTGTCATATTGATTTGCATGGATACAGAGTTTTGCTAATGTTGAAAACCTGAAGCTAAACTATATTTTCATTGTTTATGTGCAACTAGAGGAACTGCTAGGTAAAGAGTTTCAGATCAGGGCTCCAGATTGGGGTGCCAGGAGCAGGGCATGTGAGATCACCAAGAGATTCAGAGGCCTCCACTTTATTTTATTTATTTATTTATTTATTTATTTATTTATTTATTTATTTATTTATTTATTATTTTGAGACAGAGTCTCGCTCTGTTGCCAGGCTGGAGTGCAGTGGTGCCATCTTGGCATACTACAACCTCCGCCTCCCGGGTGCAAGCAATTTTCCTGCCTGTATCCTGAGTAGCTGGGGCTACAGGCTCGCACCACCACACCCAACCAATTTTTCTATTTTTAGTAGAGACGGGGTTTCACCGTGTTGGCCAGGATGGTCTGGATCTCTTGACCTCGTAATCCACGAGCCTCGGCTTCCCAAAGTGTTGGGATTACAGGTGTGATCCACCGCGTCCGGCCCCGGGGTCACAACTTCGAGGTGTTGTTTGTCCTTGTGATTTCAGAATGTGGGGAGGAGTACCATTTTAGGTGGGGGAAGGTTATGAAAAGGCACTATTGCTTTGAAGAAAGGAGGGTCTTTTAATGCTAATAGTAACTGCCACAGGGGTAGATTTATAGGGCCAGTAGGGGTCGCTCCGTACCATTTCTGGCACCTTCCTCCAACACCAATTTCTGTTCTTCAGAGCTCTAGCTATCATGACAGGAATACAATAGACTTTTATCGCAAGAGTTTTTTACTTTTTACTTTTTATTTTTTTTAGGCAGCCTCCTTCTGCCTTGCTCCCTCTCCTTCCCCCTTCCGGAAGCTATAGACACTTCCGAGAGAGCGCGAACTTGCGGTGCACTTTGCATGCGCGCCGCGGGTAGGACTGGACGGTCGGATTTGTAGGCAATTCTGACACCGAGCTCCCGGGCTCGGTTGGTAGAAGATCGCTTTGGGAATCCTCCTACTCTACGAGGACCAAGTAAGACTGGGTGTGTTAGGGGAAGTCAGCAACTTGAGTTCTGTCTCGCAGTGCCTGGGCGGAACGTCCCCTCTCCTGAGGTGTTGGGATGCTATGAGAGGGGTTGAGAGGGAAGGCCCACCCCACCCAGATCTCGGTGCGGGGTGAGGTCGGAACTATGTCAGATTATCGAGGCTAGAAAGTCTTTAAAAGTCACTTGCGGAGGGCTGGCCCGCAGACCAGGGCTGCCGGGCCACGACGGCGTGCTCGGCTGGCAAAACGAGTTGACATCATCCCTCTGTCCCTCCTGCCGCTAACTGCTGGGTCGCACAGCGGAGCCATTTCGCACATCTGGAGTTTTGGGGTTAGGAGAAGCAAGCGGTCCAAGGCTGGAAAACCAATAGAGGTGGCCGAGGATCTGGTGCCCCCTGCGCGGCCTCACGGAGCCGAGCTGGCGGTAACCCTGGGCATTGGAGCGTCCATGAGAACTAGAAACTGGGAATAGTGTGGGAACAAACATCGGAACGGGAACCGATGTTTGCCACTCCTAAGCTTCAGTGGTTTTTGATTTCTAGGGCGAACTTCTGGGGAGAGGAAAAGATAAAACAGTTTGCTTCGTTAATTGGCTTTTTGTGGCAGCGCGAGAGTTGTAGGGCACAGTACCTGGCTTGCAAGCCACTCCCATTAGTCTCTTCATTCACCTGCTTCCCTTCCCCCTCTCTGGTAGTTTTGCTTCAGCCCTGTGACTAGTGTAAAAGTACTTTTTGAAGACATTAGCCCAAGGCAGATAGATTTGTTCACTACGTGGCAAAACTAGAGCGTCAAAGCCTAGTTTCTAACAATGAGTTGGAGACCTGAGAGTAGCCAACCTACCTTTTTTTTTTCTCTCTCTTCCTATTCTGGGCTCCTGGAGGAAGGGAAAGTGGGGTCTTCTGGGAACTAATGACCTCACACCAGGGAGGTCAATTTCATAGTAGAGAGTGGGATATAGGAAAAAAGTATGAAATTTTAAAACGTGCTAAAAGATTACTGCAGGTAAGAGAAACTGGGTTCAAGGCTTCTTGTGAATTTAGTTTCTAGGACTGAAATGGTATCTTTTTACTGTTATTTAGGGAGGAGTATTAGGGAAGTCTTCCAAATTTCCTCAAGGATACGGCGTGAGAAAATAATGATTTCAAGTGGAAAAATTAGACCAGCAATTGCCTTCTCTGTGCACTTCTACGTTTGAGCTTGAGTTTTGTCCTTACGGATAAGTTATTTAGGGCCCTCCAGCCTCAGTAAGTTTTTCATTTGTTAAGATTGAACAGTCATCCATCTTTAGGACCAAAGAACACTAGGGACATTATTGTCCTAAGGATAAATCGTGCCTTAGCTAACCAGTCATATTCTGTGGATTGCGCCTTCATTTCTTGCTGCTACTATTCCCTCTGACAGTGATATGCCAGTGTCCTGGGACTGACCAGTTAATACTCTCCACTGAGGTTATTTCTCTGGGTTTGCCTCTTTCCCTTTATGTCAGTTCTTTGTAATTTAAATGAGTACATATTGAAAGGACTGAATCTTTTTTTTCCCCACTAAATAGGATCATTTTATGGTTTAGACATTGGTTCTAAAGCTCTTAACCCTTAGCACTATGCTCTTTGGCAAGTGTTTTTTTTTTCTTTTTTTTTTTTTTTAGACGAGAGTCTTGCTTTGTCACCCAGGCTGGAGTGCAGTGGCATGATCTTGGCTCACTGTAACCTCTGCCTCCCAGGTTCAAGCGATTCTCTTGCCTCAGCCTCCCAACTAGCTTGGATTATAGGCGCCCACCACCAAGGCCAGCTAATTTTTGTAGTTTTAGTAGAGACAGGGTTTTATCATGTTGGCCAGGCTGGTCTCAAACTTCCGACCATAGGTGATCTGCCTGCCTCAGCCTCCCGAAGTGCTGGGATTACAGGCATGAGCCACCATGCCTGGCTGGCAAGTTTTTCATCATTGTTTTGGGGAAGGGAACAGGAGCTGCTAGAGGAAGGAGACCTGGTTGGAACAGGTGAGACAGAAGTGGCCTGCTGGAGAAGCGGAAGTGCGGGATACATTTGATAAGGATTAAATCTGGATGTTATGAGGGCTCAGTGTGGTGTTCTGCAAAGTCGGCCAGGGATCACTGTTTTATGTTTTGTATTTTTTAAAAAGTTTCTAGCATGAGTAGAAAATCAGATCTGTATCTTTTGAAAATTACCTGATAACTGAGGGCAGAGTATCATGAAAAAAACTGGTTTATCTTGGGAATGGAAGCTGTAACCAGACACGTTACATCTGCGCAGCTTTGAGCCACCAGACAAGTGAGAGTGGCTTCTTTCCTCCAAAAAAATACTTTTGTTTTCTTTTTGGTCAGTAGAAGTACTCCTAAATGCTATTTTTCCTTACCCACTTGAAGACATTTCTCCAGCATGACACTCTTCTGTGGACTGTTTTTCCCACCCTTACTGGTTTTCTACCCTTTATTTATTTATTTGTTTGTTTGTTTGTTTATTTATTTATTTGTTTATTTTGAGATGGAGTCTCGCTCTGTCGCCCAGGCCAGAATGCAGTCTACCATTTATTTTGCTCAGAGTCACAGTGAAACACAGTCAGGGTGTGCTTATTAAATGCTGTATAAAATGCTGTCAATAGAAGAAAAAATTACAAAGGTTAGAGGATATAGATTCATGGGTTTTTGACAGGAAATGCCTTGGCACTTGTCATGTGATAACATGACACTTGTCTAGGATTTACATTATTTGTACACTACATTTCATTTTTTTTTTTTTTAGAAGAAGTAGGCCTAGAGCTATTCAAGTTTGCATTTGTACAGAACTGCTAAATGGGAGTTTCAAAGCATTTAACAAGGCATTTAACAAGGTTTCTAGACAACCAAGTTTTAATCAGACCCAAAGCTGGAACATACATTTTGACTTGCCCAGCTCCACCACTGCCTCTGTTGTTGAAGAAAACAAAAAGACTTGAAAATAATTTCCTGTGCTTGTACTCCCCACCTTCACCCCTTCTCTGAGGGCACTCAGCTAAAGCTGAAGTATATTTTGATATAGGCAAGGCCCAGGCTGTATACTTTGAAAATAATTGTAGTTGGGTAAATACTGTTTATAAAACAAAGTGGGTGCAGTGACTCATACCTGTAATCCCAGCTCTTTGGGAGGCCAAGATGGGTGGATCACTTGAGGTCAAGAGTTTGAGACCAGCCTGGCCAAAATGGTGAAACCCCATCTGTACTAAAAATACAAAACTTGGTTGGGCGTGGTGGCACACAACTGTAATCTCAGCTACTGGGGAGGCTGAGACAGGAGAATTGCTTGAATCTGGGAGGCAGAGGTTGCAGTGAGCTGAGATTGTGCCATTGCACTCCATCCTGGGTGACAACAGTGGAACTCCGTCTCAAAAAGAAAGAAACAAAAAACAAAACAAAACAAAACAAAAAAACAAAACAACAACAAAAAACAAAACAACAACAGCAACAAAAACAAGGTGCTAAGATGGGAGGTAAACTGGCCTGGTAAATTTAATTGTTAAGAACAATGTCAATTATATGTAAAAGATATTCATTAGACAGAGACCAAAGATTTGTTTCTTGGGCAGTTGTATTTCTAGTGAAAGTTTATGATACAAGGTAATGCCTTCGGTAAACCATATAATGAGCCTCATGTAAGTATTTAGTTAAAGCATATTTAAGGACTCACTAGTCTTGTAATTTGCTCTAATAATGATGCTATGGGAATGAAGTTAATCAAATATCATAAAGGAGACATTGAGGTGGGCAATTTACAAAACAAAGAGACCACTATGGTGTGGGCTATAGGACAGATCAGGACTTTGTGACATGTACAGACTTACTGCCAAAACCTCAACGTGTCCAGGGTAGATCAGCTCCTGCTTTTGCCGAGTGTAGCAATCAGTCCTAGAGGTTTGAACAAACTTGATTTCTAGTTGAGGAAATGGGCTATAGGAATCATGCTTTCTTTTTAACCCAAGGAGAAAATTCTGGGAGAGGGCTGATAAACTGCACAGAAATCTATAAGAAATGGCAGCATTCTTTTGCTTATGATGTCTCTGGTGAAGCTGACCCGTATGGGACTTGTTTTGAACTGCCATTAAGGTTTGATCTGTAGCTGTATCTCTAGTCTGGTTTGACTTTGGTAAGGGGAATGTCAAGGCCATTTACATCAATCACAAATTTGTAAATAGTGTAAACGCTATTGGCAAGGATTAGCACAGTGTCTCTAGTCGTCTTTCCTCAGCACTTATAAAGCCCACAGGATGTAAACCCACAGAGGAAGTGCAGAGGTGGCTGCTAGTTTCTGGCCAGAGTGTCTTCTACTGAGAAAGCTCAACCGAACTTCCTTACTTAACTAAACAAATCTTTCTGACATCCCAGGATTGGGATGAGGTGCAGGATGGTTTGTATGTTGTGGTTTAGGGAACTTGTTAGGCGGAGGTGATGGGAGAAGGCTTACAGGGTCATGCGTGTTTGTGTCTGGAGGAGTTTGGCTAGGATGTGTACACCTGGTTTCTCAGCTGCTTGTGACAGAATTTTTAAGATTTGAGAAAATAACTTTCAGTTGTAAGTAGTAAGCTTGCTGTAAGAATTATTAATTAAATTAAATAATTATTTAAAAATACATCAGTTATGTAATAATAATCCTGGAAATTGCAGAATACTCTGAAAGTCACTGTTTCCTTCTGAAATGGCCTTGTTATTTCAGATGACAAGTTAGCAACAGGAGTGTGCTGTGTTCCCTACACTTGCCACTGTTTACCAGGTTGGAAATGCAACATTGTAGGTTCCAGGACTCAAACAGGGTATATTTGGGAAGAAAGAATGCCAGCTGGCTTTTGACAATCTATTTCCCTTATAAGCCTTCCCCTTTTCAGAAATATTTTTGCCTTCAATTGTAGGATGCAAAAGTGTAGTCTTCAGGTCTGCCTACTGTACCATCCACTCTGTGACTTATTAAACTAGATGTTCATAGTCATAGGCCATTTCCAAGTTCCTGGCACCTCTCCAGGCACTTCATGGAGGCATCATGTTGGGAAGGAGATCAATTGGCAGTGGTGACTATTCAATGAATCCTTAAAATGCCCAAGTCACCAAAGCAGGCAATCAAGATGATCAGGAATGTAGGTCTGCCTTTTGGCTGGGTTGGGGCAAGCTTAGTGTAAAAATTTACTCCTTAGGAACTCTGGAGTTGATAGCTTTATAACCATAGAACCTGGGGTTCAGTGAATCATTCAGGGCTGACTTAATCTGTATCCTGCCCTTCTACATGACTTTGAATCTCTGGTGAATACCTGCAGGATGCTTGCATTTCTTTGTGTCCACTTCCATTCCCCCTCCCTCCCGTCTTCCTAAGTTTTAACATGGGCTTTTTCATATATTTAGGATACCTAATGGGGAGCACAGAAATGCTTCTGGAGTGATACCTGAACTCATTGCCAGTTCTATAAATTGGTCTCTTTTTATGACTTGTGCCATTTTCTGGAGAAATGTTGCTTCCATTTCACCTGCTTCAGTTTCATCTGGAGGAAAGGCTTAAAGATAAACAAGCCTGTAGTGTGAAAACGTTAGAGGCCTTTTCCTGTTTACAGCTGGGCTTGTACTATCAAGATTTGATTTGTGCTTTTGAGGAGGGACTTTGGTTGGCATTTTTCTGAACTAAATGCAAATTATAGAAAAAAATATTTTTAATGGTATGCAATGTATTAGTCACTTGCTATTGTGCTCCAAGGTAGGCCTCATTTGCACCAGCATCCTTACATCTGCTTGATGCTCTTTGGAGGCAATTCCATGTGTTGCAGTGTGTGTAGTTCTATGGAGCAAGGAGGAGTGACTGAACTCTGACCAACCAGAAAAGTAATTGTGGGTGGTTGGTACACTGAAGTTTTTCTAAGTCTTTCTTTTGTGTTTTTAGACTTCTAACATTAAGCAGCACCCATGGGGTTCCCATTGTTCCTTGCAAAGAAAATGGATTCCTACTTTGTGCTCTGGCCCTTATCCTGCTTTCTGTGGACTCTCAGACTTTGGATTAAGAGCAAGGAATCTCAGAACTCCTGAGTGAAGTTTCTTTATATTCCCTTTGTATACTCATAAATGCTGCTATTAGCTTTATGGTATAATTTGTTCCATTTTGTTGGATAGAGGAGCTTACTCTATCCAACAATAATAAGTACCTTATTATTATTATTGTTATTATTGTCACCCACGCTGGAGTCCATTAGTATGCTCATAGCTCACTACAGCCTCTAACACTTGGACAAATGATCCTCCCACCTCAGCCCCTAGAAGAGCTGGGACTACAGGTGCATACCACCACACGAGGCTAAGTGTTTTATTTTAATTTTTTGTAGATATAGGTCTTGCTTTGTTGCTCAGGCTGGTCTCAAACTCCTGGGCTAGAGTGATCCTCCTGTCTTGGCCTCCTACGGTGTTGGGATTATAGGCATGAGTTAAAATACCTAGCTCGAGTGCATTTTTTTCCTGTGATACTCTAGTGGAGGCAAGTGCTTTGACAGGCACTCAGGGTTTAAATAAATAGTTATTGTAGATCTGCCTATTCTAGATCTATCCCTCCCTATGCAAACCCCTCTCACCCATCACTTTGAGTGGGAACCAGCTCTGTAGGGACCAGATCAAGAATGTGCTTGGGGGAGAAGAAGTAATGCTAAGATACTGTAATGAAAGATACAGATTTCTTTTTTTGGGACCTCTTCTATTGAGGGACCCCAGCATTCAAATGCTTCTGCTGTCACATAGGCAAATGATTCCCTGATGGTTCAGCATGTGGCACAATGTGAAAGAAATGAGAGGAACACAAAAGCAGATGTAGTAGCTTGAGAGATTAATGGAAAAGGGAGTCCCTCACAGCAATAGTTGATCTGGGAGAGGCACCTGGTCCGAGACACTTTTGCATGAGGGGTTCTGTGGGGAAGCCTGGGTTTTCCCTATACGCTCCTTGCTGATTTGCAGGCTAGTTCCTTTTCTCCAGTACTTCCCAGGGTCTGCACTGCCCTCCTTTGCTTTATCCCCAGTGGTTGCTTACACCTCACTTGTATCTTTGTAGGGGAGGAAGGGCCAACCATGGGAAGCAAAACTTCAGTCAGTTTGGAAGGTTTCCTGAATGACTGTGGAGGCTGAGATGGGGGTGGGTTAAGGTGGAGGGATGGTATCTTCAGTGTCCATTTCCTAGTAAGCTCAGCAGTATTATCAATGAGGCTTTGGGTATACTGGAGTCTCCCTGTGGCATGTGGAATTGCACCATTGACCATGTAGTTTCTTTTCATCAAGATTCCAGTAGGGACAGAAGGTACAGGCATGGGAAAAATAAGTTGGATTGCCAAGGCCAATTGGTGTGTGGTAAGTGTTACGGAACTTTGGTCTACCAAGAGGAAGGGACATTTCTCCTTCTCTCTATATTGCTGCTGACAAGAGTCAAGTACTTGGCCACTGTATTTTCTACTCTAGATTTCCAGTTCTCTCCTCTTCTTTCCTTCGCTAAGACTCATTTTATTGTAACTGCTGAACTTGTGAGCATGTGTGTGTGTAGACAGGCAGGAGGGTGATGGCAGCAGATAGCAACAGTGGGTAGTATTTCCCTCTGCAGTGCTTCTTACACGAACCTGCTGGCAACCTTGAGGGCATTATTGGAGTCTCCTACCTGATACAGATTAATTTTATGCAAAATGATTTACATGAAAATGATTTTTGTTCTTAGCCTCTCCTTTTCTAGGAATGGACTCTTTGGTGCTTGCATGAAGAACCGAGAGACATTGATTTGTGTTATATGGGGTGGTTTCTGAGATGCCTTCCATTTTGTCTGTGCTACCTGAGAAGTGTAATTTATGGACTTTAATAAATCTCAACATTCAGTCTATACAGAGAAGACAGAGACAGCGGAAAACACCCTGGTGTTAATCGTGTCCTCAGTCCAACTTCCTATTTCTTTATTTCTTTGAGTAACTTTCTGGCTCTTTTCCATTGGGGCTGCAACGTTCTTACCAATAGTCGAGTATTTTCTGTTTTTTTATTTTATTTTATTTTATTTTATTTTATTTTATTTTATTTTATTTTATTTCTTTTATGTGCTTTAGATTTATTATTGTTATATATACAATATAATATAATATTTACCATTTTAAGTATACATTCTGTGGCATTAGGCACATCTAAATTGTTGTGCAATCATCACTGCTCTGCATCCTCAGAATTTCTTTATTTTTCCTAAGTGAAACTTTACATCCATTAAATGCTCTTTCCCCACTCATGTATGTCAACCACCATTCTAATTTGTGTCTACAAATTTCACTATTCTAGGTAACCTATGTAAGTTAAATACAGTATTTGTTGTTTTGCAAATGGTTTCATTCACTTGCATAATATCTTAAAGGTTCATTCATGCCATATATGTGTGTGTATATACATATACATATATATGCATATACACACATACAACATTTTGTTTATCCATTTATCCATCAGTGGACTTTTTTTCACTTAAAAACACTGTTTAAGTTTCTGCTTTCAATTCTTCTGTATTATACCAAAAAGTGGAATTGCTGGACCAGAATTGTAATTATATGTTGAATTTTTGGAAGAAGCACAGTATGGTTTTGCAAACTGACTGCATGATTTTACCTTGCTACCAGCAATTTAAAAGGGCCCCAGTTTTTCCACATCCTCCCCATACTTGTTATTTTGTTTCATTTTATTGTTTTGTTTTTGGTAGTAGCCATCCTGATGGGGTAAACCCTAATAGCCAGCTTAATGGTATCTCATTGTGGTTTTGATTTACATTTTTCCAAAGATTCGCGATGCTGAGCACCTTTTTATGTGCTTATTGATCGTTTCTGTACCCTTGTTGGATGACTGTTTATTGTTTATATCCTTTACCCATTTTTTTAGCTGGGTTGTTTTGGTGGTGGTGTTGAGCTGTTATTATACTTTATGTGTTCAGAATTTTAATCCTTCATCAGATATATAATTTGCTAATATTTTCTCCCATTCTGTCAATTGCTTTTTAATTTTCCTGCCAGTGTCCTTTTAACAATTTTTTGGGGGGTTTTAAGCTGTGGTGAAAACCCCATATATTTCCTATCTTAACCACTTTAAGTGTACAGTTCAGTAGAATTACTTACATTCATGTTGTGCAATCAATCTCCAAAATTCATCGTCCAAATCAGACACACTGTACTTACTGAACACCCCCACACATTTCTTCCTGAAGTGCCTGACAAACAATTCCTTTTTGTGTCTGAGTGTTGCTGCTTTAGATATCTCATATATGTGGAATCATGCAGTATTCATGACTAGCTTGTTTCCCTTAGCAAAATATCCTCAAAGTTTGATGTTGTAGCACATGATAGGATTTCATTTTTTTGTACAGAACTTACACTTAAAAATGGTAACTTTTATACTATATATATTTTGCCACAGTAAAACCAAGGCACATCAAGGCAATATAAATTTTCAAAATAATATTTATGTGTGTAATTTTCACAATAACATTTCGTTGTATATATAGTCCACATTTTCTTTACTGGTCATCCATTGATGGACACTTTGTTTGATTCTATGTCTTGGTTATTATGAATAATGCTGCAGTGAACATGAGAGAAGAGATGTCTCTTCAACCTACTGATTTCAATTTCTTTGGAGACATACTGTGAAGCAGATTTACTGGATCATATGGCAGTTCTATATTTAAGTTTTGATGAAACTTTATACTGTTTTCTATACTAGCTGTACTAATTTGTATTCTCACTGGTGGTGTAAAAGGATTTCCTTTTCTCTACATCTTTGCCAATATATTTTATCTCTTGTCTTTTTGGTAACAGCCATTGCAGCAGGTGTGAGATGGTATCTCATGGTGGTATTATGTTGCCTTTCCTGATGATTAATGATGTTGAACATTGTTCCTATACCCATTGGTCACTTGTATATCTTCTTTTGAGAAATGTTATTTAAGTTATTTTCCATTTTAAAAGTCCCATTTTCAATTTTTTTGCTATTGATTGGAAATCCTTATATATTGGGTATTAATTCAAATTAAAAGCCTTTTGGTTTGTAAAAGGGTCCATTGCCAAGGGATTGGGGACCCTTGCCATAGAGGTAAAAAGGAATGTAAGAGAAAACAGTGAAAATTGTACACCAAAAAACTAGGATCCCTTT
Source organism: Homo sapiens (assembly GCF_000001405.40). Classification (NCBI taxonomy): domain Eukaryota; kingdom Metazoa; phylum Chordata; class Mammalia; order Primates; family Hominidae; genus Homo; species Homo sapiens. The sequence continues at coordinate 19,492,857 of NC_000024.10, read as the reverse complement.
AACCTGCTGACTGTTTACTGTGCAGAGGCGTTTTAGTTTGATGCAATCCCGTTTTTCTGTTTTTGATTTTGTGGTCATACCCAGGAAATCACTGCCAAATTAAGTGTCATGAACCTTTCTGTTTATGATTTTTTTCTTTCTTTCATGACTTTAGTACTTACATGAGGTCTTTAATCAATCTTGATTTACTTTTTGTGTATGGTATAAGGGTCAAGTTTATTCTTTTGCATGTGGGTATCTAGGTTTATTAAACACCACTTGCTGAATGGCCTCTTCTTTCCATGCTGGGTGGTCTTGTCACTCTTATTCTTTTGACCATACAGTTGAGGGTTTGTTTCTGTTCTCTCTCTTTGGTTCATCACCACACTTTTTGGTTTCTGTAACTTTGTCATATGCTTTGGTATCATGGAGTTTGAGATCTCCAATTTGGTTCTTTTTCAAGCTTGTTTTTACCACTCAGTGTTTTCCAAGATTCCATATTTATTTTAGGATATGTTTTTGTGCTTCTGCAAAAAAACCCGTTAACATTCTGAAAGATAGTGTTGTACTGTATGTCAATATGGATAGTATTGACATTTTAACAATACTAGGTCTTCCAATTTATGAACACAGGATGTCTTTCTCTTTATTTGTATATTAAATTTTTTTCAGCAATGATTTCTTGTTTCAATATGCCAAGTTACTATTTGTAAAATTTTCTTATGAATGGAATTTTTGTCAGCTGTTTTTGTATGTTTTATTGTAAGCTTACAAAACACAACTTGATTGCTCTGCGTTCTGTAACTTTGCTGAATTAATTTATTAGTTTTAACAGGTTTTTTTATTTGTTTGTTTTCCACCAGTGGAATCTTTCAGGTTTTCTATATATAGAATCATATGATCTGAAGAGACAGATATTTTTACTCCTTCTTTTCCAGTTTGGATGCTTTCTATTTTATTACTATTTCTGCTTATTTGCTCTGGCTAAGACTTGTAGTATCATGTTGACTAAAAGAGTCTAGAGCAAGTATCCTCATCTTGTAGTTGGTCTTAGAGGAAAAGCTTTTCATCATTTGCTGTTGAGTATGACGATAGCTCTAGATTTTTCATATGTGACATTTGTTAAGGTAGTTTTCTTATATTTCAAGTCTGCTGAGCATTTTTTTATATCACAAAATGGAGTTAATTTTTGCAAATGCCTTTTTTGTATAAATGGAGTTGATAGTTTATGTTCCCTCTTCATTCTCTTAGTGAGAATGCATTTTATTGATTGATTTTCAGGTGTTGAACTATCCTTGCATTCCTTGCATTTATTCATGTTCTTGCATGTCCTTGTATTTATGTAGGTGTAAACCCTACATAATTTGGTCATGGTGTATAATGCTTTCAATGTTCTGTTGAATTGTTGCTAGTGTTTTGTTGAGGATTTTCACTTAAATGTTATACTGGCCTATAGTTTTCTTCTTAAGTCTTTTCTTTAGTGTTACTATCTGGGCAGTATGGAATGAATGAATGTATAAATCTTCAAACAATGAATGTGGAACTCTTTCTTCTCTTTACTTTTTTTTGCAAGAGTTTTAGGTGTTAATTCTTTGTTAAGTAGAATTCTACAGTGAAGGTTTCTGATCCTGAGCTTTTCTTTTTTGAAGGTTTTTGATTTCTGATTCAGTCTTTTTACTGTAAGATTCTTCAGATTTTATCATTCTTTATATTTTATTTTTATTAGGTTGTATGTTTATAGTAATTTACTTATATTTTCTAGATTATCTAGTTTTTTGGTGTACAATTTTCACAGTTTTCTCTTACACTCCTTTTTACCTCTATGGCAGGGGTCCTCAATCCCTTGGCAATGGAGCCATTCCAATCCGTAGGCTGTTAGGAACTAGGCCACACAGGAGGAGGTGAGAGGTTGGTGAGCCAGCATTACTGTCTAAGCTCCACCTCTTGTCAGATCAGCAGTGGCATTAGATTCTCATAAGAGTGCAAACTTGCTTGTGAACAGTGCATGCAAGGGATCTAGACTGTGTGCTCCTTCTGATAATGTAGTGCATGATGATCTAAGATGTAACAGTTTCATCCAGAAATCATACCATCACCCTCCTCTGTCTGTGGAAAAATTGTTTTCCACTAAACCTATTGTCTGATGCAAAAACGGTAGGGGTTGCTGATCTATGGCATCAGTTGTAATGTCCCCTTTTCATCTGATATTAGTTATTTGAATCTATTAGTTATTTGAATCTGACATTAGTTACTTGAATCTATTCCCTTTTTAAAAATATCTACCTAAAGTTTTGTCAGTTTTCTTGATGTGTTCAAAACAATCGCCACCTGTTAGTTTGGTTTATTTTTTTTTGTATTGTTTTTCTATTTTCTGTTTCCTTTATTTCTGCTCTAATTTTCATTTATTCTTCTCTCTACTAGTGTTAGGTTGACTTTGGTATTCCTCTTGCACTTGCGCTGTAAAATTAAGTTGTTGATTTGAGATGCCTTCTTTTTTATTGTAAGTGTTTACAGCTATTAACTTTCCTGTTAGCACAACTTTTGCTGCATTCCATAAGTTTGCAATATACTCATTATATTAATGTAACCACCCCTGCTCTCTTTTGGTTACCATTTGCATGTAGTATCTTTTTCCACTCATTCACTTTTAGCATCATGTCCTAAAGACTCTAAATCAGTCTCTTTGTGGATCCCGTGTTTTATGCATTTAGTCCATTTGTCTTTTTTTAAATTAAGAAACTTAATTCATTTATCTAAAGTAGTTACTGGTAGAGAAGGACCTACATATTGCTGCCATTTTGTTTATTGTTTTTATGTGTGTTGAGCTTTTTGTTCCCTTGTCTTCACTCTTAGTGTCTTCCTTTGTGTTTTGATTTTTTTGCTAGTGACATTCTCTTCTCATTCCTTTTGCATATATATATATATATATATATTTTGAAACACAGCTTCGCTCCTGTTGACCAGTCTGGAGTGCAATGGCACAATCTTGGCTCATTGCAACCTCTGCCTCCCAGGTTCAAGAGATTCTCCTGTCTCAGCCTTCTGAGCAGCTGGGATTACAGGCATCCACCACAATGCCCAGCAATTTTTTTTTTGTGTGTGGTATTTTTAGTAGAGACAAGGTTTCACCATATTTGCCAGGCTAGTCTTGAACTCCCGACCTCAGGTTATTTGCCCGCCTCAGCCTCCTAAAGTGCTGGGACTACAGGTGTGAGACGCTGCGCCTGGCCTTTTGCCTGTATTTTGTAGAGATTTCTTTACAGTTAACATGGGGATTACATAGAACATCTTACACTTGCAATAATCTATTTTAAATTGATATTGAATTCAACTACAAATGAAAACTGCATGTTTACAGCTTTGTTTCCCTCCAACTTTCTGTTACTGATATTGCAAATAACATCTTTTATTAAAAAAATTGTGGGATCTTGTATATTGCCTTGGCTATATTTGAACTCCTAACCTCAGCAGTCTTTCTGTTTCAGCCTCTCAAGTAGCTAGGACTACAGGCACATGCCACTGCACCCCACTTAAATCTTTATATGGCATGTACACAGATGTATGGATGTATAATTTTTTAAGGCTTTTGTCTTTTAATGCTTTTAAAAGTATTATTTGTCATCAATCTTTCAAAATACAGGACTCTATATTTGACCATATATTTACCTTATCAGATAATTTTATGTCTTATAAGGCTTCCTATTGCTGTTTAGCATTCTTTCTTTGAAATACTTTCTTTAGCATTTCTTGTGACGGAGGTCTGGTGGGAATAAATGCCTTCAAGTTTTGTTTATCTGGGAAAGTCTTCATTTCTACTTCATTTTTAAGGAATGTTTGCCATATATATGTATGTGTATATATGTAATCTTAATTGACAGGTTTTCTTTTCACTAAATTTCTCACTGCCTTCTGGCCTTCAAGGTTTCTGCTTAGAAATTCACTGGTAATTTTATAGAAGCTTCCTGGTATGTGGCAAGATTTTCTCTTTTTCTTTAGAAATCAACAGCTTGATTGGGTCTGCACTGTGGCTCACACCTGTAATCCCAGCACTTTGGGAGGCCGAGGCAGATGGATCACTTTAGCCCAGGAGTTCAAGACCAGCCTGGACCACATGGCAAATTCCCATATCTACTGAAAACACAAAAAATTAGCTGGGTGTGTTGGCAGTTGCCTGTAATCCCAGCTATTCAGGAAGCTAAGATGGGATAATTGCATGAACTTTGAAGGTAGAGGTTGCGGTGAGCTTAGATTGCACCACTGCCCTCCAAACTGGAGAACAAAAAACCCCCATAGAAAAACAATTTATCATAGTATATCTTGGTATGGGTGTTTTTAAATTCTTAGTGGAATTTGTTGTTTTCAAATTTGTATGTCTTTTTTTCTCGGAATTTGGAAAGATTTTAGTCGTATTCTTCCAATAATGTTTTCTGCCTCTCTCTTACTCTTCCTTTTATGTGACTCTCATAATATGTATATTGATATGTATATTTATTCTTTTGTTTTCTCTTGTAACTCAATAATTTCAAATAAACTATCTTAAAGTTTACTGATTCTTTCCCATACCTCATCAAAGTCTTCTGGTGAGTTTTTAATTTCAGTACTTTGTTTTTCAGCTGTAAAAAAAATTTTTTTTTGAAAATCGTTTCTATTTCTCTTGATAGTCTCATTTTTGTTCATGTACTATTTTTCTTATTTCATTTAGTTGCCTGTCTTTGTTTTGTTTTCTCAATGAACAATTAAGACAGTTATTTTAAACCTTTGTGTGGAAATTGTGTGATCTCAGTTTCTTTAGGTTCAGTTTCCAGTGATGTACTTTGTTTTTGGATTTGGCCATTAGGCCATGTTTCCATGTTACTTGCATGTCTCTCAATCTTTCTTGGGATTTTGGCATTTGAGAAACAGCCACCCCTCCATTTTATGTACTGGCTTCATTGAGGGGAAGATCTTTTCTAGTCACCCCAGATAGAGGTTCTGGGACTTCTCAGTACCTTTCTTGGGATGCCTCTTGTCTGTATGTGCTTTTATTTTAACACGTATAGTTGATTTAACTGTCTTAATTTCCATTAGAGGATCATCCATGCTATTTCTCAGGTGATTTGGTTTTGGTTTCAATCTGGTCTTGGTATTCATCTGCCCACCATTTCTTACTTCCTCTGGTTCCTGCCTCTGACATTGCAGACTCATTGTTGCTCTGATGTGCTCATGTTTTCAGCATAGTGCATCCTGGTATACAAATGATGCTACAGTTTCTTTCAGCACTTCGGATTCAAGTGAGATAGAAACCAGTTTCTCAGGCATCCTGAAAATAAGACAGAACAATGTTGGCAGCAAGGAGGGGTTGCTGTATGCTGAGGGACGAGCTGAGAATTAGAAGGTTTACTCTGATTATTCCTCACTATACCAGATAGAGGAAGGGATAAAGATGAGCAAAATATCATGGACTTGGCTACTGTTTTTGGTTGCAGTATTTCTCGACAATACATTTGACTGGGTGCTGCAGCTTCTTAATGAGTCTGCAGAGTAAAGTTTGGTGCATATATCATTGTTATCTTGGTGTCTCCATGGCAGTATGAAAGACTATAGACCTATCAACTAATTGAATGTCTTCTTTTAATAACTGACTGTTCATATTCTTTGCCCACTTTCACATTGTTTTATTGTTATCCAGTTGAGTTACTTGTAAATTTGAAATTAATGGCTTGTAAGATATACAGTTTGCAAATATGTTCTCTTACTCAATGGGGTGTTTCTTCCCTTTCTTTTTTCCTTTGCTACACAGAAGCTTTGCAGTCTAATGCCATTTAATTTGATTATTTTTACTTTTGTTGCCTGTGCTTTTGGGGTGATATCAAAAAAGTTGTTACCTAGTTTGATATTGTTGAGATTTCTGGTAGTTTTTCAGCTTTTGATTATATATTTGCTTCTTTCATTCATTTCGAGTTGATTTTTGTATATTGTGTAAGATAACAGTCTAATTTCATTCATCTGCATGTGGATATTGAGTTTTCCCAGCACCATTGTTTGAAGAACCTGTCCTTTTTCCATTCTGCACTCCTTGCACCTTTGGAAAAAAAAAATTGAACATAAATGTTTGAGTAATTTTTGGGTTTTCTATCATTCTTAACTGGTTGAATGTGTCAGTTTTTATGCTAGTACTATGTGCTCCTGTTAGATTTTCTTTGTAATATGTCTGGTAATCAGGGAATATGCTGCCTCTAGCTTTGTTCTTTTTGTTTTAGGTTGTTTTAGTCTTTCAGCGTCTTTTGTAGTTCCATTCAAATTTAATGTTTGTGTTTTCTATTTCTGTGACAAGAGACCTTGGAATTTTGACGGTGATAACATCGAGTTTCTAAAATACTTTGGGTAGAATGGATATTTTCACAGTATTAATTCTTCTATTTTATGGACAAATCTATTTGTGTTTAAGTTTATTTGATCTTTTTTTGTAGTTTTCATTATAAATGTCTTTTATATCCTTGATTAAATTTATACCCAAGTTTTAAATTTCTTTGTTGTTGCTTTTATAAATGAGATTGTGTTATTTTTCCTTCTTAGTAGTTTGTTGGTATGCAGAAATGATATTGATTTTTACATATTTTCTTGGTCCTGTAACTTTATAGAATTTATTTATCTGTTCCAGCGGTTTTCTTTTGGTGCAGTCTTTGGGGTTTTCTAAATATAAGATCATGTTATCTCCAAGTAGAGATAAATTCACTTCTTTCTTTCTTGTTAGGATACCGTTTATTACTATCTGCTGTCTAATTATTCTGGCAAAGACTTCCAGTACTATGATGAAAATAAGTGGTGAAGAGTAGCCATCCTTGTCTTGTCTCTGTTCTTAGGATAAAATTTTGACCTTTCACCATGGAATCTGATGGTAGCTATGCATCTGTCATATGTAGCCTATAAATTTCCTCTCTTCTTAACTTGTTGAGAGTTACCATGAAAGGGTGTCAAATTTTGTCAAATGCTTTTGCAGTTGATATTACAATGATCATGTACTTTTCATTTCTTCTTTTTTTTTCAATGTGATGTGTTACATTAATTGGTTTTGTGTATGTTAAACTGTTTCTCAGAGATGAATACCATTTGATCATGGTTAACTATCTTTTAATGTGTTATTATATTAAGTTTGCTAGTAGTTTTTGAGAATTTATGTATGTGTCCATCAGGAATACTAGCCTGTGACTTTCTTTTCTTGTAGCATCTTCTCTGTCTAAGCAGTAAATAATTAAAGGTGCTCTTCAGGGAAATGCTGCAATTTTTTCTGCTGCATATTGGGATTTGAAAGATGGCACCAAATATTTTACATACTTTTGAAAACAAGCCCCAAGACAAACATAGCAGCCTGGCACATATATGCAGCTTCCTGTTCAGACTATAGCAGCTGATGGTTATGTTATAAAACTGTGTGTCACCTATAATTTTTAAATATTTTTATTTTTATTTTTTTGAGACAGGGTCTCACTGTGTTGCCCAGGCTAGAGTTTTTGTCGTCCACTGAAGGTTGCTTATTCTGTTAAAAATGTCTTCCTACACTCAAGAAAAACTAAGTGAATACTCATCTTATCTAAACCTTAACAGGCCTTGGGAGGGTTAGTGTGAGTTCTTTACCCAGTAAGGGTGGTGCTGACAGTTTTGGAGTTGGTAGCTTCTAAGTTGCAGCAAACAATTTTTGCTGAGGAGGCAAAATTTCCAGAGTGAATAGACAACTTAATATCCTTTAAATCTGAAAGGATCATTGTTTTATGCTTTTAGAATTATAGTTTAACAGAGGTGTGAAGAAAACAGGCAGCACAATGCCCTAAGAAGGAGTCTGCATAAGGGAAAAAAGCAGTTCACGCAGATACTATATTTCTTACTTTATCTTTAACCCCTTCTGCTCAGATGTTAGGCTGATGTCATATTGAACTACTTGGCAGTTTCTCTTATGTACTGCTACTGCTGTTTTGAAGGAGTGTCCCAAGTAACATCTATGTTGTTGCTCTGCCAAGGTGGATGCAAATTGGCTTATCAGATTGACGGCCTGGAAGCACTGATCATGGACCACACAGGCCTGAAACAGGAAGGGCTCCTGTTCCCCAGAAACACTGTCTTTCTAGTTTGAGCAGAATGAACTCCAAGCAAGATCATGAGGTTACCATGAACACTGTAGGTGGCCTTGGGTTTTCTTCAGAAATAAATCCATAGATGCAGTTCAAACTAAATATACCTGAGATAGTGGAAGATTTTGCTGTCTCTGAAAAACCCCCAGATTGCTTCACTGCTGTATGTAAAACACCGCCTGGAATACAAAATGCTTTCAGCACAGCAGAAACACTTGGCTTGGACAGGCCTACCAGCCACAATCATAGGCCTTGCAACATCTATGATGCTCATTACCTGCAGCTACCCTGGGTCAATCCTTACATGGAGAGTGCCACACCAGCCATCCATCCTTCCCTTGATTTTCCAAATATGTATTCACAGAACATGTTCTGGCTACCTCAGCAGTCCTCCAACTTGGCCCAGCTGCTATGTTTTCCAGGAAACAGAAATAGGAAGCAATTTTCCTACCTGCCATCACCTTGCTATTTCAGTCCCCACATCCCATTGTCCTTGGCATCACCCATGAGGCTTTCAACAGCTTTGGCCATCTCAGCCATTCCACCTCTCTTCCGCTGTGCAGACAAAAGCGTACCACGGAGGATGGCCATCAGTCCCCGGAACGCCATCAATTCCCACACCTATCCTCATATTCAGAACAGGAAACAACCAGGGTGCCATTTGCCAAGGCAGTTGCTAGTGGCTTTCCAGGCGATACAACTCTCGTGTTCTGTGCCTCCCCTCAGCCCTCACCCCAGGTCCACCTTCCCACCCAGGCTGTTGCAGACATATTCTCTGAGTTCCATGAGCATTATGCCAGGATCTCTACCGCTCCTTCAGTGACACTGTCAAAGGCAAACATGATGGGCAGTGAGTTCCCCACAGCGAGGCTCTCCAATAGCAAATATCCTGAGACCCTGGAAGTGGGTGAGAGTGCTCAGCCAGTCCCCATGTACACCTGGAAGACAGTGGCTCAAGACAGGAAAGATGGTGTCTCACCTCCTCTGTTAGAGAAGCAGAGTATTACCAAAAGCATCTCAAATAAGCCAGTAGAGTTGTCTTCTAAAGTGGTGGAGGTAGATGCTTCCAAAGCTGATCACATGAAAAAGATGGCTTCCATGGGCCTGGTTCACAGCATGGCTGGAAGTGGCTTAGTGCTCTCCAGAAGTGAGATTCTGAAAGAGATATCTTCTCTAAGAAATGGCTGTGCTATCTATAGATCTGAATTTATTAGCACTGATCCATCATCCTGGGTAGTACCCAGGCCAAGAACTAATGAAGAGAACAATGGTGAAAGCATGTTGAAAAACAAGGTGATGGACTGGATGATAATACAACAGCAAAGTTCTTTTTACCTTTGCATGAATGGCAAAGGAACTATGATCCCTAATGTTTTGGGGTCAGTGTCCTGTGCAGGCCACCCCACCTCTATATTAACTCTATATTACCAGTCCCCAACCCCACATAGGGCAGATGGCACTAGGACCAACAGGAGCTCTGTGGATACCACATCATCCATCATTCAGCAAGTGGGCCAACCTCCAACCGTGCCTGTCAAGCAAAGCAGCAGCACTAGCAGCAAGGTTGCCAAAGCCAGCAGCCCAGAACTGAGTTTCAAAGCAAATAAGAATGGCCTTCAACCAAGCCCCCTATTTCTACCTCCAAATGAGGCTTTCAGGCCCCCATCAATTTCCCACCCCAGAAGTTACTTTCCTTACCCAGTACCTAAGGCCACTGCTATAAGACCCTTCTCCTTACATGACAAAGGGCCTGTCTACCCTCATCCAGTTTTGTTGCCCAACAACAGTCTCTTTCTGGGGTGTCTTGCCTCAAAGCCTAGACTGCCTTATGTGGTGCCCATGGGCCATCCAGAGTTTCTGATCTACCAAGATGCCCTGGGATTTGGCATGGTGCAACCCATGTTGATAACACACAGGCCCATAGAGATCACCAAAAAGGAGAAACCAGAGAGGAGGTCACATTCCCAAGAAAGAGCCTGCCGCAAAGACCCAACTCTCCAGAATCAGTTTTCTGAGATGCTGGAAGCTAGCAGTACAGCGTTTCATCCAGAAGTCCCCAATGACAGTCTAAAACTGAACCCCAGCTGGAATCAAGGTAAGATTATTATCAGAAGTGATAAGGTTGTTTATGTAGACCATCTCCAAGAAAAAACAGATGCTAAAACTGATGCAAATGTGTCCAAACCCAGCTTCATAATGAAAAGTGTTGGCCAGAATGCTGACCCTGCCAGTCCCCCAATTGTCAAGCCATACCTGCAGCAGCATGGTGATTTCATCACCCTAAGAGAGAAGTTGGGGCACATTGATGACTTTCATGAACCTTATACTATCAAACAGACTCCAACCAACAAAGAGAAAAAAGAGGAGAAACCAGAGAAAGATCCCATTCCCATGAAAGAGCCTGCCACAAAGACCCAACTGTCCAGAATCAATTTTCTGAGATGTTGGAAGCTGGCAGTACAGAGTTTCATCCAGAAGTCCACACTGACAATCTAAAACTAAACCTCAGCTGGAACCAAGGGAAGACTGTTAGCAGAAATAAAAAGATTGTTTACATAGACCTTCTCCAAGAAGAACCAGATGCCAAAACTGAGGCAAACATGTCCAAACCATGCTTTACAGTGAAAAATATTGGTCAGAATGCCAAGCCTGCCAAGCCCCCAATTGTCAAGGCATCCCTGCAGCAGCATGGTGATTTTATCATGCTAAGAGAGGAGTTGGGGCACATTGGTGACTTGCATGAAGCTTATGCTCTCAAACGGACTCCAGCCAACAAAGAGAACATAGGGATGCCAGTTTCAACATCATTCCTGGAGCCAACTCTAGTGAGTGATGGTCATGCTGTAACTTTTGGTAAAATCCAAGAGTATCCCAAACCATATTGCCTTGGCAGTGCCCCACTAAGTATGGACATAATCTCTACTTACACCAAAGATGGAGCCAATGAGGCCAAATCAAGTGATGGCAAACTTCTGAAACCAAAGCCATCTAACCTGGTAAAGAGAGTCACCACCTCAGCAGGTTGCATGGCTGACCGACTCAAGTGTGTTACTACTGAACTGTATGCAGATTCTAGTCAGCTCAGTTGGGAGCAACGGGCATTGCAGGTCACCCCCTCTACCCACCTTTTAGCAACTTTACCTGTAGTTACAGTTTAAATATGTAAAGAGTACTGGGGGAGTATGGTAGGACATGGCACTATGCAGATTTGACTAATGAAGCTTATTGTAATTTGAATGTATATATTATGTCCAGTAAGGGAATGTGAATAGTAGTACTTAGGATATACATGTTTCTGGATACTTTGCTACAGAATCTGAAACTTTTGAATGCCACCATCATGCCCCAAGTGGAAAAGCCCACAAACAAATACTTAACGTAAACTTTGTTACATATGCAAAATTGTTAAAAATACTGAATAAAATTACTTTTAGGCTATGTGTGTAAAGTGTATGTGAAACATAAATGATTTTTTTGTATAGACTTGGTTCTCATATTCAAGATACCTTATTATGTATATGTACATATTCCAAAATCTGATAAAAAATTAAAATAATTGTCCCAAGCATTTACAATAAGAGATGCTCAGCCTGTAACAGAAGTTTTAATTATTGTGAATAATTTCTAAAAAATGCATGGCATTTACCTATCAATTGATTTTATTTTTCTGTTGATAAAATAACCAATATATCTAGCTGCTCAGAATACCTTACTTGATACTTGCTTGAGAAGATGTGTAGCAGCTGTGGTTCTGCAGGATCGTGCAACTTACACACACACACACACACACACACACACACACATTCGCTCTCTCTCGCTTACTCCTGTACCTCTTGGCAGAATGGGATATAGCATATATTTAACTTGATAGTTAATTATGATACATGTTGTATAGGAATTTTCTAAGATTTTTACTTTTATTTCAAAGATGAATAGGCCACTTTTTTTGGAATGTTAAAAAGAATTTGTTTTATCTTTATAAAAATAAATGAAGTTATTTAAATGACCCCCTGAGTGCCCATTTTAATTACATGACTAGAAGAATTAAAAAAGGACAGTATTTTATGTCTGCCTAGTGTTTATTATGGGTTCAGTTCTTCAAATTTATGTTTTTCATATTATTGTCATTATAATATTATATAAGCCTTTAAAGTTAAATTTTATTTCCAAATATTCAAAAGGTAGTTTATAGCCTATATTCCTTGTGAGATTTTTTTCCTGCTATTTCTGTTTTGTGTGTATGCTGTGTTTTTATTTCCAAAAGAGAATGTGCACAAAAATGTGTTCACTGATATACATGCTTATAGCTTGTGTGTCTAGATACATAAACTCCTTGAAAACAGTATGGTTAAAGAGTTTATGTCCATGGTTAATTTTGGGCAAACATTTGTTTGGACATATTTTTCTTTAGTGTAAGACAAATGAAATAGCATTTATAATAAGGTGTTGATGTTCATCCCTCTTTTTTTTTCCATTCAGAAACCAAGGACGCCAAGCCATACAAATTCAGCACAGCTGACTCAGAGAGGTGGAAAGGAAATCAGGACAAAAAGCCAAAATGTCTTCTGGAGGAGGATATTGCCAGCCAGAATAACTGTGAGAGATGTAGGTACAGCTGAGCCACTTGCTTTGTGGCTCAATTACCACATTGGTGGCAACAGGGTGATCCTGTTCCCAGGGCCCAGGGAGGTGAGATAAAGCAATCACATACAAGATTCTGACTTCTGTTTGGTGTCTTCTCAGAAAAATGGGCTGTTTTTGCCATCTGTGGAGTGAAGGACTGATTGTCTTTTTAATCATTGTGGCAATCAGGAATGAATTATCTGTGAAAGATAATTTCCTTTTAATAATCTATGAAGTATTATTTTCCTTTAGACAAGGACACATCTCGTTTTATAAAGGAGGCTTGGCCCTATAGTTAGAAACAGTATAATACAATTTTTAGGTTTTTAATTATTGATTTATTTTTGTTGATACATAGTAGATGTACATATTAGCCCTTCCTTCGATAATGTGGGTTTCCTTCTCTTCTGCCAGCCACTTCACTGAAGCAGACCTGGGGTGTGTTTGGTCGCAATGCCTGGGCAGAAATTATTGGCTCAGGAACTTCTCTTCCAGGAGAATATGCCTGAATGCTTTGTAGATTATCTTGAATTAGATACAGAGAAAGTTGATGCCCGTGATGGAGAGGGCATAAGTTATAACAAGGTTAGTCTCAGCTGGAGCTGATACAGTTGCCTGCAGAGGAAATGGATCATGGGAAACCCTCAAAAGTCTCAGTCTCCTCCCATCTTGTTAGGGCCCAGCATCTGTGGCACCAACAGTGGCAGAATTTATTTTTGCTGTGGAGACTTGTAAATGTTGCCATGGAGATACTTCTATGAGGTACTACTATGGCACAGCTGTGATAAATTATGGAATGTATGTGCTGTGTCTCATAAGACCATGTTGCAGGGAGCAGGTGGTAGACCTCAGATAACAGACTTACATTCTTATCTATCAAGGGCACATGGTTTTCTGCTTTTTAGAAGGGCTTAAAATAACAGCTATGGTAGAGTCTAATGGTTAGGACCCCTACATCTCTTAATTTATATCCTTTGCCATGTGATTAATGCTGTGTGTGATGACTGAAATAGTCTAATTTGAGAACATCCAGGTTAAGATGTGCAGCAATGGAACATAGAACTTCTCACCTGTATAGCTGGTAGTCTGTGTATCTTGGGCCATCACTGTGGGCAGAATTATTACTGGCTTTTGTAAGGCCATGTAATATCTTGTGAGGGGAGTGGCAGGGGTTCATTCAGAGGAATGAGAATCTTTGACCGAAGAGGTAATAGTGAAGATACCTCAATTCTTTGAAATTATTGTCCCTTTTTTTAATGACTTGGAGGATTTGGGAAATGGTGAATGGAACCAGTTTTGGGGAAAAATCCTTTTGAGAGGTAGGGGAACTCTATGTGAGTAAATGTGATTGCAGTGAACCCCACGTTTAGCAATGGAGGGTTCTTGATAATAGTTCAGGATGAGGTCATGGTCCCCTGGGTTTCCTGGTACTACATGGGGTGTCGGGAGAATGCCCATGAGATGAGTTACAACCTTCCAAGGCACAGTTGTGTAGCAGGCTGGCCATCCTTTTCTGGCTGGTCTCCTCATGAAGAGGGGAGCAAAAGGTGGTATGTGAAGGGGAAACCTCCCTACCCTCACTGGGCAGCTTTTGCCAGATGGGAAATTTTGGAGTAGACAAGAGTCAGCCAGGGCTCTTATAGAGGTAGTGTCATTCACTGAGCAGAGAGATGAGGTTACTAGCCAATCATTGCCCACTGACTTCATCCTGTGAAATAACTCATCACAACTCTTCCAGTAAAAGATGCTCTCAGTTTGGGCAAAAGGTCAGGTGGATGAGAGATAATTTTGCAGTAGGGGTAAAACTTAATTGGAAAACTATCTCCTCAAGAAAAATGCCTTATACGAAGTTGAGAGTGTTAGAGATATAGGTGACCATATGAGATCTGTAGTTCAGATATAAAGGACAAAAGTAGAATCTAAAACACTCAGGTTAAGAGCTTCTTAATCTGATATTTGATGTGGGAAGGGAAGTTCATTCTGGGTTGGGTCCCACACTAGCTAAGCTGCTTCCTGATTGTGACTCTCAAAGGCATTGTGACACCATGCAATCACTTTTTTCAAACCATGTTTTCTACCTTAAAGGAGTTAAGGAGAGAAGACAGTACACTTTAAAAGTTTAAAAGTATACTTTTCCACTTGCACATGGCATTTCCTAAGATAATACTTAGGTTTTCACTCTACATCCCCACTCCCTCCCATGGTACATTCAGGGGAGGCTAATTGGATCAAAGAAGTTGAATGATCTAACTAGAAGAATTCATGTCTTAGTATGTTTTCTACTGGTACAAACAGGGTAATTTATAGTTAACAGAAATGTATTTGCTCATAGTTCTGGAGGCCAAGAATTATGAGGGACTGCTCTGGCAAGCTCCATCTTCCAGTTGCATCCCATGATGGAAGGCAGATGGGAAAGAGAGCCCAAGGGAAAGAGAAGAAGGGGACTAAACTCATTTAATTTAATTATGAACTCAGTTCCACAATAACTAACTCACTCTCACAGTAATGACATTAATTAATGTCCCATGGTCATGACTTAATTACCTCTTGCAGGTCCCAGTTCTCAACACTGTTGGATTGGGGACTAGGTTTCGAACACTTGAATATTGGGAAACATTCAAACCATAATATTCCATCTGTAGTCTTGAAAATTCCTGTCCTTCTCATATGCAGAATGTATTCATTCTGTCCCAATAGCTCCACAATCTTAACTCATTCCAGCATCAACTCAAAAGTCCAAAATCTAGAATCTCTTCTTAATCAGATATGAATGGGACACAAGACCTAATTTACTATAAGACAAATTTCTCTTCTACTGTGAGCCTGTGAAGTTATGTGCTTCTAAAATGCCATGGTGGAGCAGGCATGGGAAAGACATTCCCATTTAAAAATGGAGAATAGGCAAGAAGAAAGGAGTAACTGGTTCCAAGTAAGCCCAAAACACAAAAGAGGGAGAAAAACAACAACACTGAGTTTTTTTTTTTTTTTTTTTTTTTTTAGACAGAGTCTCACTCTGTTGCCAGGCTGGAGTGCAGTGGCATGATCTCAGCTCACTGCAACATCTGCCTCCCAGGTTCAAGTGATTCTCCTGCCTTAGCCTCCTGTGTAGCTAGGACTACAGGCATATGCCACCACTCCCAGCTAATTTTTTGCATTTTTAGTAGACATGGGGTTTCACCATGTTGGCCACAATGGTCTCGATCTCTTGACTTTGTGATCCATCTGTCTCAGCCTCCCAGAGTGTTGGGATTACAGGCGTGAGCCACCCTGCCCAGCCAACACTGAGTTATAAAGCTGGACAATAATATCTTTTGATTTCATGTCTTACATCATGTACACTGAGGTAAGAGTTCAGCCCTCAAGGCCTAGGCATTCCTGCCTGAATGATTTTGCTGGGCTTTAGTCCACCCAGAAACTCTCATGGTTTGGAGTTACATTCCTATAGCTCTTCCAGGCTGAAGTTGCACTCTGGTTGTTCTACAGTTCTGGGCTCTTGGAGTTGACTCCAGACTCACAGCTCCACAAAGCATTACTATAGTGGGAACTCTGTCCTGGCTATCTCCCTATGCCATGTCTCTGCCTGAAACCCCAGGCTGTCCAAAACATCTTTTATAATGCAGGTGAACGTGGCCCTGGCTCAGGGATTATGTGTACCTGTAGAGTCAGAACTATATGGATATTATTATAGTTTAAGGCTTATCCCCTCTGGCAGTGTGACATGAGGCACATCTGGGCCAGCTTGAGCCATTGCTGGGGCAGCCAAAGATCACTGCAACAAAATGCAGGGAATAGATACTTGAGGGGGTGTACTTGCCTGCAAGGCCATAGCTTGCCTCCAAAATCTCTCAAATGCCTTCAGGCTCATTATCCCATTGCCTTGATGAATAGCACCTGTTTTCCTTATATCTGAACTATCTCTTTAGCAAATGATAGCTTTGCTATATGTTGTTTTTATTCTTTTGAAACCACTTTGTTTTTCTTTACATGACTAGACAGAGTTTGCCAAATATATTCATTTTGCTTTCTTTTTAATTACAGATTTTGTCTTTAAATCATTTCTCTTTTCTCTCATTTTGCTGGTAGTTTGCCAGAAGAAGCCATATAGTACCATGAATGTTTTAAGACTTAGTGTTCTTCTAGATATCCTAGTTCATCGCTCTTAAGTCCTGCCTTTCACAACATCCTTGGACATGAAGGCAATTCTGCCAACTTCCTTGAACTTGTTTTAGCAAGGGTAGCCTTTCATCCAGTTTCTGGTGACATATTCCTCATTTCCACACAAAACTGCTGTCTGTAGTTCTACATACATTTTCCATACAAAATTGCTGTCTGTAGTTCTACAAACATTTGATTAGTCCCAGCTGGTGTGACCAGTGTCCTCATTGTGGTGGTCCTATGTTGAACAGGAAATGGAAGCTCCTTGGATTCAGTGAAAAGCTTTTCCTTCCACATTTCCTTGCACATTTGTGCAACCAGCAGACTGAGTTTTTTTAAATTGTCTCTGAACTTGTGCATGTGCTGTCAAACCTTGTCTTTGGCTTTTCCCAGACCCCTCTTCGCAGCACCTTAAGTCTGCCCAGGTTCTCAGCCTTCCTCTGGCAGTTGTTTCCCTCTGCTGATTTTGCAGGCAACTGCCATGTCCTGGACCATGGGCCCTATGGAAGAGATGATTACTTCTGCCCATTAAGGGTTTAGGTTTCTTTTGACATGCTGTCTCCCTTCCCTCCTTCTTCATGATCTCTGCTGTTGGTCCAAGTGAATATTGGTGTTACCACTTCAGTAGATGACATTTTGGGTATATTTTGTGTCTTCATCTCATCAGCCTTTTATTTCAAAATAATGACCTCAGCACGTATTACTGTAGAGATATTTATGCCGGTCCTGGCTTGATTGGATCATGCTGCTGAAAGAAAGGACTGTAATATTTTTTTTTAAAAAGATAGCATTGATGTCTCATCTTCTTTCTTATTTGTCTCATTCCCCTAATATACAGAGATAGAAGGAGAGAATTATGAGTGTGGTGTATGTCTAACTTTCTGCTTTGCTTGCTGCTCATCTTCAGTGTATCCTTCCTTTGGACAAGTCTATTTATGAGAACTTGATATTAACAATGTGAGAACTCCAGTTTCTAAAGAAGCATCTGTCAATAGCAGATTACCTTGGCATGGTCTCAGCTGTTCCCTGAATCCTGCCTTCTCTTGGTGATTTTTGAATTCACTTATGTATTCTGGTTTTCTCTCCTGCTAGGCAAGCATAGTCCTGGAAACAAACAGCACAATTCCTTTAAAGCCCTAAAGGATGAAGATCTTCCTGTAGAGAAGTATTTAATGGAAAGGCAGCCTGTAGGTGAGCCAGCTGCCGACCAGGTAGCTATGGATGTGATGCACAGCCCCATCCTCCAACTGGAAAGGAAACACAAAGTCTCAAGTGACAGCAACCAGACAGAGACTACTGCAGAGAAGTTGCCAGAGGACTCTTTCCTAAAAAACAAGCAAAAACAGGTTTATATAGGTGAGTTTTGTCACCTTTAGCTGCCTTCTCAGTGGGCCTGTGCATACAGTCACAGTGGACAGACATGGCCTGTTGATGTGTGGCATGTAGCCCCATAAACAGAATCAGTGGAAGGAAGCCATGACACATAGCAGTGAAGAGTTTTTATTCCCACTCCTCTTCCATGAGATTTCCACCATGGAGCCCCACAGACTCCACTCATAACTTACTTGCTTTACAGCCAGATGCAGGCACTCAAGCCCAGAGAGGGTAAAAAATAATTAGGTTCTCTCCCAAAATCAGAGAGAGTAACCACACTCCTTTCCCTTCTCCTCCCCTCACACTACTGGTGATGCATAAAGTCATTTGTTCTTTCAAGGCAGCATTTGGATTAATTTTTAGTTATTTATTCATTAGATACCTGGCCCTAGAGGGAAGTAACAAATTCCTCTGTCTACTTAGAAGACCCACATTATAGTGAGCTGACCAACCTGAAGGTGTATATTACATTTACAGGGCTACATCCTAAGAAACACCATTTGATGCACCTTAGAGAACAGTAGGAGCAGCAGGTGTTGGCAGCAGAGAACAAACCTAGTCTGCAAGGCAGGAAGGAAGTGACCCAGACAGTCCAGCCTGAGGTCACTGCCTGGGATTGTGATATCATGAAAGAGAAACTCAGCAAGAAAAGGGCAGAGGTCAAAGGCAACAGAAGCTGGTTGGAAGAATTTCTTAAACCCAGTGACAACGAAGAAGGTATGCAGAGGCCACTTCTTGACTACCCTACCCACTTCCTTGTGGAATGTACAGAGAGAGTTGGTACGAGAGTGCTCTGTTCTCTTGTCTGAGCACTTTGCAGAAAATTGTTACTTGCAGTTTGATGTGTTAACCTATTTTCCATTTAAATGAGGGATAATTATGTCTGAAAACTTAATTTTAAAATTGAAGTTGCTCCAAAGTAAGAGTTAACAGTGGGATTTTCGAAATATTGTCCAAGATGGCTGAATAGGAACAGCTCCAGTCTACAGCTCCCAGCATGAGCGACACAGAAGATGGGTGATTTCTGCATTTCCAACTGAGGTACCGGGTTCATCTCACTGGGGACTGTTGGACAGTGGGTGCAGGACAGTGGGTGCAGCACACCGAGCATGAGCCAAAGTAGGGCAAGGCATTGCCTCACCCAGGAAGCACAAGGGGTCAGGGAATTCCCTTTTCTAGCGAAGGAAAGGGGTGACAGATGGCACCTGGAAAATCGGGCCATTCCCACCTGAATACTGCACTTTTCCAATGGTCTTAGCAAATGGGACACCAAGAGGTTATATCCCACACCTGGCTCAGAGGGTCCTATGCCAACGGAACCTCGCTCATTGCTAGCACAGCAGTCTGAGATCAAACTGCAAGGCAGCAGCGAGGCTAGGGGATGGGTGCCCGCCATTGCCAAGGCTTGATAGGTAAACAAAGCAGCGGGAAGCTCAAACTGGGTGGAGCCCACTGTACCTCAAAGAGGCCTGCCTGCCTCTGTAGACTCCACCTCCAGGGGCAGGGCATAGCCAAACAAAAGGCAGCAGAAACCTCTGCAGACTTAAATGTCCCTGTCTGACAGTTTGGAAGACAGTAGTGTTTCTCCTAGCATGCAGCTTGAGATCTGTGAATGGACAGACTGCCTCCTCAAGTGGGTCCCTGACCCCTGAGTAGCCTAACTGGGAGGCACCCCCTAGTAGAGACAGACTGACACCTCACATGGGTGGGTACCCCTCTGAAACAAAACTTCCAGAGGAATGATCAGACAGCAACATTTGCTATTCACCAGTATTCACTGCTCTGCAGCCTCCACTGCTGATACCCAGGCAAACAGGGTCTGGAATGGGCCTCTGGCAAACTCCAACAGACCTATAGCTGAGGGTCCTGACTGTTAGAAGGAAAACTAACAAACAGAAAGGACATCCACACAAAAACTCCATCTGTATGTCACTGTCACCAAGACCAAAGGTAGATAAAACCACAAAGATGGGGAAAAAACAGAGCAGAAAAACTGAAAATTCTAAAGATCAGAGCACCTCTCCCCTCCAAAGGAAGGCAGCTCCTTACCAGCAATGGAACAAAGCTGGACGGAGAATGATTCTGATGAGTTGAGAGAAGAAGACTTCAGATGATCAAACTTTGCCGAGCTAAAGGAGGAAGTTCGAACCCATGATAAAGAAGTTAAAAACCTTCAAAAAAGATTAGACAAATGGCTAACTAGATCAACCAATGCAGAGAAGTCCTTAAAGAACCTGTTGGAGATGAAAACTATGGCACGAGAACTACGTGATGAATGCACAAGCCTCAGTAGCTGACTCGATCAACTGGAAGAAAGGGTATCAGTGATGGAAGATCAAATGAATGAAATGAAGTGAGAAGAGAAGTTTAGAGAAAAAAGAATAAAAAGAAATGAACAAAGCCTCCAAGAAATATGGGACTATGTGAAAAGACCAAATCTACATTTGATTGGTGTACCTGAAAGTGATGGGGAGAATGGAACCAAGTTGGAAAACACTCTGCATGATATTATCCAGGAGAACTTCCCCAATCTAGCAAGGCAGGCCAACATTCAAATTCAGGAAATATAGAGAATGCCACAAAGATACTCCTTGAGAAGAGCAACTCGAAGACACATAATTGTCAGATTCACCAAAGTTGAAATGAAGGAAAATATGTTAAGGGCAGCCAGAGAGAAAGGTTGGGTTACCCACAAAGGGAAACCCATCAGACTAACAGCTGATCTTTCAGCAGAAACTCTACAAGCCAGAAGAGAGTGGGGGCCAATTTTCAACATTCTTAAAGAAAAGAATTTTCAACCCAGAATTTCATATCCAGCCAAACTAAGCTTCATAAGGAAGGAGAAATAACATCCTTTACATATAAGCAAATGCTGAGAGATTTTGTCACCACCAGACCTGCCCTAAAAGAGCTCCTGAAGCAAGCACTAAACATGGAAAGGAACAACTGGTATCAGCCACTATAAAAACATGACAAATTGTGAAGACCATCAAGGCTAGGAAGAAACTGCATCAACTAACAAGCAAAATAACCAGCTAACATCACAACGACAGGATCAAATTCACACATAACAATATTAACCTTAAATTTAAATGGGCTAAATGCTCCAATTAAAAGACACAGACTGGCAAATTGGATAAAGAGTCAAGACCCATCACTGTGCTGTATTCAGGAAACCCATCTCATGTGCAGTGACACACATGGGCTCAAAATAAAGGTATGGAGGAAGATGTACCAAGCAAATGGAAAAGAAAAAAAGGCAAGGGTTGCAATCTTAGTCTCTGACAAAACAGACTTTAAACCAACAAAGATCTAAAGAGACAAAGAAGGCCATTACATAATGCTAAATGGATCAATTCAACAAGAAGAGCTAACTGTCCTAAATATATATGCACCCAATACAGGAGCACCCAGATTCATAAAGCAAGTCCTTAGAGACCTACAAAGAGACTTAGACCCCTACACAATAATAATGGGAGACTTTAACACCCCACTGTCAACATTAGAAAATGAGATCAATGAGACAGAAAGTTACCAAGGATATCCAGGAACTGAACGCAGCTCTGCACCTAGCGGACCTAATAGACATCTGCAGAACTCTTCCCCACAAATTGACAGAATATACATTCTTCTGAGCACCACACCACACTTATTCCAAAATTGACCACATAGTTGAAAGTAAAGCACTCCTCAGCAAATGTAAAATAACAGAAATCATAACAAACTATCTCTCAGACCACAGTGCAATTAAACTAGAACTAGAACTCAGGATTAAGAAACTCAATAAAAACTGCTCAACTACACGGAAACTGAACAACCTGCTCCTGAATGACTACTGGGTACATAATGAAATGAAGGCAGAAATAAAGATGTTCTTTGAAACCAATGAGAACAAAGATACAACATACCAAAATCTCTGGGACACATTTAAATCAGTGGGTAGAGGGAAATTTATAGCACTAAATGCCCACAAGACAAAGCAAGAAAGATCTAAAATTGACACCCTTATGTCACAGTTAAAAGAACTAGAGAAGCAAGAGCAAACACATTCAAAAGCTAGCAGAAGGTAAGAAATAACTAAGATCAGAGCAGAAGTGAAGGAGATAGAGACACAAAAAAACCTTCAAAAAAATCAATGAATCCAGGAGCTGGTTTTTTGAAAAGATCAACAAAATTGATAGACCACTAGGAAGACTAATAAAGAAGAAAAGAGAGAAGAATCTAATAGATGGAATAAAAAATGATAAAGGAGATTTCACCACCAATCCCACAGAAATACAAACTACCATCAGAGAATACTATAAACACCTCTATGCAAATAAACTAGAAAATCTAGAAGAAATGGATAAATTCCTGGACACATGCACCCTCCCAAGACTAAACCAGGAAGAAGTTGAATCCCTGAATAGACCAATAACAGGCTCTGAAATTGAGGCAATAATTAATAGCTTACCAACCAAAAAAATCCAGGACCAGATGGATTCACAGCCAAATTCTACCAGAGGTACAAGGAGGAGCTGGTACCATTACTTCTGAAACTATTTCAATTAATAGAAAAAGAGGGAATCCTCCCTAACTCATTTTAGGAGGCCAGCACCATCCTGATACCAAAGCCAGTCAGAGACACAACAAAAAAAAGAGAATTTTAGACCTATATCCCTGATGAACATATGAACATCGATGCAAAAATCCTCAATAAAATACTGGCAAACTGAATCCAGCAACACATCAAAAAGCTTATCCACCATGATAAAGTGGGCTTCATCCTGGGATGCAAGCCTGGTTCAACATACACAAATCAATAAACACAATCCATCATATAAAAAAAAGCAACGAAAAAGACCACATGATTATTTCAATAGATGCAGAAAAGGCCTTTGACAAAATCAACAGCCCTTCATGCTAAAAACTCTCAATAAATTAGGTATTGATGGGACATATCTCTAAATAATAAGAGCTATCTGTGACAAACCCACAACCAATATCATACTGAATGGGCAAAAACTGGAAGCATCCGCTTTGAAAACTGGTACAAGACAGGGATGCCCTCTCTCACAACTCCTATTCAACATATTGTTGGAAGTTCTGTCCAGGGCAATCAGCCAGGAGAAGGAAATAAAGGGTATTCAATTAGGAAAAGAGGAAGTCAAATTGTCCCTGTTTACAGATGACATGATTGTATATCTAGAAAACCCCATTGTCTCAGCCCACAATCTCCTTAAGCTGATAAGCAACTTCAGCAAAGTCTCAGAATACAAAATCAATGTGCAGAAATCATAAGCATTCTTATACACCAATAACAGAAAAACAGACAGCCAAATCATGAGTGAACTCCCATTCACAATTGCTTCAAAGAGAATAAAATACCTAGGAATCCAACTTACAAGGGATGTGAAGGATCTCTTCAAGGAGAACTACAAACCACTGCTCAATGAAATAAAAGAGGATACAAACAAGTGGAAGAACATTCCATGCTCTTGGATAGGAAGAATCAATATCATTAAAATGGCCATATTGCCTAAGGCAGTTTAGAGTTTCAATGCCATCCCCATCAAGCTACCAATGACTTTCTTCACAGAATTGGAAAAAACTACTTTAAAGTTCATATGGAACCAAAAAAGAACCCACATTGCCAAGTCAATCCTAAGCCAAAAGAACAAAGCTGGAGGCATCACACTACCTGACTTCAAACTATACTACAAGGCTACAGTAACCAAAACAGCATGGTACAGGTACCAAAATGGAGATATAGACCAATGGAACAGAACAGAGACCTCAGAAATAATGCCACACATCTACAACCATCTGATCTTTGAAAAACATGACAAAAACAAGCAATGGGGAAAGGATTCCCTATTTAATAAACGGTGCTGGGAAAACTGGCCAGCCATATGTAGAAAGCTGAAACTGGACCGCTTCCTTACACCTTATACAAAAATTAATTCAAGATGGAATAAAGACTTAAATGTTAGACCTAAAATCATAAAAACCCTAGAAGAAAACCTAGGCAATACCATTCAGGACATAGGCATGGGCAAGGACTTCATGCCTAAAACACCAGAAACAATGGCAACAAAAGCCAAAACTGACAAATGGGATCTAATTAAATTAAAGAGCTTCTCCACAGCAAAAAAAAACTATCATCAGAGTCAACAGGCAACCTACAGAATGGGAGAAAATTTTTGCAATCTACTCATCTAACAAAGGGTTAATATCCACAATCTACAAAGAACTCCAACAAATTTACAAGAAAAAAGCAAACAACCCCATCAACAAGTGGGCGAAGGATGTTAACAGACAGTTCTCAAAAGAAGATGTTTATGAAGCCAAAAGACACATGAAAAAATGCTAATCATCACTGGCCATCAGAGAAATGCAAATCAAAACCACAATGAGATACCATCTCACACCAGTTAGAATGGCAATCATTAAAAAGTCAGGAAACAACAGGTGCTGGAGAGGATGTGGAGAAATAGGTACACTTTTACACTGTTGTTGGGACTGTAAACTAGTTCAACAATTGTGGAAGTCAGTGTGGCGATTTCTCAGGGATCTAGAACTACAAATACCATTTGACCGAGCCATCCCATTACTGTATATATACCCAAAGGAGTATAAAACATGCTGCTATAAAGACACATGCACACATATGCTTATTGCAGCACTATTCACAATAGCAAAGACTTGGAACCAACCCAAATGCCCAACAATGATAGACTGGATTAAGAAAATGTGGCACATATACACCATGGAATACTATGCAGCCATAAAAAATGATGAGTTCATGTCCTTTGTAGGGGCATGGATGAAGCTGGAAACCATCATTCTCAGCAAACTATCACAAGGACAAAAAACCAAACACCGCATGTTCCCACTCATAGGTGGGAATTGAACAATGAGAACACATGGACACAGGAAGGGGAACATCACACACCGGGGACTGTTGTGGCGTGGGGGGAGTGGGGAGGGATAGCATTAGGAGATATACATAATGTAAATGACGAGTTAATGGGTGCAGCACACCAACATGGCACATGTATACATATGTAACAATCCTCACGTTGTGCACATGTACCCTAAAACTTAAAGTATAATAATAATAAAAAAAAACAGTGGGATTTTCTTTCTGCATGGGCTACAACTATGTAATGACTCCTTTTTTTTGCCCTTTTCCCCATGTCTCTTTCCTGTTAGCTATTCTGCCACCATGCTGCACCATCTATATTTAGCCTTGTCTCTGTTCTCAGGCCCTCCACCGAAGAATAAGGTTTTATCCAACAATGCAAGCAGCCAAAAGCCGACTCACTCAAGCTGCATACCATTGTTGAGGCTGCCTGATAAGCAGCAGAAAGTTAATGAGAGCATTAAGACAGACATGCTGTGCACAGACAAGGAAGAGGAGTGCCCTGCTGCCTCCCTGCTGCAGAAATACACCAATAACAGTGAGAAGCCATCTGGGAAGAGACAATGCAAAACCAAGCACTTGATATCTCAGGACCTGAGGCAGGGGTTCCTGCTAACAGGGAAGTGCTACGTTGAGAATGCTGATGGCAAGATACCTCTTGGCACTTGTTTTCTCCTTGGGCTTATATAGAGGCTATTTCCCCTCACCCCAACATTCCCCACCTACCTGCTTTTCTCAAGGATGTAAAGCCTTTCTTTTACTGGACTCCTAACTTCCCTGTCTTAGAGGGGAAGTCTTCCTTGATGGTGATAAAATTGGAAACTATTAAAATTTAAGTTCATACCCCAGTCTGTAACACTTTTCCTTTGATATTCCACCTCCCAGGAAGGAAAGGAAACTGCCTTCCCCATGCAGGTTTGTCTTACAGGAAGGAGGAGGGGAAGCAGTGGATGTGGAAAGGATGTAGTCTTAATCTTAACTGTGTATACTAATTCGTTTTGTCTTAGTCAACTGTCCCAAGATTCAGAAAGCAACTTGAACCCAGTTCCAACTATGATCTGACTTCATCCAAGCAGGAGATGAAGCCCTTCAACTGCTTGCAAGAGTTGCTACCAGCTTCCCAGTCCATGAAGCTGCCACACTCATGTTCCCCTCAGGAAACCAACCAATCTCGCCCAGTGCAGCTGAGAGCAAGGAGAATTATTGTCGATAGGCATGCTGGTGAGACTCTCCTGCAGCAGGCAGCATGGCTTGGCTATGAGGTGAGTGTCCTGGTGAGCACTCCTAGAGCAGCTGCTGCTTCCAGCTGGAAAGCAGGGCTTGCTAGCTGGGATGGGATAGTGGGAGGTACTTGAAGAGCAGAGCTCAGCCCCTTCACATCAGGGGACTTGGAGAGCAGAGCTTAGCCCCTTCACATCAGGGGACTAGCATGTCTGTGTTAGCCCCAGTCTCCCTGCTATTTGGTGGCTTTTGCAGTCACAGTGTGCAAACGGGCAAGCAGTCAGGCAGGTTGCTCCAGCTTCCTCCAGTCTGGTTTACTTATTTCTGCTATAAAACTTGAAAAAATTCAGGGCTTGGTGACTTGGGGAAATTTAATGGGCCCTTTTGGATTCTGATTAGCAAGAGGAAGAGATGTTATTAGCTCTATATGGTGTTGCTTGTGCTATGGTGGCCCTGTGTGGAGAGCAGGCAGGAAGTGGCAATGCAGGTTGGGCACAGGTGTTCAAATGTGAGGGTGTGGAGCAGACCTGAGTGGTCTCTTTCTGAGAGAGGGTTAAGGTGGCCCTGGGGCTGAGTACTGGAGGAAGAATTCAGACTTAGGGTTTCTCCCCAAGTCACTGCTCCTTCATCACCCTCTCACTCCTGCCCCCTACACCCATACTCCTCCCAAGATGCATGATGACAGTGTTGACTTATGTCAACTGAGCACTGGGCTGTGTGCTCTTTCTAAGCTCACATGATCTGAACTAACTCATTTTACTCTGTCATCATCTTTGCCAGCTATTATCACTGTTTTCATATGAGGAAACTAACTCCCAGAAGTGTTAAATGGCTTGGATAGGTAATAACCTAGGAACAGTTTCAGTTTTGGTTGTTTTTATAGAACTGATGGATGTGACGCCTGTACCAATCAACAGCTTCAACAAATTCCACATCTATACATCTTTAGGCCCCAAAGCCTTTGATGGCACAGGTGATTTTGAGATTGTTTATGTAAGGATGGCTGTCATCGTTGCTTTAGATTTCTGGTATTTGGATAATTAAAGTTTCTAGACTGCAACTTGGATGGTTAGAAAAATAGTAACTTTTTCAGATATTAAGTGAATTTGCAACATGTAATTTAAATAGATCACAAGTTTTTAGTTAAAGAACTCTTTTTGACACATAATAATTGTACATATTTCTGGGGTATATATTCTATCGTGTATGTATATCACATATGTGATGATTTCTTTCTTTTCTGTTTTTTTTTCTTTTTTTTTGTTTTAGGCAAGGTCTTGCTCTGTCACCTAGGCTAGAGTGCAGTGGTGCGATCTCAGCTTATTACAACCTCTGCCTCCTGGGCTCAAGTGATCCTTCTACTTCAGATTCCTGAGTAGCTGGGACCACAGGCATGTACCACCACACCCAGCTAATTTTTGTTTTTTTGTAGATACACGATTTCGCCATGTTGCCCAGGCTGCTCTCGAACTCATGACTTCAAGTGATCTGCCTGTCTCAGCCTCTCAAAGTGCTGGGATTACAAGCACAAGCCACCGTTCCCTGCCTATATGTGATATTTTGATACATCCATACAATTTGTAATGATCCAGTCAGGCTATTTAGGATATGCGTTACTTCAAACATTTACTATTTTTGTTTTGGGAATATTTCATACCTTATCTTCTAGATATTTTGAAATATACCATACTCTTGTTAATTGTAGTCTCCCTTTTCTGGTATTAAACATTAGATCATATTCTTTTGATATGCCTGTATATTTGTACCGTAAATTAACCAACCCCTGTTTATCTTGCCCACACCTACACCCACTTCCAAGCTTCTGGAGACTATCATCTTACACTCTACCTTCATGACATCAACTTTTCCTACATATGAGTGAGAATAGGTGATATTTCTTTTGCTATGCTTGACTTATTTTACTTCACATAATGACCTTCAATTCCATCCAGGTTGTTGCAAGTGACAGCATTTCATTCATTTATATGGCTTAAAATATTCTGTTGTGTATGTATACCACATTTTCTTTGTCCTTTCATTCACTGTCGGCATTTAGGCCAATTCCATGTTTACCTATCGGGATTTACTTTTTTATTTTTCTTTGATAGAGACTGTCTAGTCAGATTGCTGGATTATATTGTGGTTCTAATTTTAGTTTTTAAAGAGACCTCCATATTGTTTTCCATATTGGCTGTACTAATTTACATCCCAAGAGTTTGTAAATCAACCTTTTCTCCAAATCCTTGGCAGAATTTATTTTTTTGTCTTGTTTAGTAATATCCATTCTGACTAGTGTAATATGGTAACTCACAGTGGTTTTGAATTGTATTTCTGTGATGATTAGTGATGTTGAACATTTTTACATATATATGATGGCCATTTATATGTCTTCATTTGAGAACTGCCTATTCAGATCCTTTGCCTACCTTTTAATGTCATTTTTTTTTTGCTGTTGAGCTTAGTTCCTTATATATTAGTCCCTTATTGGATGAACAGTTTGCAAATATATTGTGCCATTTTATAGATTGTCTCTTCACTCCTGTTGATTGTTTGTTTTGCAGAGTTCAATTTCCCTATTTTTGTTTGTGTTATCCATGCTTTTGAAGTCTTAGACATAAAATCTTGGCCTAGACCAATGTCCTGAAGCATTTCCTGCTTTTTTCTAGTACATTTATATTTTGGGTCTTAAATTTAAGTCTGTTATTTGAGTTGATATTGTTATCTGTTGAGGTTTTGTGATCTAGTTTCATTCTTCATATGGACATCCAGTTTCCCCAGCCCCATTTAGTAAACTGGGTGTCCTTTCCCCAGTGTGTGTTATTGGTGTCTTGTTAGAAATTAGTGGTCTGGCAGGAAAGAAGCAGGCAAAGAAATTTTTGTTTTATTTGCCATTAATATAAATACAGCAAATATTATCTTTTTTCTTTTGAGGTAGGATCTCACTCTGTGTCCCAGGCTGGAGTGGAGTGGCATGATCTCAGCTCATTGCAGCCTCCAGCCTCCTGGGCTCAAGTGATCCTCTCACCTCTGTCTCCTGAATAGTGGGGACTACAGGTGTGTGCCACCATTCCTGACTGTTTTTTGTATTTTTGTAGAGATGGGGATCTCTGCATATTCCCCACACTGGTCTTGAATTCCTGGCCACAAGTGATCCACCTGCCTCAGCCTCCCAAAGTGCTGGCATTACAGGCATGACCCACTGTGCTAAGCCCAACAAATGGTTGTCTTAAACACAACTTTCTAATAACTTGTTCAAAAAGCCAAATAAAAACTTTCAAAACTCTAATAAAAAAAACTAATAAATTTATAAACTACTAGTCAAAGTCAAAACAAATTAATTACATAAAATTCAATAACAAAAACATTATAAACTTTACTTAAAATTTTCTTAAATTGTTTTTCTTTTTTTTATTTTTTATTATTATACTTTAAGTTTTAGGGTACATGTGCACATTGTGCAGGTTAGTTACATACGTATACATGTGCCATGCTGGTGCGCTGCACCCACTAACTCATCATCTAGCATTAGGTATATCTCCCAATGCTATCCCTCCCCCGTCCCCCCACTCCACAGCAGTCCCCAGAGTGTGATGTTCCCCTTCCTGTGCCCATGTGTTCTCATTGTTCAATTGCACAGAGCTGTCCAGGCCAGAGTACAGTGGCACGATCTCAGCTCACTGCATCTTCTGCCTCCTGGGTTCAAGTGATTCTCCTGCCTCAGCCTCCCAAGTAGTGGGACTACAGGCACACACCACCATGCCTAGCTAATTTTTGTATTTTTAGGACAGACGAGGTTTCACCATGTTGGTCCGGCTGGTCTCGAACCCCTGACCTCATGATCTGCCCACCTCGGCTTCCCAAAGTGCTGGGATTATGGGAGTGAGCCACCATACCCAGCCCGAATATTATTTCTTTTTAAAAGGAAGGAATTTCTGACATATGCTGTAACATGGATGAACCTTGAGGACGTTCATTTATGCTAAGTGAAATATGCATGTTGTAAAATGACAAATACTTTATTATTCCACTCGTGACATGCTAAGAGAAGTCAAAATCATAGACACTGACAGTAGAATGGTGGGTGCCTGGGTTTGTAGGAAAGGTTAATGGGGTTACTGTTTAATGGGTACAGAGCCTGTTGAAAGTCCTTTAGATGAATGATGGTGATGGTTGCACAATAATGTGAAAGAGTTAATGACCATGAACTGAACACTTAAAAATGGTTAAGATGATAAATGTACATTACATATATTTTTTCCACAAATAAAAAAATTAGTGTTTCAAATTTAACAAGAGTTAGGATATATCCTTCGTAAATGTTCAGCCTCATTTTAGTTACTCTTCTTCAACACTGCTACTCTACCATGTTATTACTATAATCTCTACATTGTTGGAATGATAATACTGAAAAAAGAACTACACATGGGGCTGGATGCGGTGGCTCATGCCTGTAATCCCAGCAGCTTGAGAGGCCAAAGCAGCAGGATCACTTGAGCCTAGGAGTTTGAGACCAGCTTGGATGACATGGTGAAACCCTGTTTCTACAAAAAAAAAAAAAAAAAAAAAAAAACAACTGGGAATGGTGGCACATGCCTGTAATCTCAGCTACTCAGCTACTCAGGAGACATGTGAGAGGATCACCCTAGCCCAGTGAGGTTGAGGCTGCAGTGAACCATGATTGTGCCATTGCACTCCAGCCTGGCAGACAGAGTTGAGACACAGTCTCAAAATAAACAAACAAACAAAACTCTTGTGGTTACCCTTGTAGGATTGATTCTGATTTTTAAGTTATGGTGTATATATGTATATGTGTATGTCTGTGATGTGTGTGTGTGTGTGTGTGTGTGTGTGTGTGTGTGTGTTTTCCTGCACCAGATATGGTTTATTTCAGTGTTAGGGTCACGTTAGTTTTCTTGTTGTGGTTTTATAGTAGTGTTGTTTTCAAAAAAAACAACCATTTTTTCTCTAATTTTCTTTTTAATTTTTTTTCTTTCCAAAAGTCAGTGACCAAGTCATTCTTGTACTCAAAAGTAAGAATACAAATAGCATTTGGTTGGGATAGGGTAGTGATATTATTATTTTGATCACTTTTTCCTTGAATTGGCACTTTTCTTCATCGCCCAACTGAAGAAGTTTTCTGCTTCATGAGGTCTTGTGAAGCTTCACAATCTTTCTTCATACCTCATGTATGGTCTCCCAGTGAGACCAAGCTCAAACTCCTCATTGCCTTCAGCCTTCACTTTCAGGGCTTTTCTTGTCCATTGGATAGCATTTGGAGCCTTATTTCTTCCTATTCCTGTATATGTATGTTTATATCTTTCCCTCAGTTGGTAAGTGGTGAGAGCATGGAATGTTGGACTGTTCTTTAATGTTCCCAGGGGCAAAAGCCCCTGAAAATGTCAATAATTAGTGACAAATAATTAGTGATACTGCCTTATAAGACTCTGGACTCTTTATTGTGACTATATTCAAAATGTATATTTGAGTTTTAAGTCCTGAGAGTACAAATATCCCACAGCTGGTTCAGAAGGACCTGTTATCACCATCCACATCCCCAGATCTGGCCTTCATCCTGCCTTTGACCTTAGTTTATTGGTGAGAAACCAAGATTTGTCAGTTGTGGAATCCTCTGGTGGTGTAAATGTGGTGGCTGCTTGAGGGTTGGGTATTAGGGTTTGCTAATAGTTAAAAAAAAAAAGAAAAAAAAACCTAAAACGTATTTTGTTTTTTCACAGATTCCAAACAGCATTCCATCAGGAGGGCACTGTGGGCAGTGTTCCACCTTCCAATAGACATGGGTGGGAGAACTTTGTACTTTTTCAGATCTCATCCTGATCCTGACAACTCTGGTTCTGAGCCACAAGTTTGATCACAGATCTGTGAAAGGTGCCAGGGCAGGCTTTTAGGAGAGTCTAAACTCACCATTTATCTTTGCACCCAGGTTCTTTATATAAACAAACAGTCATTTTTTAAATTGTTTAACAGTTGTTTGTTGTATTAGGTTTCATAATGGTAAACTTTTTTTTGAGTTATCTTTTTACATCCTGTCCATACTTCCTTCAAAACTTTTTAAATACTTATTCTGTCTTCAGTTTTTCAGGCCTCAGATTAAGATAGATTTTTCATTTGAGAGTTAGTGCTGAAATAGTCCCTTCATGAGTCCTGTTAAAAGGATTAAGTGTATAATAACAATAATTTGTCATTTGATCATGGGTCAGTAACTGTGTCTCAATTTCACTATCTGTACATGGCAGTTACATTCCTCATGAGTTGAATATTGTGTCTACGAGGCTTACATGGTACACATGTATCCAATTTTGCCTATTGTTAAAGAAAAGTCAAGAAATGAGCAAGTGTGCATGAGTTTAATCCCACCGCACATCTCTTACTAGGCCTCTCCATGGTGCAGTTGAAAATGATTGTTTGGAAATTGTCCGCCTCCTCCTTTCCTATGGCGCTGGCCCCACTTTGGCCACCTACTCAGGCAGAACCATTATGAAAATGACCCACAGCAAAGTTATGGAAATGTTTCTAACAGGTGGGTCACTTTACGGAACAGGAATAACAAAGTTCAAGATATGTTCTTTATTCAAATATTAGAGGGAGACCAGGTTATTGAGATTTGAGTTTTACTAGGTACAAATTAAAAAGCTTGAGACTTTAAAACAGCAGCAATGTGGCTTTTCTGTATTGTGGAATATAGTAGTCTAGTGAAGCTAATTATTTTGGTGATTAGCCGTTGATTCTATATTTCCTTTGATCTATTTTTACCCTAATGCTGTAAAAGATTTCCCCAAATTATTTGGATTTCCTACCAAGCATTTTTAAACAAATAATGACTCACATTTTTACATCTTGATTCTGGATAATGGAAACCTCAAACTTCCCACAGAAGAGGTTATTTAGAATAGTCTATGTAGCTCAGTGAGTGAAGAACTAATCATGCAAGCCCCAGGCATTACTAGACTACATTTCTATACACCAGTATGGAAATGGATTACTTCCATACACTAGTATGGAATGTAACTGGTTTTTTTGTGTGTGTTGATTTAGTATCCTGCAACTTTGCTGGAATTACTAATTTTAACATTTTTTAAAAAGTTGATCTTTTTTTTCCCCTCTCTCTCCAGATTACTTAAATGACCTACAGGGTTGCAGTGACAGTAAGCTGAATAGCTCTTGGGAGTTCTACGGCAGCTCTGTCTGTGGTGAGCAATATTATTGTTTTTAGTTGAGTGGAAAATAGGAAGAGGACATTTTTCTTTGGTGTGGTTGACGGGGGATAGGTTGTGCATGCTATAAAACAGACTCTGTTGGAAAAGAATCTATTTTTATATTTTTATTTAGAGTTCTTCATTGGATGACAGCTGAAATCCTGCTATTGCTAACATCTTTGTCTGTTTCTTTTCTCCATTAGAACCAGATAATGGAGGGGAATCCAATGTTTTGGCAGACCCCCCAGGACCAGAGGACCAGGATGATGACAATGAGGCTTGCAGTGATGTGTTTGAATTTAAATTTTCAGATACCCCCTCTTACCTTGTTAAAACATTCAAGTTTCATCTTTGCAGGGGTGAGCATGGCTGCTATGTCACTGAAAATTAGCTGAGCTGATTTGTGGGTAGTAGCAGGACTTAAAGCTCTTTTTAAGTAGATGAGGGTGAGTGGGTGCTAAATGCCCAAGAGTTTTACATGATGTAGCAAATAGGTTTTTTTTAAAGATTTATTATACTCAGCTAATTAATTGGTTGTATAGTATAGTATAGTATGGTATAGTATAGTATAGTATGGTATGGTATAGTATAGTATAGTATGGTATAGTATGGTATAGTATAGTATAGTATAGTATAGTATAGTATAGTATAGTATAGTATAGTATAGTATAGTACAGTACAGTATAGTATAAATTATCCTCATCAGAACACCACCAATGTAAGTAAGGCCCCAGAACCCAAAGCACAGAAGTTTCTTTTACTAAATTCTTTGGGAAGGAGTCCTAGGAATCCTTCAACAGATCATTACAAGGGCTTCTTGGGAATATAATGTGTACTGTACAAAGCCGTTAATCTCCCTTCTCATGTAGAATTAGGAAAATCATCAGTGTCACTCGAGATCTTTGTGTATGGTCATATTTAGTAAGATACAGTCTTACACTATTTGTGAGCCACTGTGCCCTGGTGACCAATATCTTATCAAGAGAACTTTGTTAACATTTTAACATTGGTGCTTAGTAAACAATAGTATCCTCAGGCTCTGGAGTTATGTGTATTCCATTGTAAACAGTGACAGTTTTATTTCACTTTATTTTTTGTTAGTATGCCATGGATTCTTACATTTGAGGGTTCATGTGATATTTTGATACATGCATACAATATGTAAGCATCAAATGAGGGCACTTGGGATACCCATCACTTCAAACATGTATTATGTCTTTGTATTAGAAATATTAAAACCTTCTCTTCTAGAAACAGACTATACATTATAGTTAACTATAATTTTCCTACTGTGCTATCAAATACTGGATGTTATTCCTTCTCTCTAACTGTATTTTAATAGCCATTTAATCATCTCCTCTTAATTCCCTCTCCCACCTACACTGCCTAGCTTCTAGTACTCACCCTTCTACTCCATACCTCTATGAGGTTAACATTTTTTATTTCCTACCTATAGGTAGAACTTTCTGTGCCTGGTTTATTTCATTTAATAGAATGACCTCCAAGTCCACCTGTGTTGCAAATATCAAGATTCAAGTCATTTTGTGGTGGACTAGCACTCCATTATGTAAATATATTCCATTTTAAAATCCACTTGTCTGTTGATGGACACTTAGGTTGATTCCATATCATGGCTATTGTGAATAGTGCTGCAGTAGACATGAGAGTGCAGATACCTTACTGATATACTGATTTGATTTCTTTGGGATATATACCTAGCCATGAGATTGCGGAATCACATGTTAATTTTATTTTTCATTTTTGAGGAATTCACCAACAGCATAGACACATTCTCTTTTCTCTGCATTCTCACCAACATATTTTTGTCTTTTGATAATAGGCATCCTAACTAAGAGAAGATAATATTGTGGTTTTGATTAGAAGTTTATTATAAATAGAAATAGTAAAGTTGTGTTGCAGAGTGTGTGAAAGGAATGGACTTGGGGGAGAGGGAAGATCAAAGA
Organism: Homo sapiens; assembly: GCF_000001405.40. NCBI lineage: Eukaryota > Metazoa > Chordata > Mammalia > Primates > Hominidae > Homo > Homo sapiens. The sequence continues at coordinate 19,457,318 of NC_000024.10, read as the reverse complement.
GGTGTTTATAGTCATCCTTTTGGGTTGGGGTACAGACTCACTTATCTCAGTAAGCCTAGTGAGACATATTAAGAGTCATTACCCAAATTATGGTGAGAGCTGAGTCAACAGGAGTTTAATTTTTTCATCAGCAATGAGAGCAGTGGAGGAACTGTTATAATAAATCTCACTAAGGTGTTTCCCTTGCTTTATATAATTCAGTTTGTTCTTCTACAAATGTCTGATAACCAGATGAATCCAGAGTTACCCTCATCAGAAGTAGGTACTTACCCTTACCTTGAAAGAAGAATGTTGGTCTATGAGTGGGCATGGTGAGAAATGGCAGGGGTGTTGAAGTGAAAGTAAGTGACTCCTGTTATGCCTATAAGGTAGCTTTTTCAATATGATAATTAATGGTTGGGGGAAATTTTATTTTTGCCAGAAATTGGGACTACCTTTTCTTTTTATTTTGCAGACCACAAAACTGGTTATTGCTTTCAGATGTACTTAAGAAAGTGAAAATGTCATCCTGCATATTTCGCTGGAGTTTTCCACATCTGAAAATTGTCCCAATTGCAGAGGCAGAGTTTTACAGACAGGTTTCAGCAAGTATCTTGTTCTCTTCCTCCAAAGACTTGGAAGCCTTCAATCTGGAAAGCAACAAACTACTAGATTTACTAGAATGTACAAATGAACTCCAGATTCTCCTTGGCTCCTCTCTGGAATGCTTAAATCCCAGGGATGTGGCCTTGGAGAAGGACCACTGATGAGAAGTCAAATCCCACTGTATACTGTGTGTTCTAGTGTTCATCCTTGTTTATATTTATCAAAGTACAACTACTTCTGTGGAGGAGGGACATTATTACATATGAAAATATTTCAGCTTTATATAAGATAAACCCTCTAGCTAGAAGATTTAGAAAGATGTCTTTTTATTTTAAACTTTTGTTATGAAATTGCTGAAATGTTTCTTTAATTTTCAATGTATAGAAACTGCTTTGAATAAATTTGTTTTCATTTGGAACGTCTTTTAAAAGGAAAATATAATGAGGAAAAAGAGCCTCACCTACCTACCTATTGACTTTTTTCCACACAAAGCTCTGATGACAGAGATCATTGACATTTATAAATAATGTCATCAAAATTGAGTGTTTGGGAGAATAAATTTGGTAAAAGCATTTGATATTGTAACTTCTTTGTTTTGTTTGCTGCGTATCTTCTTATGCCAGGTATATGCTATTGGGTATATTTCAACTTAAAATTACACTGAAACACAACTAATTGTATGAGATTTATAACCTAACTTAAAGGTTGTAAATTAGTTTCTATGAACCAATCTCAAATATTTTATGATCTTCTAATGAAGAAACTTTAATTTATTTTCCTCCTCCTCCTTCTTCTTCTCCTTTTTTCTTTTCTTTCTTTCTTTCTTTCTTTTTTTTTTTTTTTGAGGCAATGTCTCACTGTTATCCAGGCTGGAGTGCAGAGGCACAGTCAGAACTCACTGCAGCCTCTACATCCCTGGGCTCAGTGGTCCTCCCACAATCAGCCTCTGGAGAAGCTAGGACTATAGGCCTGTGTAAACATGCTTCGTTAATTTTTTTTTTTTTTTTTTTTTTTGTAGAGACAGTGTTTAGCCATGTTGCCCAGGCTGTTCTAAACCACCTGGGCTCAAGTGATCCGCCTGCCTCTACCTCCCAAAGTGCTGGGATTACAGACATGAGCAGCCATGCCCAGCCTGTTTTTCTGTTCACTATAAAATATTGAAAATTAAGGACAGTTGAGTTTGCTTGAAAATGTAAATATTTTAATTCTGTGCTTATAATTTCTTTCAACTTTGTTAGATTTATGCTTCTGTAACACTTTTACAGAAATTTTCTGAAGATGCAATAAAACTGTTGAGGAAAGGAAAATGTTGAACTGTCTGTGTCCTATGTGATCCTAAAACATGTTGTTACATTTTTTTTAAGTTGACAAATTTCCTTGGTGGCTTAATTTCTGTTATTTAAAACTTTTTATTTCAATAGCTTTTGGGGTTACAAGTGTTTTTTTTGTTACATGGGTGAATAATATAGTGATGAATTCTGAGATTTTAGTGCATCTGTTACTTGAGTAGTATATATAGTACCTAATGTGTGGTTCTTTTATCACTGGCCCCATCTCACTCTTTACCTTCTGCATCTCAAGTTCACTGTATCACTCTGCATGACTTCTGTACTCATAGCTTAACTCCCACATGTAAGTGACAACATACAGTTTTTGGTTTTTCACTCCTGTGTTATTTCACTTAGAATAATGGCCTTCAGCTCCAAGTTGCTGTGAAAGACATTATTTTGTTCCTTTTTATGGCTGAATAGTATTCCATTGTGTATACACACCATATTTTCTTTATCCAGGCATCAGTCAATGGGTAGCATATATGTTGATCTCTGATCTTTGCAAGTGTGAATTATGCTGCTATAAACATACATGTGCAAATGTTGTTTTTATATAACAACTTCTTTTTTCTTTGGGTAGACAGATAATAGTGTGATTGCTAGATCAAATGTTAGTTCTACTTCTGTTTCCTTAAGGAATCTCCACACTGCTTTCCATAGAGGTTGTACTAATTTACATTCCCTTTGGCAAAGTATAAGTGTTGCCTTTTCCCCCATCCATGCCAATACCTATTGTTTGTTGGCTTTTCAATAATGGTCATTCTTGCAGGAGTAAGGTGGTATCTCATTGTGGTTTTAATTTGTGTTTCTCTGATGATTAGGTATGTTGAACATTTTTTTGTACATTAATATTTGTTGGCCATTTATGTTTCTTCTTTTGAGAAATGTCTGTTCATGTACTTTGCCCACATTTTGATGGGAGTATTTGCTTTTTTCTTACTGATTTGTTTGAGTTCCTTGTTGATTTTGGATACTCTTACTGTTAGATAGGTAGCCTGCAAACATTTTCTCCTATGGGATGTTTGCTGATTATTTCTTTTACCATGCAGAAGATTTATAGTTTAATTAGAACCATTTTGTTTACTTCATTCTTTTTGCGTTTGGTTTTGGGATCTTAGTCATACATTCTTTGTCTAGGTTAATGTCTAGAAGAGTTTTTCCAACATTGTCCCGAGAATTTTTATAGTTTCTGGTCTTAGATTTAAGTATTTCATCTATCTTGTGTTTATTTTCATATTAGTTGGGAGATACAGATCCAGTTTCATTCTTCTACATGTGGCTTCTTGCTCTGCTACCCAGGCTAGAGTGCAGTGGTGTGATCTCAGCTTACTGCAAGCTCCACTTCCTGGGTTCACGTCATTCTCCTGCCTCAGCCTCCTGAGTAACTGGGACTACAGTTGCCTGCCACCACGCCTGGCTAATTTTTTACATTTTCAGTAGAGACGGGGTTTCACCTTGTTAGCCAGGATGGTCTCGATCTCCTGACCTCATGATCCACCCGCCTCTGCCTCCCAAAGTGCTGGGAATACAGTCATAAGCCACCGCGCCTGGCCTCCCATCACCATTTATTACGTAGGATATTCATTCCCCAAACTATGTTATTGTACATTTTGCTGAAGATCAGTTTGCAGTACATATTTGGCTTTATTTCTGTGTTTCTCTTGTATTCCATTAATCTGCATGCCAATTTTTATACCAGTATTGTACTGTTTTGGTACCTATAGTCCAGCAATGCAAAGGCTCCAGATTTGTTCTTTTTCCTTAGGATTGCTACTGATTCGTAAATGAATGCTGTAGCATTGAACAGTTTCTACTGCTCTTCCTAGGAACCTAGAGAAGCCAATTTCAAGCTTGCAAAGGCTTTTTAACTGCTTAGGGGAAAAAAATTAGTGTTATCACATGGGCCCCAAAATTCCTGTCCTCTGGATGGTGGAAATTCCTGTCCTCTGGATGGTGGAAATTAAAGTATCCCCACAGGGTCACAAGTTTAAGCTCTTAAGGAGACAAAACAAGATAGAGAAATTTCATACAATATTGGTTTCAGGGACCCATAGCAAAGTTTGTACCTGATCAGCCTGCTGAACTGGCTTAAAAAGCAGGCTTATAGGGATGCTAAATCCACATTTCATTCCATGATATGCCTCTCCCCATTACAGAACACAGAAAGACAAATTTTCAGCACAAAGTACACTACATTTGCTATACACTAAGACGAATCTTATAAATCATTTTTCTATTGATCAGACCCTTGAAGAGAGATGAATAGTGATATTTACCATAACACAGATAGACAGAGAGAAAGTACAGAAACTTGGCTGGTAAGAATTTCTTACCCTTTTTGCTGGCATACCAGATTTCCAGTTTCCCTTTCTCTGCAGTTTCCAGAAGAACAGGGCAGCTTCTGATGACCCTGTTGCTTGTGCCATAGCTGTGAGGTTCAAGCCACTTTACAAGAGAAAAGGAACTTTTTCTATTTTATGGAACCATAGGCAAAATTCTTAATTTGCAAGATGCTGCCCAACAGGCTGTGTGGAGAACTGAATTAACATTTTTTTTTTTATCCCAGCAAAACACACATAACAAAACAGACACTAGCCACTTCGTTCAGCACCCAATATCAACCTGGCAAAGCTCAAACTTTTTCCCCTTGGTACTTGTTGTCTTTGATCTACTCCAGGTGGGGAAGGATGGTTTCAGAGTGAAAATTTATGATGGGGTCTCTGGGAAAGGTAAAGAGCAGATAGTCACCCAAAGACAGGCTGTTGAACTTTCTTCAAGGCTCGCTGAATATAACCAGACAAATATGGAGGGCTCTCTGAGTTAGGCCTGCTGTACTTCAGCAATTCCTTCTGAGTTATTTCACCACATATACAAACACACATAAAGATGATGTTAGAAACAAGTGCTTGACCACAAAATAGAACTAGTACTTAGGCAAAAAGTTTTCTCAGCAAGGCAATTTACCTCTGCAGAGGGCTGCTGCCTGTATCAGTCATGATCGCAAGAACATACCAAACAATGGAGGGAAAGGGCTTTTATCCCTCCCGCAGTCTGTGCCTCTGTGTCACTCCCCCCTGGGCTGGGGTTGGACCACACAATCTAAGCTGACCCTATTGGCTATTTGTGAATACTTTACAAAATAAGGAAGGGAAGGTGGTGTGGTTTACAATGGCAGGACATTTTGGAGGGAAGAATAGCTGCAGAGCAGGTAACCAAGGGAAGAGATGTCAATTATTTTTTAGAACTGGTGGGAAGGTTGTTTACCATTAACTAGGGACAAACAAGCACAAAGTATGAGAAAGCTAGGCTTCGAAAATAGAAAACAAAGAACAAAAAAATAGAAAACAAAGAACAAGAAAGTAGAACGAGATGACTCTTTGAAGAGGAACTTACTATACCTAACAATTTCCCTCTCTTAATTTTTATAATTCCTCTTCCAACCTTTTTACCATGTCTTGGCTTTGCTGTTCTGCTTGGTTTTCTAAAAGGAAAAGCTTATCTGAATAAGGTAGAGGAGCGATAAGAGAGGTTTTGGTAATTGCTGTCTCTATGAGTCTTTGTACTAATCCATGAATGCATCGTATGATACAGCATCCAACAAGAATAATGACACCTACAACAATTGCAAGACAAGTACATATTAAGGACATTAATTCTTTCCATTACCCAAACCATGTTTCCATTAAACTTGTAGAGGGGTCATTTGTTCCAGAATTATTTGCCAACTCATTGAATAAAGAGGAGGTCAGGCCCTGCAAAGTTTTGTAGTTGTCCCATTGGTGACTGTGTTATTAGGAATAAAGGTACAATGTTGGACTCCAGTCATGACACAGACTCCCCTTTTTTTGGCTAACATCATGTCAAGGGCCATTCTATTTTCCCAGGCCATTTAGCTGGTGAGGCCTAATTGTTTAGCAGTCTCTTTGATGGCATGTCTTGTGTAATTGACAAAACTTTGCTGATGATAATAAATGTAATTTATCCAATCTACATTTTTGTTTAGAGTTGACCATCAAAAACAGCACAGATTCAAATCCTGCAGCTATTTGATTTCAGGCATTAAATTCATTTGGTACCCCTCATGAGATTCCAATAGCATCTATATAAACAAGAGAGTCAAAAGATCCATGAGGGGCATTTCTTCTTTTACAATTTTTTTTTTTATCATGTTGACAGTATGCTAGGGTGAAAGGGATGGCCAATTGGACTAGGGCACAAGTGCCACTCCAGTTACTTGCAGAGTGTCCAGTAAGGGTCCACCACAATATCACCATATAGCTGCTCAAGGATGAACAAGGGCAGACTGATTGGTAGGCTCTTGGAAGGGCTGTAGTTTCACTGGAACCCTTTAGGTTTCCAAGAAATGCCAAATTTACCCCTTGTTGTGAGAGATATGAGGTAAAATTGGTGTCAGAAGACGGAGGCTGAATGGCCCTTGGGGGCTGACCCACAGGGTGTTGGACTTCATGGAGTAGCAGAGAGAGACTTTGGCAGGATTTATTGCCCTAGGCTGTGGGATCTTGGAAAAGAGCTACATGCCTGGTCAGCTGGATGACCATCCCAGTGGAGAGGGGATGACCTGCGCCTCTGGTCTACGGTATGCACAAGCATAACAATAGCTTTTGTTTAGAGTTCAAACGGAATATTTAATCCATTCCAACCAATCATTTGCATCTTGATATCCTATTTCAAAGGCTACAGTTTGTTTTAAATCCTTAAGTTCTACAATAGCCACTTTGATTTTATCATTATGTAGAGGAAGAATACTAGTTTCCTTGGGGGATAGTGTAGAAGGAAGTGTAGGAGGCGAAGGAGTAATATAATATATCTTGAAAGATCCATTAAGATATGTCCCTGACATTTCAGCTCCCATGCTGTATAAGTGACTTAAGTAGGAGAAGTGGGAGTAAGACAGAAATTTGCACTGGATTAGATTAGTTATACTGGCAATTGGGGGTGGGGTGCTTCCTTTAGCAAAGTGAATGTATGGTTTTAAAGACATACAACCATCTGTTGATGAGGTCCAGTCTTGATATTTGGTTGTTCACATAATTTCATTTTCCCTATTGCAGATATGTTTTCCTGCATTTGTTAAGGAACAAGGGTCTTGAGAGGGAGAGCCTTTTGTCTTAAAGGGGAAGAGATACTTCTGTGAGGCTAAGAGTTGCCTTTGACTTTGGAGATCTTCACAGGGTATAATAAGACAAGCATCAAAGGTAATAGTTTGGGGTCAACTTGACCTGGTTACGTTAATAAGGAGAGGACTAGCAATAGCAGGGGAAGATAAAGAAATATAACATAAGAAGATCAAACCTGTTTTAACTTTAACTTGGTTGGAGTTGGCCCTGGAATAATTGTCCATGATTCTGGAGGGCGTCGTGTTCTTTTGATCCTAGTGTGATGAATCCATCCCCTTTTAGCAGTATGGACAGCTAACTTGGTCATTAGAAGCACCAAATACTGTCCTTCCTAGGTGGGATCGAGCTTCCCATCTTTCTAACCTTTGAAGAGAACATAGTCTCTGGGCTGGTGTGGTGAACTGGGTGGCATCTGTGCTAAGAGGCCTTTGGTCCTAAGGGAAGAGAAAGTGGGGGATATACCAAGTATATAGTTTTTGAGGAACTGATCTTCCATTTTGAACATAGGGATGTCAGCAATGGAGTGTAAATAAGGGAACCCATACAGCATTTCATAAGGGGTTAAGCCAGTATCTTTCTGCGGGACAGTTCAGATTTTTAACATGGTGAGGGGGAGGCATGTAGTCCATGGCAACTGAGTTTTTAGGACTGATTTAGTTAGGCAGTTTTTGAAAGTGTAGTTCATTCTTTCTACTTGTCCTGTTGAAGGTAGGTCCCAGGGGGTATGGCAGTTCCAGGTTATATCTAGTATTTGTGCTAGTTTTTTAGTGACATAAGCAGTGAAATGAGTCCCATTATCTGAATTGATATTTTCTATTAATCCAAACCTGGGTATAATATTTTCAACTAATGCCTTGACTACATTATTAGCAGTTGCATTTGAAAAGGGAATAGCTTCTGCTCAATGAGGAAGGCGATCTACTATCATTAATAAATATTTTAAGTGGCCGATTGGGGGCATTTCAGTGTAATCATATTGGACACTTTGGAACAGACTTAATCCTGGATTTCTCCTTCCAGGAGATAGTTTTCTGAGGGTCTGCTTATTAGTCTTTTTACGTACCAGGCAGCTATTTGTAAATTGTCTTGCTAAAGTATAAATTCCTGTACATCCATGAACCCTGAGGGCTGCATCATCCATAGCTTGAGGTCCCCGGTGAGTCCCTTGATGCAAATGAGAAAGAACTTCTCTCATGAGGGTTTTGGATAACATTTCTCTTTGGTCTGGTAACACCCATAAAGGTTGTCTAATAGTGGCTTGAGTTCTCTTAGGTTTTGGATCTTCATGCTGGTTAAAGGAGCATTAATAAAACTAATGCCTTCTCCTCCTAGGGGCACCTCTCTTAAGGAAAAGATGGCTGGAGCTGATTCTCCTGAGGTAGAGGGGAATCGGGAGTTCTGAATACCGTTTTTTACATTGCTCTATCTCACGTTGAAGTCCTTTCAGAGAAGCGTACTTAGGCTGGTAGTGAAGAGGCTCTTGGGATGATTACCAAGAGGCAGGGGTACAAGGAGGTGGGACAATGTGAGTAGGAGAAGCATCTGAGAAAACTGCCTCTGCTTGAGGGGGAGGTAAATTAGAGTTAGGAGCATTGGATTGGGCAAGTTTGTCTAGGGGGTCCCGTGTGTTGCTGGGCTGTCTAGGAATAGGGACTTTATCTTTTTCAGAGGAGTTAGTCTTTGACTTTCTCCCTCCAGTTTTTAGAGGGTAAAGGAGGACAGGTCCTTGCCACCAACATAGGGCATAATTTATCTCCTCCTGGGAGATGAAGGTTTTGTCATCATATGTTCTATTAAAAGCTGACAAATCCAATCCTCATTTGACTCCAACTTTGGCCAGAAAACTGAGGGTTCGAAGATTGGTTCCTGGGTTCAAATGACATAACAATATTTATCATCTGTTGCTTTCTCTTGTGCTTAGTCCTTTCGTTGTCTTTCCAATATTTTAGCATAAATTATTGGGAACTTTCAGGGGGAATGTTATTGCTGCTAGCTTTATCCTTTTTTACCCTCTATCTTACCTGGGGTATTTCCCATCTTAATAGTTTTGAGGTGACACTCAATCTCCCCTATTGGAAATGTCTTGCCTTGTCTATTACCAAAGGTTTGTGTTAGGCTCAATCCCCCCTACTGGAGATTTCTTTCTTTCTTATCCTGGAGGCTCAACCCCCACAACTGGAGGTTTCTTGCACTCTTCTCCTTCTGCTTCTTCCTTTCTGGCCACTTCCCCAAAGTGAATTTAGGTCCCTTTTAACATTGGCAGGTCAGTATAAACCCCTGATAGGACCCCCAAAGGGGCACCATAGCCAAATCTCAGATTGCACTCACTCACTCTGCACTCAGTGTACTTGAATATGAATCACACACTTTCAACTTCCAAGATATCCTGACCACCAAGGAAGGACTTTGTCACTTTTGTGATGCTTGTTACCTTGGTCTGTGCACAGATTTACCTGGTTGCCATGGTATGTGAGGATTCTTTCTTCCAAGTTGTTGGCCTGTTTCTTTCCATATTGCTGAGAGTCTAGGTTTATTCATTGCACTGAGTGGGTCCCAATCTGTCACCTTGAGGGCACCACAATAAGGCAGCAGGATGTATCTCCTGATGAGAGGTGACCCTTTCTCTGGTGGAGAATGGGAATCCTCATTGAGCCCCCAGATTGTTAGAAACAAGTACTCAATGCTGCAAAGAAGAACTAGCACTCAGGCAAAAAGTTTTCTCAGCAAGACAATTTACTTCTGCAGAAGGGTGCTGCCTGCATCAGTCACAGTTACAAGAGCACACTAAACAAAGGACGAAAAGGGTTGTTATTCCTAAAGCAGTCCCTACCCATTTGTCACTCCCACATGGGCTGGTGTCAGATCGCACAATCTAAGCTGACCCAACTGGCTATTTGTGAATACTTTCCCAAATAAGGAAGGGAAGGGGGATGTGAGTGGCAGAACAAGTGGTTTCAGCAGGAAGAATAGCTGCAGAGTGGGCAACCAGGGGAAGAGATGTGAGTTATTGATTAGAGCTGGTGGGAATGTTGTTTACCATAACTAGGGGCAAGGAGGGACAAAGAATGAAGAAACTAGGCTTTGAAAACAGAAAACAAAGAAGTAAGTTGAACAAGCTGACTCTTTGAAGAGGAACTTACTGTACCTAACAATGAGGCAAACAGAAGGCCTTCCAAATCAGATGATCTCTAACCAAAACCTCCAAGAGTATCCTTACAAACTTTTCTCCTATTCTCCATCTGAGAAATCTATTTGAAGTCTTTCTGAATGAGAAATCTCCCAAACAAAGACTCTTCCTGCTAGTTAAAAAGAGCCAGCCAAGATCAACCCCTCACTCTAGCAGCTGAGGAGACACGATGCAATGGGTCTGCAGACAAAGACATCCCATAGTGGAGCTACAAACTGACACCCCATAGTGAAGCTACAGATACCACACCATAGGGCTAGAGAAATAGGAAAAGGAAGGTAGCATTGGCAGCACCTAGGACACTCATAAATCTAGGCACCCACAATGGGGCCACAGACAGACACCCCATCATAGTGTTTCTGAACCAAACTGTGAGGGATTGAGCAACTATTTACCACAGTTCAATTATGAGATGCAGATTAGCTGGGGAGGAAGAGAGTTTTTATTTCTGTGAGTGGTTACAGGAAGAAGGCCTGGAAATTATTATCAGAACAACTCAAAATTAGAAGGTTTTCCAGAGCTTATATATTTTCTAAGCTATATGTCTATATGTAAGTGTACATTCATCTAAACATATAAGTGATTAGCTTTTTTAAATTTATAACTAAGGTCTGAGTCTTGAAGACCTTCTTCTGGAACCTCAGTAAATTTACTTAATCTAAATTGGTCTAAGTGCTAAGCTGATTATCCTTATTTTGTCTCTTGCTAAATCATGGAGGTTTGGGGAGTTCCTTCAACCCCCAATAAATTTGTCTGTGGAGGTGTGGGGAGTTTCCTCAAACCTACAATAAAACTTGTTTAGTTCTAAATGGGTCCTGTTAGGAATCCCTTCATTATTTTGTCATGCTTTCAGGTCCAGGAATGGCCTAGTCAAAACTCTTGGTGTTTTTTTTTTTTTTTTTTTTTTTTTTTTTTTTTTTTTTTTTTTTTTACATCCCAGCCTTTGTATAAAGTCACTGGCTTTTTTTTAAGCTTTTAATATTTAACTTAATCACTCAGTCAGTACTGAAACAGTTGTTTCAGAGACCTGGTCTACCACAATCCCCACCATCAATTGGCGCATGGTTTCTATTATGTTTCTACACAGGGAGATGGGGCATAATAATCTTTTTGGCTACTTCCTGCTGAAATGGGGGTCATCATTATGGGACACCCAACCCAGTGCTGGAGTATAAGAGGGTGGTTTGTTTCCAGTAGCACTCTCTGTTTCAAGGAGCTAGAGGAAGCATCTGCTGAAACATCTAGTCTTCAGTTTACAGAGCATTAAGAAAGCACAGGTTAGGTTTTAGTGATTTCCAATTAGGACAAAATGGGGTAAAAGAAAAAGGAAAAAAATTGAAAATATTATTTTGGAATTTAACTCAAACTGCAGAAAATAATAAAAATTAAAAAACACCAGGCAAGACTAGAATTTAACAATGGATATAATATAGTTTTGGAAACATTCTTCTCTCTCCAGTTTCCCATTTTTATTAAAGAGAAGTCATGATAGGACATATTTACTTTATTATACTTGGTCAGATTATTTTAATAAAGTGCAGCAAGGATAGTTGTTTTTTATGTAGGCCTTTTAAACTAGCATTGATGGAACTTTGTTCCATAGAAAGAATATGAGATAAGACCTTTTCAAAGCTGAGCCCAGCCATGGATTTCTACCATCAACTACCTATGAGTTGGGTGAATTCCTCTCCTTTTGAGGTTCCAAGATGACATGGGGTTCCTGCCTGTCAGAAAGTGACTTCCTTTATTTAACACAGATCAGAATCCCTGTATACAGGGACTGTGTACACAAAATATGAGACTTTATTGGCTCCATAAGGCAAGTTTGATTCTTTAAAAAAGAGCATCCCATTCCAATCAAATATTTGGTAAAATAAGCTGTGTCTCCAATTGTGTCCTGTTAACAAAACAGAACAGACTCGTATTGCTCTTACACAAATAACTTTACTGCCATAAGTTAAGAATACTCACAAATAGTTTCCAAAGTCTGAAGAATCAGGTAGAGAGAAACAAATATGCTCCAAATTTTGTTCATAGGGATAGATTTTGCTTAATTGTTAAAAGCTGTTAGTAGCTCAAAAGAAAACTTTCCTTGATTCTAAAAAACAAACCAAAGATTAGCATACTCAATAGCTTCATGGCATACAATCTGGTTAGCTCAATCTTTTAGCACGTTTGTTCCTGATCTCCATTCTTCCATGGTAGTGAAAGGAATGTGCACACTTGTGCATGGAACAGCTCTCTGGAGGGTCCCTATTGTCACAACCTTTCAGTCAATGAATTCAGCATTGTCTTATTCCTTGCGGGCATGCCAAACTTGTTCCCAGACCAAAGAGAGGGTTGGACTGCTATTTCTCATGGCCCAATAACAAGATGCAGAGAAACTGAGGAGAAGGAGAGTTTTTATTTCTGTAACTGGTTACAGGGAGAAAGCCTGGAAATTATCACCAGATCAACTCAAAATTACAAAGTTTTCTAGAGTTCATATATCTTCTAAGCTGTATGTCTACATGTCAGTGTGCATTCCTCTAAAGATATAAGTGATTAACTGTTTTATTCTATAACTAAAGTCTGAGTGTCAAAGACCTTTTTCTAGAGCCTCAGTAAGCTTACTTAATCTAAATTGGTCTAGGTGCTGGAGTAATTACCTTATCTTGCCTCCTGCTGAATCATGGAGGTTTGGGGAATTCCTTCAGACCCCCAATAGACTTGTTTGTGGAGGCCTGGGGAATTTCTTCAGACCCACAATAAGACTTGTTTAATTCTAAATGGGTGCTGTTGAGAATTCCTTCATTATTTTGTTATGCTTTCAAGCCCAGGAAAGGCCTAGGCAAAGCTCTTGGTGGGATTTGGTTACATCAGCCTTTATATAAGTGCAGTGGTGTTTTTTAGCTTTTCATATTTAACTTAAACACTCAGCCAATATGAAATGTTATTACTGGCCTGCACAGTGGGGCTACAGAACCAGTGGAGAGAAGAAAGGAGTTGTTGGCAGCACCTAGGATACTCACCAAGCCAGACACTTTACAATGGGACTACAGACATAAACCCCACCATGGGGCTACAGAACCAGTTGGGAAAAAGAAAGGAGGGATTGGCAGTGCCTAGGATAGTCACCAATCCAGACATCATGTAATGGAGCTAGAAATAGACACCCCACCATGGGGCTACAGAAAAACACCCTGTGACAGGGCTACAGTTAAGAGAGGTCTCCCCATGACTCTCCCATTTCAATTAAATCAATGAACATTGCATCAGTGGTGCCCCACCAGTAGAGACAGTACCAGAGCCACCGCCCAGCCCAAGAGAACTAGGTAGCCACTTGGGCTAGCTTTTAGATCCATTGCTGGAGTGAGGCCACCAAACCATGGGCAGGTAGCCACAAAGGTTTTTCCTGAACAATGCACCAAATTTGTAACTGCACAATGGGGTCGCTTTGCCAAATACCTAGACAGAGCTGATTTATCAAGACAGGGGAATTGCAATAATAAAAGAGTAATTCATGCAGAGCTGGCTATGTGGGAAACCAGAGTTTTATAATTACTCAATTCACTTTTCTCAAACATTTGGATATCAGAGTTTTTAATGATAACTTTGTGGATAGGGGCTTGGGAGGCAGGGATTTCTTACTGGTCAAGTTGGAGGCAGAATCACAGGGGGTTCACTGTCATAATTTTCTCAGTTACAATTTTGCAAAGGTGGTTTCCTTGGCTTTAGAGTTTTTGCTCATAAAGGTTTTTATAATAGTACTGAATGATCTTTTGAATTTCGGTTGTGTTGGTTTAAGTGTCTCTGTTTTCATTTCTAATTGAGCTTATTTGCATATTCTCTCTTGTTTAATCTAGCTAAAAGTATAACTTTTTTTCCCAAAGAAAAACAGCTTTTTGTTTCATTGATCTTTTGTGTTGTTTCTTTTGTTTGAATTTCATTTATTCTGTTCTGATATTTGTTATTTGTTTTCTTCTTCTAGCTTTGGGTTTAGTTTGTTCTTGTTTCTCTAGTTCATTGAGGTATGACAGGAGGTTGTCAGTTTCTGCCCTTGACCCCTTCAGGCTTTTCTACATAGACATTCAGTGCTATAACCTTTTTTTGTAAAGCACTGATTTCACTGTATCCCACACTTTTTGGTAACTTGTGTCATTATCATTATTCAATTCAAAGGATTTTTTAACTTTTATTTTGATTTGATTGTTAACCTAGATACCATTCAGGAGCAGATTATTTAATTTTAATTTATTTATGTAGTTATGAGTGTTTCTTTTAGAGTTGATTTCTACTTTTCTCCACTGTGATGTGAGAAGATATTTGATATAATTTTTATTAAATATTTCTTGGGTAGAATTTTTTATGAATATTTGTTACATCCACATGTTCTAGTGAGTCATTTAAGCTTATTGTTTCTCTGTTGACTTTCTTTCTCAAAGATCTGTCTAGTGCTGTCAGAAGTGTATCAAAGTCTCCACTATTATTAGGTTGCTTTCTTTCTCAATTCCTAGGTCTAGTAGTAATTGTTTTATGAATTTCGGAGCTCAGTGTTAGATGTATGTAAATTTGGATTTTAATTGCTTCTTGTTGGATTGATCTTTTTATTATTATATAATGACCAACTTTAACTTTTTTTTTCTGTTGTTATTTTGCAGTCTGTTTTCTCTGATATAAGAATAGCTACAAGGTGAGTGGATTATTTGAGGTCAGAAGTTTCAGACCAGCCTGGCCAACCAGGTGAAACCCCATCTCTACTAAATATAAAAGAAAAAAGTGAGATATGGTGGCACATGCCTGTAATCCCAGCTACTGGGAAGTATAAGGCAGGAGAATTGCTTGAACCCAGGAGGCGAACATTGTAGTGAGCCAAGACCGCTCCTTTGTACTCCAGACTGGGTGAAAAAGCGAGACTCCATCTCAAAACAAAAACAAACAAACAAAAAAGGAATAGCTACCTTTGTTTTCTTTTGGTTTCCATTTGCATGGGATTTCTTTCCTTTCTTTTTTTTTTTAACCTAGAGTTTACATGAATTCTTTCATGGTAGGTAAGTCTTTTTAAGACATAAGATATTTGGATTGAAATTTTTTTGTTCATTCTTCCATTCTGTATCTTTAAGTAAAGTGCGTAGGTCATTTACATTCAGTGTGTTAATATTGAGATGTGAAGTACTGTTGTCTTATTGTGTTAATTGTTAACGTAGGTTGTTTATTATTGTGTTATTGTTTTTCAGGCCCTGTGAGTTTTAAGCTTTTAAGACTTTCTATTTTTGTGCATATTAGGGTTTTGCTTCAAGGTTAAAACTTACTTTATCATTTCCAGTTGGCACTGCTGCTGTGGAAATGACAAATTCTCTTGATGTGTATTTGCATGAAAATGACTTTTTATAGTTCAATTATAAAACTTAATTTCACAAAGTATAAAATTCTTGGCTGATAGTTTTTCTTTTTAAGGAAGTTGAACATAAGACCCCAGTCCCTTCTTGCTATAAGTTTCCTGCTGAGAAGCCGGCAGTTACTCTGATTTTTTTTTTTTTCTTTTGGAAATTACCTGTTGTTGGATTTAAATATCCTTAAGACTAAATTCCTTGGTGATCCTTTTGCAATAAATTTGTCAGGAGTCCCGTATGCTTCTTGGATTTGGTTATCTCTAGACAAGCCAGGGAAGTTTTACTCAATTATGATATGACGATGATATCTATATCATAGAAAACTTTTTGTTTACACCCTGAACTGCTTTTTACATTTCTTTATGATGGTTTGCCTTTCATCTTTCTCTGATATCTCCTGGAGTAGCTTAATAACTTACCTGCTGAACCCCTTATCTGGTATTTAACTTTATTATGACTTGGATTCATTGCTGAAGAGAAAGTGTGATATTTTGGGGTTTTCATAGAATGCTGTTTTGTTGTATTACTGGAATTACTTTTATGGTTGCTACTCATTTCAGTACACTGTTTTTTTCTAATTGTTCTCAAATTTATGTTTAATTTGACTTTTTTTCTGCTTGTTTGCATGATTTTTTTTCTTTTTTAAAATTATACTTTAAGTTCTAGGGTACATGTGCACAACATGCAGGTTTGTAACATAGGTATATATGTGCCATGTTGGTTTGCTGCACCCATCAACTTGTCATTTACATTAGGTATTTCTCCTAATGCTCTCCGTCCCCTAGCCCCCCACCCCCAACAGGCCTTGTGTGTGATTTTCCCTACCCTGTTTCCAAGTGTTCTCATGTTCAATTCCCACCTATGGCTGAGAACATGAGATGTTTGGTTTTCTGTCCTTGTAACAGTTTTCTGAGAATGATGGTTTCCAGCTTCATCTAAGTCCCTACAAAGGACATGAACTCATCCTTTTATATGGCTGCACAGTATTCCATGGCGTATAAGTGCCACATTTTCTTAATCCAGTCTATCACTGATGGACATTTGGGTTGGTTCAGGTATTTGATATTGTGAATAGTGCTCAATAAACATATGTGTGCATGTGTCTTCATAGTAGCATGAATTATAATCTTCTGAGTATATACTGAATAATGGGATCACTGAGTCAAATGGTATTTCTAGCTCTAGATCCTTGAGGAATTGCCACACTGTCTTCCACAATGGTTGAACTAATTTACACTCCCACCAACAGTGTAAAAACATTTCTATTTCTCCATATCCTCTCCAGCATCTGTTGTTTCCTGACTTTTTAATGGTCACCATTCTAACTGGCCTGAGATGGTATCTTATTGTGGTTTTGATTTACATTTCTCTAATGAACAGTGATGATGAGCATTTTTTCATGTGTCTATTGGCTTCATAAATGTCTTCTTTTGAGAAGTGCCTATTCATATCCTTTGCCCACATTTTGATGGGGTTGTTTTTTTCTTGTAAATTTGTTTAAGTTCTTTGTAGATTCTTTCAGATGGGAAGATTGCAAAAAGTTTCTCTCATTCTGTAGGTTGCCTGTTCACTCTGATAGTAGTTTCTTTCACCATGCAGAAGCTCTTCAATTAGATCCCATTTGTCTATTTTAGCTTTTATTGCCATTGCTTTTGGTGTTTTAGTCATGAATTCTGCCCATACTTTGTCCTGAATGGTATTGCCTAGGTTGTCTTCTAGGGTTTTTATGATTTTAGGTCTAACATTGAAGTATTTAATCCATCTTGAATTAATTTTTGTATAAGGTGTAAGGAAGGGATCAAGTTTCAGCTTTCTACATATGGCAAGATCAGATAGTTGTAGATATGTGGCATTATTTCTGAGGTCTCTGTTCTGTTCCATTGGTCTATATCTCTGTTTTGGTACCAGTACCATGCTGTTTTGATTACTGTAGCCTTATAGTATAGTTTGAAGTCAGGTAGCATGATGCCTCATGCTTTGTTCTTTTGGCTTAGGATTGTCTTGGCAATGCAAGTTCTTTTATGGTTCCATATGAACTTTAAAGTAGTTTTTTCCAGTTCTGTGAAAAAAGTCATTGGTAGCTTGATGGGGATGGCATTGAATCTATAAATTACCTTGGGCAGTATGGCCATTTCATGACATTGATTCTTCCTATCCATGAGCCTGGAATGTTCTTCCATTTGTATGTGTCCTCTTTTATTTCATTGAGTAGTTGTTTGTAGTTCTCCTTGAAGAGGTCCTGCACATCCCTTATAAGTTGGATTCCTAGGTATTTTATTCTCTTTGAAGCAATTGTGAATGGGAGTTCACTCATCATTTGGCTGTCTGTTTTTATGTTATTGGTGTATAGGAAAGCTTGTGATTTTTACACATTGATTTTGTATCCTGAGACTTTGCTGAAGTTGTTTATCAGCTTAAGGAGATTTTGAGCTGAGATGATGGGGTTTTCTAAATATATAATCATATCATCTGCAAACAGAGATAATTTGACTTCCTCTTTTCCTAAATGAATACCCTTTATTTCTTTCTCTTGCCTAATTGCCCTGGCTGGAACTTCCAACACTATGTTGAATAGGAGTGGTGAGAGAGGGCATCACTGTCTTGTGATGGTTTTCAAAGGGAATTCTTCCAATTTTTGCCCATTCAGTATGATATTGGCTGTGGGTTTATCATAAATAGCTCTTATTATTTTGATATATGTTCCATCAATGCCTAGTTTATTGAGAGATTTTAGCATGAAGTTCTGTTGAATTTTGTTGAAGGCCTTTTCTGCATCCATTGAGATAATCATGTGGCTTTTTTCATGGGTTCTGTTTATGTGATGGATTATGTTTACTGATTTGTGTATGTTGAACCAACCTTGCATCCCAGGGATGAAGCCAACTTGATTGTGATGGATAAGCTTTTTGATGTGCTGCTCAGTTCAGTTTGCCAGTATTTTATTGAGAATTTTTGCATTGATGTTCATCAGGGATATTGGTCTAAAATTCTCTTTTTCTGTTGTGTTTGACAGGCTTTGGTATCAGGATCATCCTGGCCTCATAAAATAAGTTAGGGAGGATTCCCTCTTTTTCTATCGATTGGAATAGTTTCAGCTCCTCTTTGGACCTCTGATAGAATTCTGTAAATCTTTGTGGTCCTGGACTTTTTTTGGTTGGTAGGCTATTAATAATTGCCTGAATTTCAGAACCTGTTATTGGTCTATTCAGAGATTCAACTTTTTCCTGGTTTAGTCTTCAGAGGGGGTATGTTTCCAGGAATTTATCCATTTCTTCTAGATTTTCTAGTTTATTTGTGAAGAGGTGTTTATATTATTCTCTGATAGTAGTTTGTATTTCTGTGGGATTCATGATGATATCCCCTTTATCACTTTTTATTCCATTTATTTGATTCTTCTCTCTTTTCTTCTTTATTCTTCCTAGTGGTCTACGTATTTTGCTGATCTTTTCAAAACACTGGCTCTTGGGTTCATTGATTTTTTGAAGGGTTTTCTGTGTCCCTATCTCCTTCAATTCTGCTCTGATCTTAGTTACTTCTTGCCTTCTGCTAGCTTTTGAATTTGCTCTTGCTTCGTTAATTCTTTTAATTGTGATGTTATGGTGTTGATTTTAGATCTTTCCTCTTTCTTTTGTGGGCATTTAGTGCTGTAAACTTCCCTCTACATACTGCTTTAACTGTGTCCCACAAATTCTGGTATGTTATGTCTTTGTTCTCATTTGTTTCAAAGCCTATCTTTATTTCTGCCTTCATTTCATTATTTACCTAGTAGTCATTCAGGAGCAGGTTGTTCAGTTTTCATGTAGTTGGGCGGTTTTGAGTGAGTTTCTTAATTCTGATTTCTAATTTGATTGCACTGTGGTCTGAGAGATAGTTTCTTGTGATTTCTGTTGTTTTACATTTGCTAGGGAGTGTTTTACTTCCAATTTTTGTGGTCAATTTTAGAATAAGTGGAATGTAGTGCTGAGAAAAATGTATATTCTGTTGATTTAGGGTGTAGAGTTCTGTAGATGTCTATTAGGTCCACTTGGTGCAGAGCTGAGTTCAAGTCCTGGATATCCTTGTTAACCTTCTGTCTCATTTATCTGTGTAATATTGACAGTGGGGTGTTAAAATCTCCCATTATTATTGTGTGGGAGTCTAAGTCTCTTTGTAGGTCTCTAAGGCTTGCTTTTTGAATTTGGATGCTCCTGTATTGGGTTCATATATACTAAGGATAGTTAGGTCTTCTTGAGTTGATCCCTTTACCATGGTGTAATGGCCTTCTTTGTCTCTTTTGATCTTTATTGGTTTAAAGTCTGTTTCATCAGAGACTAGTACTGCATCTGCTGTTTTTTTTTTTCTTTTTTCTTTTTTTTTGCTTTTCATTTGCTTGGGAGATCTTCCTCCATCCCTTTATTTTGAGCCTTTTTGTGTCTCTGCACCATTTATTAAATAGGGAATCCTTTCCCCATTTCTTGTTTTTGTCAGATTGATCAGATGGTTGTAGATGTGCAGTGTTATTTCTGAGGGCTCTATTTTGTTACATTGGCACATATATCTGTTTTGGTACCAGTATCATGCTGTTTTCATTACTGCAGCCTTGAAGAATAGTGAGATGGGTCTCCTGAATACAGCACACCGATGGGTCTTGACTCTTCATCCAATTTGCCAGTGTGTGTCTTTTAATTGGGGCATTTAGCTTATTTACATTTAAGATTAATGAGTTATGTGTGAATTTGATCCTGTCATTATGATACTAGCTGATTATTTTGCCCATTAATTGATGCAGTTTCTTCATAGTATTGATGGTCTTTAAAATTTGGCATTTTTTTTGCAGAGGCTGGTACTGGTTTTTCCTCTCCATGTTTAGTGTTTCCTTTAGGAGCTCTTGTAAGGTAGGCCTGGTGGTGAGAAAATCTCTCAGCATTTGCTTGTCTGTAAATGATTTTATTTCTCCTTCACTTTTGAAGTTAGTTTGGCTGGATATGAAATTCTGGGTTGAAAATTCTTTTCTTTAAGAATGTTGAATATTGGCCCCCACTCTCTTCTGGCTTGTAGGGTTCCTGCCGAGAGATCCACTGTTAGTCTGATGTGCTTCCTGTGGGTAACCTGACCGTTCTTTCTGGCTGCCCTTAACATTTTTTCCTTAATTTCAACCTTGGTGAATCTGACAATATGTGTCTTTGGGTTGATCTTCTCATTGAGTATCTTTGTGGTGTTCTCTGTATTTCCTGAATTTGAATGTTGGCTTGCCTTGCTACTTTGGGTAATTTCTCCTGGATAATATCTTGAAGAGTGTTTTCTAACTTGGTTCCCTTCTCCCCATCATTTTCAGGTACACCAATCAAACATAGATATAGTCTTTTCACATAGTCCCATATTTCTTGAAGTCTTTGTTTCTTTTTACTCTTTTTTCCCCTAATCTTGTCTTTTCACTTTATTTCATGAATTTGATCTACAATCACTGATTTTTTTTTCCACTTGACCAAATCTGCTATTGAAGCTTGTGCATGCCTCATGAAGTTCTCCTGCTGTGGTTTTCAGCTGCATCAGGACATTTAAAGTCTTGTCTGTAATGTTTATTCTAGTTAGCCATTCATCTAACCTTCTTTCAAGGTTTTTAGCTTCCCTACATTTGGTTAGAACATGCTCCTTTAGCTTAGAGAAGCTTGTTATTACTGGCCTTCTGAAGCATACTTCTGTCAACTCACCAATATCATTCTCCATCCAGGTTTGTTCCATTGCTCATGGGGGGCTGCAATCATTTGGAGGAGAAGAGGCACTCTGGTTTTTGGAATTTTCAGGTTTCCTGCTCTGGTTTCTCCCCATCTTTGTGGTTTTATCTACCTTTGGTCTTTGATATTGTGATCAATATCAAAGTACCTACAGATGGGGTTTTTGTGTGGATCTCTTTTTTGTTGATGTTGATGCCGTTCCTTTACGTTTGTTAGTTTTCCTTCTAAGAGCCAGGCCCTTCATCTGCAGGCCTGTTGAACAGCAAATGTTGCAGAACAGCAAATATTGCTGCCTGATCCTTCCTCTGGAAGCTTCATCCTAGAGGGTCACCAGCTTGTATAAAGTGTCTGTTTTCCCCTACTGGGAGGTATTTCTCACTTAGGCTACACGGGGGTCAGGGACCCTCTTGAGGAGGTGGTCTTTCTGTTCTCAGAGCTCAAATGCCATCTTGGGAGAACCACTGCTCTCTTTAGGGCTATTAGACAGGATGTTTAAATCTGCAGAAGCTGTCTGCTGCATTTTGTTCAGCTATGCCCTGCCCAAAGAGGTGGAGCCTAGAGAGGCAGTAGACCTTACTGAGTTGTGGTGGGCTTCACGCAGTTTGAGCTTCCCAGCTGGTTTGTTTACCTACACAAGCCTCAGCAATGGTGGGCACCCCCCTTTCCCCACCAGGCTGCAGCCTTGCAGGTTGATCTCAGACTGTGGCACAAGCAGTGAGCAAGGATCCATGGACATGGGACTCTCTGAGCCAAGCATGGGAGGGAATCTCCTGGTCTGCCAGTTGCTAAGACTGTGGGAAAAGTGCTATATTTGGATGTGAGTATACCATTTTTCCAGGTACAGCCTGTCACGGCTTCCCTTGGCTAGGAAAGTGAAATCCCCCAACCCTTTGTGCTTCCTGGGTGAGATGACATCCCACCATGATTTGGCTCACCCTCTGTGGGCTGCACCCACTGTCCAACCAGTCCCAATGAGATGAACGAAGTACTCTCAGTTGGAAAGACAGAAATCACCTGTCTTTTGCATCAATCTCACTGGGAGCTGCAGACTGGAGTTGTTCCTGTTCAGCCATCTTGGAAGCAACCATGGATTTGATTCTGTTGCCATGATACTAGCTGGTTATTTTGCAGACTTGTTTATGTGATTGCGTTATAGTTTCACTGGCTTGTATACTTCCGTGTGTTTTTGTTGTGGCTGGTAGTGTTTTTTTTCTTTCCATATTTAGTGATTCCTTCAGGAGCTGTTGTAAGGCAGGTCTGGTGGTAACAATTTCTGCTACCATTTACTTATCTTAAATGGGTCTCATTTCTCCTTCACTTTTGAAGCTTCTGTTGGGTGGATTTGAAATTTTGGACTGGAGTTTCTTTTTTTAAATAATGTTGAATATTGGCCCTTAATCTCTAATGGGTTGTAGAGTTTATGCTGAGAGGTCTGCTGTTAGTCTGATGAACTTCCCTTTGTAGGTGACCTGGTTTTCCTTTCTGAGTGACCCTCACTTTTTTTAATTTTTCTTTCACCTCGGAGAACTTTTGACTATGTGTCTTGAGGATAATCTCCTTATGAAGTATTTTATTGGGGTTCTCTGCATTTCCCAAATTTGAGTCTTGGCTTCTCTAGCTAGGTTGGAAAAGTTCTCCTGGATGATTTCAAGCAATATGTTTTCCAACTTGGTGCAATTTTTCCTGTCTTTTTCTTGTGGAACTTTCCTTTAACAAAAAGCAGCCTCAAGCCATTTCTTCTTTAACAGAAAGCAGCCTGAAAAATATGCAAACTAGAAGCTTTTATATCTAAATGCAGGTGTACCTGGAAGCCAGGTACATTCAATATGGTGATTCCCACTTTTTTTTCTTGTCACCATGTTTACTGGTGTCATGGCACTATCCAGTTAAAACCATGTGTGCTGTTATCATGACAACCTCCAGGTAGGTGCCACATTTACATAGTAAAAGACTGGGGTGGGATAGCCAGTTATTTTGTTGGCTATATGAACGGCACCCCTGATCAATCCAATCTCCTGGAGCCTTTGTAAATTAGACACCACCTCCCAAAGCCTCTCTACAAAATCAGTTGCATGCCACCGCAATTTGGAGACCGTCTTGTGGTCGACTTGCTTTGTCAGCATGAGGAAGCCTTTTCTCTCTCTTCTTTTCTATTAAACTTTCCACTCCTAAATGCACTCCTTCCGTGTGTCTGTGTCCTGAAGTCTTTTTCAACCATGACTAAGAACCAGGGTATATATACTCCAGATGATGGAGCCATTTCATTTTTGGTGTTCTCACCTGGGATCAGGATCAGAACAAGAACTAGAAACATCAGAGTGGTGAGTTTGGAGTGAACCTCGTCTGTCGTTAATCTCAAGGCTCTCTTCTAAGCAGTTTTCTTTCACAGAAGTCCTCATCATTGCCTGAGCCTGGGAAGAGTCCTGGGGTAACTAAGAATTTCTGGCCAGGGCACATTCTGGTGTGATTCAAAGGCTTCTGGACTGAACCCAGACTCTGACAGCCAGTCTGGATGTTTGTAATGCATCTCCAGCTATCTTGTTGCAAAATTTTACTTCCTTTTCTATCCTCAGTCACTCTGGCTTATATTCTCTCTGTTTGTGCAATGTGAAGGGAGTTTAACAGTTCAGGGAAACAGTTCTGTTAAGAGGTATTAGCAAACACATATTATTCAATAAGTGCCTCGCTGTCTCTATCGGTTCCCTGATGATCCCATTGTATTTCTGAGCCAACATCTCCACCTAGTGGACAAACAAATCCTCTTCATCAGGCACTTTGAAGTTTCCTAATTCTCTCCTTTTGCACTGCTAGAAATCAGGCTCTAAGCCCCTTCCGGGAAAAGGAAGCCTTCAACAATTAGGAGTTAAACGTCCTCTATAGTCAAATTTTAGTCCTAATAATGTCCCAACAGCAGGAAAGACATCTGTTCTTTTAAGACATCTGTTCTGTCTTCAATTAGAATTGTACTTAATTAGTAAGTGGATTTTAATGGTCTAGAAGTTAAACAGAACCACTTTTCTAATGGTAAATGTTTTAGCACAGACTGTAATAGGAGGCAATCTAGCACATTGCCTCCATTAAAGAAGCTTCTACCAAAGACATCGTAGTTTCTTTGAACACTCATTTTTCAGAGAGCCAGGCAAATCACACAGGAGGATAAGCTAAGCTTGCATGCGTAACTTGTGGTTAATCCCATCTCTTAGTTTATCCCATTCCATGGCTTGGAGAACCATGCTCACAACTGTGAGCAGCACATTTAACCCAGTGCTGGGACTCAAAACTCAAGGAGAGAAAATAGTTGGGGGAACACTCCCACTTCCTTCCCATCCATCTTGGGTCACAATAAAAGAAGTGGGGAATAATTGTCACCTCTTATGCCAGATGGGTAACAGACCATTTTTAGCTTGCACCGCTCTGACATGCACTCTGAAACACTGGAACTTTTTTAACCTCAGCAATTTGAAAAGAAAAGCCCTCATTTTCTTTTGCTCAAGGCCATGGCATTTTTACTAAACCTTTGCAAGCTTGTAAGATCAACCCAGCTTTCTTAACAGGCATATCAGGCAGGCATATAGAGAATAATTCACCAGAATTAGAAGCAATTTCCATGGAATCATCTGAGTATTTTCCTTATTTGGGGCCACCTCAAATTCCCTTTTGATTGCAGGACCTTAGGCAAATAAAGGACAACTAAGGCCAATTTTTTGACAACACTAGTAGGCATGCAGAAGCTTTGCAGAATTTAACTCAGATGTTTCACCTCACATGGAAGGATGTTATGCTGCTCTTAAACCAAACCCTAACCACAGCTAAAAAAGAGGCAGCTCTATAGGCAGAAGAGAATTTCAGAGATGAGAAATGTATCTCCTATATTACACCTAGAAAGTAGAAAGCAGATAGGGAGAGCAAATAAATAGGAGAAACACCATTCTCAATAGGAAGGGAAAGTAAGGGAAGCAGTTTTTTTGATAGCCCTGATACCTTAGTAGCTCTACAGATAAATGGAGAAGAAGCACTTTTTAATATGTATTTTAGAGGGCCTATGAAAACCTAAGGCCAAACCTCTCAATTATTCTAAACTGTCTATGATAGACCAAAAGCCAAATGAGAATCCTGAAGCCTTCATGGAAAGGCTGAGAAAGACACTCATAGAGTACCTCTCCTTATCCCCTGATTCAGTCAAGGAACCGTTCATTCTAAAGAATAAGTTTATTACACAGGCAGCTCCAAATATTAGAAGGAAATGACAGAAGCAAGCTACAGGACCAGGAGGCAACTTAGAGAACCCCCTGAAGGTGGCCACTTTGGTCTTTTATAATAGCTAGAAAGAGGAGGCCCAAATGAAAGAGAGAAAGCTCAGGGGAAAGACAAATATTCTAGTGTCTGCTTTGCAGAGTTGCAAAGTGCTAGATCCCTGAGATGTATCCACTAGGTGCTCTCAGTTTGGCAAACCAGGGTATTTTAAGAAGGAGTGGCCAAATAGCAAGAAGCCAGCTCGACCATGTCCAGCCTGTGGTGAAGGCAACTGGAGACCAAAATTCTTCCAGGGGAGGAGGGCAGTGGGTTAAAAATCAGTCTCACAGATGGTCCAGCAGGACCGATGGGTCCTGGGGTTCAAATTCCTGGCTCCAGTGCCTCAAACTGCCAGTATAATACAGGAAGCCCCAGATGATTCTGGAAGTTGAAGGAAGGAAAGTAGACCTCCTTCTAAACACTAGAGCCAGTCTCTAATTTTGTAGTTTCTAATCCAGGCCTCCCCTCTTCTCATAGCATAACCACAGAGGGCATCTCAGGGAAAACTTTAGTTCAATATTTTTCTCAAGCTCATCGTTGCAGTTAGGAGGACATGTTTTTTCCACATGCTTCCAAACCATTGTCACTATGACTCTGCTAGTCGAAAAAAACAAAACAAAACAAAAAACCCCTCCAAATTAACCCAAAGAGATAATAACTTAACTGTTTACAACCCCACATAATGTAGCAGGATTACTGTTCTCTACAGAGAGCTCTTAGCTAATAAACAGCAGGTAAAGCAAGAAGTACATAAGGCAGGATAAGCCACAGCCATGCTAAATAATGTCACTCCCCAGATAAGCACTCAATTAGCTGAACTAATAGCTCTTACAAGAGCATCTAAATTAAGCAAGGGAAAGGTAGTTAACATTTACACTAATTCCAGGTATCTTTATCAGTTCTCCATGCTCATCCTACCATTTGAAAGGAAGGGGATTTTTTTTTTTTTTAACATTGATAAATCTCCCATAAAATATCACCAGAAAAATAACAGGTTATTATTCTTAGTTTTTATTTCACAATAAATAGCAGGAATGCATCATTAGGAACATCAAAAGGGAATAAAGTAGCCAAAGGAAATAGGTTAGCAGATCAGTCAGCTAAGTAAGCAGCAAGGAAGATTCAAGGCATTAACAAGTTCCAAATTATTCTGATCAAGAAGGCTCCATAAGAGAAATTAAACCTTAGTATTTTCCTGCAGGAATAGAATGGGCCACTTCTGAGGATATAGTTTTCAGCCCTCAGAATGGCTACAGTTAGACGATGGCAAACTCCATCTGCCAGCCTCCTGCCAATGGAAAGTCCTGAAAATCCTTCACTAAGCCTTTCACTTAGGAAAGAATAAAATTGATCAATGTGCTAAGAGATTGTTTCCAGGCAGACAACCTCTAAATTGGTTAAGTGTGTAAGCTCTCTAGATCACTTCCAGTAGGAATTAAAACAAGCAGAAGCCCGACCATGGGAAATACAACCACCTTTACTTAATCCAGGAAGTTTAGTATTAGTGAAAACTCAACTCTCTTTCTCTAAGCCAAGCTGTTAAGTGCCCTACATTTTTCTTTCAACTTCCTTCGCGGTAAAAGTTACAGGTGTCAACTTCTGAATACATCATACTCAACTCAAAGCCTGAAGAGCTGAGGGAGCAATCCCTGAAAGCCCAGAGGAATGTCTTGAATATCAATGTGGAGAAATAGAAGATCTTAAGCTGAAAATAACAAAAGTAACTCAGTGAGGGCTACTCATCTTACTAAATTCCACTCACACCTCACCAGATATTTTTATCATTTCCCCCTATTCTCTCAGAACTCACCACCAAATATTAGAACTTATTTTTAACCGTATCTGCAGAGAGATTTTAAATTGCATTTGCAACTTCATAGATTCCCCGGAGGGAAATGTTATATCTTGGCAAGTAAAATTTTAAACCGAAATTATTTACTGCTTCATTTTTGAGGGAATTGCTATAGTCACGTTACTATTTCCAAAAGAACTATGTGCTATGACACTCACAGTATGGAATTCTGGTTGCAAAATTCTAATTACTGTTGTATTTTGTGAAATTATCATCTTAATAATGAATAATTGCAGGAAAGATTTTGTCAAGATTATTTTGCTTATATTAGGAGTAATAGTTACAAACAAGAAGTATGCATGAAAGTTTTACTTTCATTAAGTTTGATAGAACTTTTTATTGAAAATGAGAAATATGGAACACTCTAAGCTATGGAAATAAGGTTATAAAAAAAGAGATTTTATACAAGGAAGGATCTTGTATGGTAAATTCTTGTCCTAAAAGGAAATGACTGGAATGGCAGTCATTTAAAGGAAGGATGTTTAGGACAGGTCAGAAAGTTTGAGAATGTTGTAAAATGTTTTGTAGAAGTCACAAAATAATTTAATGATTAAAGGAAAGAAATTCCTGAGACTGACAGTGAAGTTATTTTAGCCAGCCAATAATGTATTTCTTCCAATCATATCCCAAGTTATAAAAATGACCTAAACCTAAAATATTTTCCTAAAGGCAAATCATAGGGGAAAGATATATGCTTTCCTCAAAGAAAATGTTGCTTTTATATTAACACTTACGGTAATGTACAGTAACATCAACATCTAGTGGAGGCAAACCAGTAATATTACAATCCATTGGTGTAACTAAGTTCTACTTAGTTCTACTGTCATAGTTAAAGTCTATAGTACCCCTACTAACAGTGGTAATGTTAATATTCATATTCTAACCCTATATTTTAAATGCTCTTATAAAATTTATCTCCTTTTTCCTAGAAATAATCAAACTTCAAATGGTGCTGCAGACAGAGTCACACATGGACACATCATTCTTTTGAGAAAGCTTATATCAACCTCAGGAGGACCTCCATCTGCTGTCCCCTGACATGACACCCCTTTCAGCAAGAAGCAGAGAGAAATAATCATCATCCAACACCTCCTAACAGCAGTTAGAGTCACATCTCCTGAGGGAAGAAATAATACAGGAATTATTAAAAAAATATTTTGAAGCAGGTTTTAGAAAGGGGTAAAAGAAGCCTTAGTGGAATTTTCCTTTAATAAAAAGCAGCCCCAAACCATTTCTTCTCTAACAGAAAGCAGCCTGATGAACACGCAGACTAGAAGCTTTTATATCTAAATGCTGGCAGCTGTACCTGGAAGCCAGGCACATTCAATATGGCATTTTCCTTGTCACCATGTTTATGGGTGTCTTGGCACCATCCAGGCAAAACCATGTGTGCAGGTATCATGGTGACCTCAAAGTAGATGCCATATTTGCACAATAAAAGCCTAGGGTGGGAGGGCCAGTCTTTTGTGGGCTAAGTCAATGGAACACCTGATCACACCAATCCCTTGTGCCTTATGTAAATCAAGCACCACCTCCTTAAGCCTCTGTTCAAAGCCAACTGTGTTCTGCCACAATAGACTCTCTTTTGGGTCTATTGTGTGACATAGTGTGTCTTTTGGGTGACTAGTTTCTCAGCATGAGAAAGCCTCTTTTTTCTTTGTCTCTTGTTTTTTGTATATTAAACTTTCCACTATGAAACCTACTCCTTTTTTTGTTTCTGTATGTCTTTCTTGACCATGACACAGAACCAGGGTATGTACACTCCAGACAATGAAGCTGTTTCATCATGATTTTTAGCTTCCTTGTATTGGGTTACAACAAGTTCCTTTAGCTCAGTGAAATCTGTTTGTATTCACATTCAGAAGTCTACTTTGGCATTTCAGCTATCTCAGCTTTAGCCCAGTTCTGAATGCTTGCTAGAGAGGTGTTGTAGTCATTCAGAGGAAGGAGGGCACTTGGGCTCTCTGAAACACTGAGTTTTCAGTGTTTTTGTGCTGATTTTTTTTTTTTGAGCTCATGTACCTTCAATCTTTGAGGTTGCAGACCTTTGGGTGTAGGTTTTGCTTTGTTGTTGCTGTTTTATTATTTATTTTTTCAAACAGTCTGTTTCATGCATGTCTGTGTGAAGAGACCACTAAACAGGCTTTGTGTGAGCAATAAAGCTTTTAATCACCTGGGTGCAGGTGGGCTGAGTCCGAAGAGAGAGTCAGTAAAGGGAGATAGGGGTGGGGCTGTTTTATAAGATTTGGGTAAGTAAAGGAAAATTACAGTCAAAGGGGGTTTGTTCTCTGTTGGGCAGGAGTGGGGGTCACAAGGTGCTCAGTGGGGGAGATTTTTGAGCCAGGATGAGCCAGGAAAAGGACTTTCACAGGTAAAGTCATCACTTAACGCAAGGACCGGCCATTTTCACTTCTTTTGTGATGGAATGTCATCAGTTAAGGCAAGCACTAGCCATTTACACTTCTTTTGTGGTGGAATGTCATCAGTTAAGGTGGAGCAGGGCATTTTCACTTCTTTTAGGATTCTTCAGTTACTTCAGGCCATCTGAGTGTATACGTGCAAGTCACAGAGGATGCGATGGCTTAGCTTGGGCTCAGCGACCTGACATTCCTGCCTTCTTATATTAATAAGAAAAATAAAACAAAATAGTGTTGAAGTGTTGGGGGGGAGTGAAAATTTTTTGGGGGTGGTATGGAGAGAGAGAATGGATGATGTTTCTCTGGGCTGCTTCAAGTGGGATTAAGGGCGGCATGGGAACCTAGAGTGGGAGAGATTAAGCTGAAGGGAGATCTTGTGGTAAGGGGTGATATTGTGGGGTTGTTAGAAGAAATATTTGTCATATAGAATGATTGCTGATGGCCTGGATATGGTTTTGGATGAATTGGGAAACTAAACAGAAGATACAAGGTCCAAATAAAAAAAGGAGAAAAATGGGTATTAAAGTACTAAGAATTGGGAGGACTTAGGACATCCAATTAGAGAGTGCCTAAGGGGATTCAGCATAATTACTTGCTTGGTTGGCAAGATTTGGGGCTGTATCCTTGAGATTTTTTTATGTGGTCATACATCAGGCCAGATTGATTTAGGTAAAAACAACACTCTTCATTTAAGAATACACAGAGTCCTCCTTTTTCAGCAGTGAGTAAGTCAAGGCCTTGGCAGTTTTGGAGGAGAACTGCAGCTAAAGAATCAACTTGGGCCTGGAGGACTGATAAAGTTTGTGATATATCTGTGATGCTAGCAGAGAAGTCACTAGACAGGCTACAGAAGGTCATGACAGAAGTTGAAATGCCTGCTATTCCAGTACCGAGAGCAATAGTGGAGGCAGAAAGTCCTAAACCAACCAGCAAGTGAATTAGTGGAATAACTCTTTTTTGTCATGTTGGTGTCATAAGGGGAAGAGGGAGCTCTTTGGTCGTATTTGCAAATTGAATTTTGGGGGTAAGGAAAACTAGTGTGCATGTGCCTGTCCAATTAGCAGGTAGACACATGTAGGTAGAGGATCCATAGAGGAAGAAGAGACCTTGTGGGAGGCAAAACTGGAGATGCAAAGTAAAAAGGTGAGAAGGAATGCTGAAAGGGGTGTCTTGTACCCAGACTCCTAGGGATCCAGCTAGGGTGGCAGCCATCAGAGGGTGTAATGGGGACTGATGGGGTAACTGCGTAGAGGGGGAGGTTTGATTTTCACTGTGTATGAGAAAAAGTTGAGTATCTATGAACAACCTTTCACTGTTATTTTTGGGGCTTGGTATAAGTAAACAAGAAGAGGGCCTGGGAGGAGAGTCTGACAAGCAAGGGGAAGGTAGCCGAGGATGGAGTGAAATGCAGGGTAAGTGTCTTCTTAAGCAGTAACTACTGCTAACGTTTTTAAGTTTGTCAGTATTGATAGAGGGCTTGTCTGTAATATGGAGCAGAAAGCCTCCAATTGTTTCAGTGATGTGCGTAGTTGGGCTTTGGAGATGAAGCATAAAGGAACATTGAGAAGGTGAAAGATTACCTAGGAGAATTCCAGTGGATCTTTGCTTAGAGATACATAAAAGAGCGGCAGCAGGAATAGTAGTTTGTGTTGTGAGAGGTCCAAATATGGGGAGAGTAGAGTTAATATAAGGAGAAAGGTTTCTTAAATAAGTGCGGAGGAGGGCGGCAGCTTGCTGATGTGAAATGTCTGGGGAAGTCTTGCTGGACCTGTCTAGAAAGTAAGTGAGTTCTTCAGGAGGGTAAAGGTGAGGGCTGTTAAAGGAAGTTGGGAGGTGTAAGGAGACAGGAGATGTTACCCACTCTGTCTGTAAGGCGGGGACAGCTGTGTAGGCACTGGAGGAAAGGGAAATGCAAAGCCAGCAGTTGTTCACTAAGGAGGGATTAGAAGTGGCTAGGAGAGAATGGGTAAGGTTGATAGTGTGGTGCAGATAGCTGGGGAGAGGTAGAGGGTGACATAAAAGCGGGAATGGTAATAAGAGTGAGTATAAATGTAAAGAATGGAACTTCATCAGGTTGGAAGTATTGGAAGGTGCCTTGCTAGCAAAGATCATCTATCTACTCTAAGAGGGAATTAAGAGTGTTGGTTTGGGGATAGCACCAAGAGGTATCAGCTGTGATGGCTTGAAGAAACAGTGTAAACTGACAGTGTAAACAAGAGTAGGGCATTTATAAGTAGTTGGGAATGGAGAATAGGAGTATGACTAGAAAGAAAATAGTAGGGATGACAAGTTTTTTGGGGCTCGGCCTGAGTGGTGGGGGTGACTTCGTAAAGTCCTGTTGCAAAAAGTAGGGTAAGAATGAACAGACCTAATTTAATGAAGGGATGTATTAAGCTCATTAGGTTTATTACTGTTCTTCAGAAATACAAGTGAGTTTAAGGGGAAGTAGGGGAGAGTACTTGTGACTTCCAGGAGGAAGAGGAGGGATTAGGCTGGCTGTCCGATGGACACAGCTTTATTCTGGAATGGTGAACCCAGTGGGGAGGATACTGCAGGCGGACTGCAGTTGGGGTACTATAGATGACTAAGTAAGGTCTGGTCCATTGAGCTTGTAGAGTTTGAGGGGTCAGATTCTTAACAAGAACTGATCGTCCAGCTAGGGTGTCTTCATATGGCTGGGGATCTGGAGTAGGAAAGAGAAGATTAGCAGTCTGGTGAATTTCCTGTCTAGCCTGTTGGAGGACTGGAAGATAGTTGCCTAGAGGGCTGGTGTCTGGGTTGAGGTTGGGGCCAAGCAATAAAGTGCGTCTATATAAAAGTTCAAATGGACTGTACCTTGTAGCATCTTGAGGACAGGCTCTAATTCTGAGAAGAGCAAGAGGTAAAAGTACTGTCCAATCCTTTTTAAGTTGGAGGCTGAGCTTGGCGAAGTGTATCTTTAAAAGACCATTAGTCCATTCTACTTTTGCTGAAACTTGAGGATGGTAAGGGATACGAAGGTTCTATTGAATACTAAGAGCCTGAGAAACTGCTTGGGTGATTTGACTAGTAAAGGCTGGTCCATTATCAGACTGTATAGAGGTGGGAAGACCAAACTGAGGAATTATGTCCGACAGAAGAGAAGAAATGACTGTGGTGGCCTTCTCAGATGCTGTGGGAAAGACTTCTACCTTACAAGTGAAAGTGGCTACCTAGACTAAGAGATATTTAAGTTTTCTTACTTGAGGCATGTGAGTAAAGTCAATTTGCCAGTCCTGGGCAGGGGCAAATCCCTGAGCTTGATGTGTAGGAAAGTGAGGAGGCATAAGCAATCCCTGAGGGGTAGTAGAATAGCAGTTGGAACACTGAGAAGTGATCTCCTTGAGGACAGATTTCCATGATGGAAAGGAAATGAGAGGTTCTAAGAGACAGGTAGTGGTTTGTAACCTATATGGAAGAGGTTATGAAATGACAACAGAATAGAATGGGCATGTGAGGCTGGAAGGAGATATTTTCCTTGGTCTAAGAACTATTTGCCTTGTGTGGGAAGAGATTGATAGGTGGAATTTTCAGTGGGGCAGTAGGTGGGAGTGACTGATGTGAAGGAGAAAAACTGTCCATGAGGGAGAGAAGTTGGAGAGCTAGCTGCTTGTCTAGCCACCTTATCAGCGTAAGTGTTGCTGTGAGAGACAGAAGTTGGAAAGCTAGCCGCTTCTCTAGCCACCTTATCAGCATAAGCGTTGCCTAGAGCAATGGGATCTGACACCTTTTGATACCCCTTGCAGTGAATGACCCCAGCATCCTTTGGAAGTAAAGCGGCCTCGAACAGACTTTTTATTAAAGAGGCATTAATGATGGAGGACCCTTGTGTAGTGAGAAAATCTCTTTCAGCCCATATGACTGCATGGTGGTGCAAAATATGAAAGGCATATTTAGAATCAGTATAGATATTGACATGTAGTCCTTTTGAAAGAGTGAGGGCCTGAGTTAAGGCAACTAGTTCAGCTTGCTGAGAGGTAGTGAAGGGAGGCAGAGCAGTAGCCTCAATGATAGATGTGGAAGATATTATACCATAGCCTGCCTTTGCTGGTGAATGGCGATTAGGACTGGTGGAACTGCCATCAATAAACCAAGTGTGATCAGAGTGAGAAATAGGGAAGAAGGAAATGTGGGGAAATGGAGTGAACATCCAGTGGATCAGAGATATGCAATCATGAGGGTCAGGTGTGGTATCTGGAATAATGTGGGAGGACAGATTGAAGTCTGGGCCCAGAACAATGGTAACTGTGGGAGACTCAACAAAGAGTGAGTTTAGCTGAAGGAGCCAGGGAGAAGAAAGTATATGTGTCAGGTGTGAAGAAGAAAATAGATTTTGGAAATTATGAGAGCTGTAGAGAGTGAGTTGAGCACAGTTTGTGATTTTGAGGGCCTCTAAAAGTATTAGGGTGGCAGCAGCTGCTGCACAGAGATATGATGGCCAGCCTAAAACAGTAAGGTCAAGTTGTTTGGACAAAAAGGCTGCAGGAGGCAATCCTGGTCCTTGTGTAAGAATTCTGACTGCACAGCCCTGCACTTTGGCTGTGTGTAATGAAAAGGGTTGGGATGAGTCAGGGAGAGCTAGAGTGGGGGCAGTCTCTAAAACTGTCTTCAAGGAATGGAAAGAGGAGAGGGGAAAGGATTTAGGATCTATGGGGTCAGCTAGGTTTCCTTTTGTGAGTTTATATAATGGTTTTGTTAGGATGGCAAAACCAGGTATCTAAAGGTGAAAATATCTAACCATGGGTAGGAAGGAAAGGAGTTGTTGTTTCCTAGAAGGGGTTGGGGTTTGAGAGATCAGTTGGACATGATCGGCAGGGATAGCATGTGTGTTTTTATGAAGAATTATGCTGAGGTAGGTAATGGGTGGAGAAGACATTTGAGCTTTAGAGGGGGATACGTGATATCTTTTGGAGAATAAATGCTGAAGGAGCAGAAGTGTGTCTTGAGACGATTCAAAGGAGGGGCTACAAAGAAGAAGGTCATCAATATATTGAATAAGGTGAGAAGTGGAGGGGTGGTAAGAAAGTAAATCATGAGAAAGAGCTTGGCTGAAGTAATGAGGGCTGTCCTTGAAACCTTGTGGCAGTGCAGCCTAGGTAAGTTGCTGGGACTGATGGGTGTCAGGGTCAGTCCAGGTGAAAGCAAAGAGAGGCTGAGATGAGGGGTGCAGGGCAATAGTGAAAAAAGCATCTTTAATATCGAGAATGGAATAGTGAGTTGTGGAGGAAGGTATTGAGGACAAAAGAGTTCACGAGTTGGGCACCACAGGGTGGACAGGAAAAACAATTTGGTTGATAAGGCATAGATCCTGAACTAATCTGTAAGACTTGTCCGGTTTTTGGACAGGTAAAATGGGGGAATTGTAAGGAGAGTTTATAGGTTTTAGAAGCCCATGCTGTAGCAGGCGAGTGATAACAGGCTTTAATCCTTTTAAAGTATGCTGTGGGATGGGATATTGGCTTTGAGAAGGGTAAGGGTGTTTAGGTTTTAATGGGATGACAATGAGCATGTAATCCATTGCCAAGGAAGGAGTAGAGATGTCCTATACTTGTGGGTTAAGCTGGGGGATATGAGAAGAGGACACAAAGGAGGCTTTGGGTTGGGGAGAAGGGTAGCAATGAGAAGCAACTGTAGTCCAGGAATAGTCAGGGAAGCAGATAATTTGGTTAAAATATCTCAGCCTAATAAGGGAACTGGACAGGTGGGGACAACTAAAAAAGAGTGCATAAAAGAGTGTTGTTCAAGTTGGCACCAGAGTGGGGGCCTTTTCAGGGGTTTTGAAGCTCGGCTGTCAATACCTACAACAGTTATCAGGGCGAGGGAAACAGGCCTTTGTAAAGAAGGCAACATGGAGTGGGTAGCCCCCATATCGATTAAACAGGGGATGGACTTACCTTCCACTGTGAGAGTTACCTGAAGCTCAGCGTCCGTGAAGGTCCAGGGGGCTTCTGAGGTGATCAGGCAGCATCAATCTCCAGTTGCTAAGCTGAGCAGATCTGGGAAGGAGTCAATCAGAGGGCCTTGGGCTGGAGCTTTATGGGCTCTAGGAGTGGCTGCCTGGTGAGCTGGGCAGTCCACCTTCCAGTGGGTCCTTGCACAGATGGGACATGGCTTGGGAGGAATCCCAGGCTGAGGGCATTCCTTGGCCTAGTGGCCAGATTTCTGGCACTTGAAGCAAAAGCCTGATGGAGCAAGTATTGTAGGAATGCTTGACTGCTGTGGCTTAGGCGTATGTGGCTTAGGCATTTTGAAGTTCTTGTATGCTGGAGGTGTGGCTGGGTTTTATCTCACAGCAGAGGCAAGTAATTGTAACTTAGAACTGCGTTGCCATCTGGCTGCTTCCTCTCTATTATTGTACACCTTGAAGGCAAGGTTGATTAATTCCTGTTGTGGGGTTTGAGGGCCAGATTCTAATTTTTGAAGTTTTTTCCTAACGTCAGGAGTGCATTGGGTGATAAAATGCATATTAAGAATAAGGCAGCCTTCTGGCTCTTCTGGATCTAGGGCAGTAAAGCGTCTAAGGGTTGCCACTAAGCGGGCCATGAACTGGGCTGGGTTTTCCTCTTTACCTTGGGTAGTTTCTTTAAGTTTGTCATAATTACCAGCTTAGTAAGCTGCCTTTTTAAGCCTTTCAACTAGGCGGGAAATCATGTAATCTCACCTAGCTATACCTGAGGAATTTGCTTGATAGTTATATTGGTGATCCTCTCGGGGAACTGCTCTAATGCCTTCCTGGGGGTCTGGCTCATGAAGCCGGTGGTTATCAGCATGAGATTGGGCTAGAGAAAAAACTCTTTCCCGTTCATCTGGGGAGAGGGCAGAAGTCAGGATGACATTTAAGTCACTCCAGGTTAAGTTGTAGGACAGAGTTAGATATTGGAATTCCTGTGTATATTTAGTGGGGTCTGATGAGAAAGAGCCTAAATGCTGACTGATCTGAGAGAGGTCTGGTAGAGAAAAAGGTACACGTACCTTGACTATGCCTTCAGCTCCAGCCACCTCTCCAAGAGGAAATTGTTGGGCAGGTGGGGAAGAACAGGTCATTGAACCAAACTGTAAGCTGGAGTGAGCAGGGGAGGTGGTAGAAGGATTATAGGGTGGAGGAGTGGAGGCTGAGGAAGAATTGAGACCTAGCTTGGCCTGGCGAAAAGCAGCTGGGGGAGGAGGGGAAAGGTCAGATGCATCTGTAGAAAAGGAAGACTGGAAAGACTCAGCGATGCTTGGGGTTGGGACTGAGGGGACAGGTGTGAAGGAAAGAAGGAGGATTTGGGAGGAATCACATTGGGAACAGAGACTAGGGAGGTAATGAAGTGTGAAAAATGCCTGGATGTAAGGCACTTCAGACCATT
Source organism: Homo sapiens (assembly GCF_000001405.40). NCBI lineage: Eukaryota > Metazoa > Chordata > Mammalia > Primates > Hominidae > Homo > Homo sapiens. The sequence goes on along the minus strand of NC_000024.10, from coordinate 19,420,062 downwards.
TGCCTATTTTTCAACAAAAATTATTTAGGTCTTGTAGGATGGAGAAATCAAAAGTGCCATTTTCTGGCCATTTAGAGCCATTGCCAACTTTGTATTGTGGCCAAGCAGTGTTGCAGAAGAAAATAAGGCATTTAGGTTTTAGGTCAGGTATGAGTTGAAGAGGTTTTAAGTTTTTGAGAACATAGGCTAAGGGAGAAGAAGGAGGAATGGAGGGTGGAAGGTTGCCCATAGTGAAGGAAGCAAGCCTAGAGAAAAAAGAGAGTAGAGACATGGAGGGAGGGGGTTCAGGGGTTCTTACCCTCCAGAAAAGTGGGAAAGGGGTCAGGGCATGGAAATAAGTGGTGTGGAAATAAGAGATTGGGATGCAGAGATAAGAAGTCAAGGTGCAGAAATAAGGGATTGGGAAGCAGAGATAAGAGGTTGGGGCACAGAAGTAAGGGACTGGGAAGCAGTGTTAAGAGGTTGGAATGTGGAAATAAGGGATTGGGGTGCAGAGATAAGAGGTCAGGGCACAGAAATAAGGGATTGGGTTGCAGAGATAAGAGGTGGGTAGCAGAAATAAGGGATTGGGGGTTCTTGCCCCCTAGAAAAGTGGGACTTGCCGCTAAGGGTGAAGAAGAAGGGGTTGAGTGGTTCTTGCTCCTGCCCCAGAAAAGCAGAGAAGGGTTTGGGGTATTTGCCTCTCCCCCAGAAAAGCAGGACTTGCCACTAAGGGTGAAGGACCAAGGCAGGCATCCCTGTGTGTTCTGACACCTCTGAAACCTGGGTGAATAATCAGAGAGGTGTCCCTGCAATGATTAAACACCAAGAGAAGGCTGCCTTCTCTAGTCCATGACTGGTACCAGAGTTTTGGGTCCACGGATAAAATGTGTCTCCTTTGTCTCAACCAGAAAATGAAAGGAGTTGAAATTAAGACAAGGGAGAGATTGAAGTGTGATGCCAAGATTGAAAGGAGAAAGAGGTTGAGGGATAGTCAGGGAGGTTGGAGAACAGAGTAAAAAAAAAGGCTGCTTACTGGATTTGAAATTGGTGAGATGTGCAGTTAGGAGCCAAGATGGCCGAATAGGAACAGCTCTGGCCTACAGCACCCAGCATGAGTGATACAGAAGACGGGTGATTTCTGCATTTCCATCTGAGGTACCAGGTTCATCTCACTAGGGAGTGCCAGACAGCGGGCGCAGGTCAGTGGGTGCGTGCACTGTGTGCGAGCGGAAGCATGGCGAGGCATTGCCTCACTTGAGAAGTGCAAGGGGTCAGGGAGTTCCCTTTCCTAGTCAAAGAAAAGGGTGATCGATGGCAACTGGAAAATTGGGTCACTCCCACCTGAGACTGCGCTTTTCCGATGGGCTTAAAAAACGGTGCACCAAGAGATTATATCCCACACCTGGCTCAGAGGGTCCTACGCCCACAGAGTCTCACTGATTGCTAGCACAGCAGTCTGAGATCAAACTGCAAGGTGGCAGCGAGGCTGGGAGAGGGGTGCCTGCCATTGCCCAGACTTGATTAGGTAAACAAAGCAGCTGGGAAGCTCGAACTGGGTGGAGCCCACCACAGTTCAAGGAGGCCTGCCTGCTGCTGTAGGCTCCACCTCCGGGAGCAGGGCACAGACAAACAAAAAGACAGCAGTAACTTCTGCAGACTTAAATGTCCCTGTCCGACAGCTTTGAAGAGAGCAGTGGTTCTCCCAGCATGCAGCTGGAGATCTGAGAATGGGAAGACTGCCTCCTCAAGTGGGTCCCTGACCCCTGACCCCCAAGCAGCCTAACTGGGAGGCAACCCCCAGCAGGGGCACACTGACACCTCACACAGCAGGGGTAGTCCAACAGACCTGCAGCTGAGGGTCCTGTCTGTTAGAAGGAAAACTAACAAACAGAAAGGACATCCACACCAAAAACCCATCTGTACATCACCATCATCAAAGACCAAAAGTAGATAAAACCACAAAGATGGGGAAAAAACAGAACAGAAAAACTGGAAACTCTAAAAAGCAGAGTGCCTCTCCTCCTCCAAAGGAACGCAGTTCCTCACCAGCAATGGAACAAAGCTGCATGAATGACTTTAATGAGCTGAGAGAAGAAGGCTTCAGACGATCAAATTACTCTGAGCTACAGGAGGACATTCAAATCAAAGGCAAAGAAATTGAAAACTTTGAAAAAAATTTAGAAGAATGTATAACTAGAATAACAAATACAGAGAAGTGTTTAAAGGAGATGATGGAGCTGAAAACCAAGGCTTGAGAATTACGTGAATAATGCAGAAGCCTCAGGAGCTGATGTGATCAACTGGAAGAAAGGGTATCAGCAATGGAAGATGAAATGAATGAAATGAAGTGAGAAGGGAAGTGTAGAGAAAAAAGAATAAAAAGAAATGAGCAAAGCCTCCAAGAAATATGGGACTATGTGAAAAGACCAAATCTATGTTTGATTGGTGTACCTGAAAGTGATGGAGAGAATGGAACCAAGTTGGAAAACACGCTGCAGGATATTATCCAGGAGAACTTCCCCAATCTAGCAAGGCAGGCCAACGTTCAGATTCAGGAAATACAGAGAACGCCACAAAGATACTCCTCGAGAAGAGCAACTCCAAGACACATAATTGTCAGATTCACCAAAGTTGAAATGAAGGCAAAAATGTTAAGGGCAGCCAGAGAGAAAGGTCGGGTTACCCTCAAAGGGAAGCCCATGAGAATAACAGCGGATCTCTGGGCAGAAACCCTACAAGCCAGAAGAGAGTGGGGGCCAATATTCAACATTTTAAAGAAAGAATTTTCAACCCAGAATTTCATATCCAGCCAAAATAAGCTTCATAAGTGAAGGAGAAATAAAATACTTTACAGACAAGCAAATGCTGAGAGATTTTGTCACCACCAGGCCTGCCCTAAAAGAGCTCCTGAAGGAAGCGCTAAACATGGAAAGGAACAACCGGTACCAGCCGCTGCAAAATCATGCCCAAATATAAAGACCATTGAGACTAGGAAGAAACTGCATCAACTAATGAGCAAAATAACCAGCTAACATCATAATGACAGGATCAAATTCACACATAACAATATTAACTTTAAATGTAAATGGACTAAATGCTCCAATTAAAAGACACAGACTGGCAAATTGGATAAAGAGTCAAGACCCATCAGTGTGCTGTATTCAGGAAACCAATCTCACGTGCAGAGACACAAATAGGCTCAAAATAAAAGGATGGAGAAAGATCTACCAAGCAAATGGAAAACAAAAAAAGGCAGGGGTTGCAATCCTAGTCTCTGATAAAACAGATTTTAAGCCAACAAAGATCAAAAGAGACAAAGAAGGCCATTACATAATGGTAAAGAGATCAATTCAACAAGAAGAGCTAACTATCCTAAATATATATGCACCCAATACAGGAGGACCCAGATTCATAAAGCAAGTCCTGAGTGACCTACAAAGAGACTTACACTCCCACACATTAATAATAATGGGAGAACTTAACACACCATTGTCAACATTAGACAGATCAACGAGCCAGAAAGTCAACAAGGATACCCAGGAATTGAACTCAGCTCTGCACCAAGCGGACCTAATAGACATCTACAGAACTCTCCAACCCAAATCAACAGAATATATATTTTTTTTCAGCACCACACCACACCTATTCCAAAATTGACCACATACTTGGAAGTAAAGCTCTCCTCAGCAAACGTAAAAGAGCAGAAATTATAACAAACTATCTCTCAGACCACAGTGCAGTCAAACTAGAACTCAGGATTAAGAATCTCACTCAAAACCACTCAACTACATGGAAACTGAACGGCCTGCTCCTGAATGACTACTGGGTACATAACGAGATGAAGGCAGAAATAAAGATGTTCTTTGAAACCAACAAGAACAAAGACACAACATACCAGAATCTCTGGGACGCATTCAAAGCAGTGTGTAGAGGGAAATTTATAGCACTAAATGCCTACAAGAGAAAGCAGGAAAGATCCAAAATTGACACCCTAACAACACAATTAAAAGAACTAGAAAAGCAAGAGCAAACACATTCAAAAGCTAGCAGAAGGCAAGAAATATCTAAAATCAGAGCAGAACTGAAGGAAATAGAGACACAAAAAACCCTTAAAAAAATTAATGAATCCAGGAGCTGGTTTTTTGAAAGGATCAACAAAACTGATAGACCGCTAGCAAGACTAATAAAGAAAAAAAGAGAGAAGAATCAAATAGACGCAATAAAAAATGATAATGGGGATATCACCATTGATCCCACAGAAATACAAACTACCATCAGAGAATACTACAAACACCTCTATGCAAATAAACTAGAAAATCTAGAAGAAATGGATAAATTCCACGACATGTACCGTCTCCCAAGACTAAACCAGGAAGAAGTTGAATCTCTGAATAGACCAATAACGGGATCTGAAATTGTGGCAATAATCAACAGCTTACCAACCAAAAAGAGTCCAGGACCAGATGGATTCACAGCCGAAGTCTACCGGAGGTACAAGGAGGAACTGGTACCATTCCTTCTGAAACTATTCCTATCAATAGAAAAAGAGGGAATCCTCCCTAACTCATTTTATGAGGCCAGCATCATTCTGATACCAAAGCCAGGCAGAGACACAGCAAAAAAAGAGAATTTTAGACCAATATCCTTGTTGAACATCGATTCAAAAATCCTCAATAAAATACTGGCATACTGAATCCAGCAGCACATCAGAAAGCTTATCCACCATGATCAAGTGGGCTTCATCCCTGGGATGCAAGGCTGGTTCCATATATGCAAATCAATAAATGTAATCCAGCATATAAACAGAGCCAAAGACAAAAACTACATGATTATCTCAATAGATGCAGAAAAAGCCTTTGAGAAAATTCAACAACCCTTCATGCTAAAAACTCTCAATAAACTAGTTATTGATGGGATGTATTTCAAAATAATAAGAGCTATCTATGACAAACCCACAGCCAATATCATACTGAATGGGCAAAAACTGGAAGCATTCCCTTTGAAAACTGGCACAAGACAGGGATGCCCTCTCTCACCACTCCTATTCAACATAGTGTTGGAAGTTCTGGCCAGGGTAATTAGGCAGGAGAAGGAAATAAAGGGTATTCAATTAGGAAAAGAGGAAGTCAAATTGTCCCTGTTTTCAGATGACATGATTGTATATCTGGAAAACCCCATTGTCTCAGCCCAAAATCTCCTTAAGCTGATAAGCAACTTCAGCAAAGTCTCAGGATACAAAATCAATGTACAAAAATCACAAGCATTCTTACACAGCAACAACAGACAAACAGAGAGTCACATCATGAGTGAACTCCCATTCACAATTGCTTCAAAGACAATAAAATACATAGAAATCCAACTTACAAAGGATGTGAAGGACCTCTTCAGGGAGAACTACAAACCACTGCTCAAGGAAATAAAAGAGGATACAAACAAATGGAAGAATATTCCATGCTCATGCGTAGGAAGAATCACTATCGTGAAAATGGCCATACTACCCAAGGTAATTTACAGATTCAATGCCATCCCCATCAAGCTAACAATACCTTTCTTCACAGGATTGGAAAAAACTACTTTAAAGTTCATATGGAACCAAAAAAGAGCCCACATCACCAAGTCAATCCTAAGCCAAAAGAACAAAGCTGGAGGCATCACACTACCTGACCTCAAACTATACTACAAGTCTACAGTAACCAAAACAGCATGGTACTGGTACCAAAACAGAGATATAGATCAATGGAACAGAACAGAGCCCTCTGAAATAACGCCGCATATCTACAACTATCTGATCTTTGACAAACCTGATGAAAACAAGCAATGGGGAAAGAATTCCCTATTTAATAAATGGTGCTGGGAAAACTGGCTAGCCATATGTAGAAAGCTGAAACTGGATCCCTTCCTTACACCTTATACAAAAATTAATTCAGGATGGAATAAAAACTTACATGTTAGACCTAAAAATACAAAAACCCTGGAAGAAAACCTAGGCAATACCATTCAGGACATAGGCATTGGCAAGGACTTCACGTCTAAAACACCAAAAGCAATGGCAACAAAAGCCGAATTGACAATTGGGGTCTAAATAAACTAAAGAGTTTCTGCACAGCAGAAGAAACTACTATCAGAGTGAACAGGCAACCTACAAAATGGGAGAAAATTTTTGCAACCTACTCATCTGACAAAGGGCTAATATCCAGAATCTGCAATGATCTGAAACAAATTTACAAGAAAAAAACAAACAACCCCATCAAAAAGTGGGTGAAGGACATGAACAGAGACTTCTCAAAAGAAGACATTTATGCAGCCAAAAAACACATGAAAAAATGCTCGTCATCACTGGCCATCAGAGAAATGCAAATCAAAACCACAATGAGATACCATCTCACACCAGTTAGAATGGCAATCATTAAAAAGTCAGGAAACAGGCCGGGCGCGGTGGCTCACGCCTGTAATCCCAGCACTTTGGGAGGCCGAGGCGGGTGGATCATGAGGTCAGGAGATCGAGACCATCCTGGCTAACAAGGTGAAACCCCGTCTCTACTAAAAATACAAAAAAAATTAGCCGGGCGCGGTGGCGGGCGCCTGTAGTCCCAGCTACTCGGGAGGCTGAGGCAGGAGAATGGCGTGAACCCGGGAAGCGGAGCTTGCAGTGAGCCGAGATTGCGCCACTGCAGTCCGCAGTCCCACCTGGGCGACAGAGCGAGACTCCGTCTCAAAAAAAAAAAAAAAAAAAAAAAAAAAAAAAAGGTCAGGAAACAACAGGTGCTGGAGAGGATGTGGAGAAATAGGAACACTTTTACACTGTTGGTGGGACTGTAAACTAGTTCAACCATGTGGAAGTCAGTGTGGCGATTCCTCAGGGAACTAGAACTGGAAATACCATTTGTCCCAGCCATCCTATTACTGGGTATATATCCAAAGGACAATAAATCATGCTGCTATAAAGACACATGCACACGTGTGTTTACTGCGACATTATTCACGATAGCAAAGACTTGGAACAAACACAAATTCCCAACAATGATAGACTGGATTAAGAAAATGTAGCACATATATACCATGGAATACTATGCAGCCATAAAAATTCATGAGTTCATGTCCTTTGTAGGTACATGGATGAAATTGGCAATCATCATTCTCAGTAAACTATCACAAGAACAAAAATCCAAACACTGCAAATTCTCACTCATAGGTGGGAATTGAACAATGAGAGCACATGGACACAGGAAGAGGAACACCACACTCTGGGGACTGTTGTGGGGTGGGGGGAGGGGGGAGGGATAGCATTGGGAGATATACCTAATGCTAGATGACAAGTTAGTGGGTGCAGCACACCAGCATGGCACATGTATACATATGTAACTAACCTGCACAATGTGCACATGTACCCTAAAACTTAAAGTATAATAATAATAATAATAAAATAATAATAATAAATAAAATAAAATGTTACTGCTGAAAAAAAAAACACAAAAAGAAATTGGTGAGATGTTTCTTCGGCTGGTCAGTCTGAGGACCTGAGGTTGTAAGTGGACCTTTCCCACGTAGCAAAGAGCAGGAGGACAGGTGATTGATCTCCCAAGAGAGGTCCCCGATCTGAGTCAAGGCACCAAATTTCATGCGTATCTGTGTGAAGAGACCACTAAACAGGCTTTGTGTGAGCAATAAAGCTTTTAATCACCTGGGGGCAGGCCGGCTGAGTCTGAAAAGACAGTCAGTGAAGGGAGATAGGGGTGGGGCTGTTTTTATAAGATTTGGGTAGGTAAAGGAAAATTACAGTCAAAGGCGGTTTGTTCTCTAGTGGGCAGGAGTGGGGGTCACAAGGTGCTCAGTGGGGGATCTTTTTGAGCCAGGATGAGCCAGGAAAAGGACTTTCACAAGGTAATGTCACCACGTAAGGCAAGGACCGGCCATTTTCACTTCTTTTGTGTTAGAATGTCATCAGTTAAGGCAAGGACCGGCCATTTACACTTCTTTTGTGTTAGAATGTCATCAGTTAAGTCAGGGCAAGGCATTTTCACTTCTTTTGTGATTCTTCAGTTACTTCAGGCCATCTAGGCGTATATGTTCAAGTCACAGGGGATGCAATGTCTTAGCTTGGGCTCAGAGGCCTGACAGTCTGCCCAATTTTCTGTAGGGCTGCTGCAGTTTGCTGGGGGTCTGCTCCAGATCCTAGTCACCACATCTTTTCCAGTACCTGGAGGTTTCTCCAGCGAAGGCTATGAAACAGCAAAGATAGCAGTATGAACCTTCCTCTGTGAGTGCAATCCATGGGAGTATGAAATTTTTGATGACTGAAATACACCTGTAGGAGGAGGCTGGATGTCTTGGTTTGGAGGTCTTACCCAGTGAGGAGAAATAGATTGGGGTCACACTTGAAGCAGTAGTCTGGCCATTTTTGGTATAGCAGCTGTGCTGTGCTGGTGTGTCTCTCTTTCTCACTCAGTTTGGACTTTCCTAAGCCCACAGGCTGGAATACCTGAGCCATACAAACAGAAAAATTGGCAGCTGGCCACTCCCCCAGGCACTTTGCCTTAGGGAGAAGTTAGAAATCTGTTGTCTATAGAATACAAGCAGGTGTGGCTGGAGTCCCTGCTTGGGAGGTGTCACCCAGTGAGGAGGAATGGATAAAGGTCCTGTTTAATGAAGCAGTCTGGCCACGTTTTGGTAGAGCAGCTGTTCTGTGCTGGGGGAGCCCTTCTGCACCCAAACAATTTGTACTTTCCAAAACCACAGACTGAAATTGCTGAGTTGTGCAAACAGCAAAGGTGGGGGCCCCACCTTCCTCTGGGAGCTCCATCCTGTTTCAGATTGGTGCTACATTGTTGACTGTGGCTGGCTGGCATTCCAAGTCAGCCTTATTGTTTGACATGCTGTGGAAGTGAGAACCTCAGACCAAATCTTCTTGGCCCCTTGGATTTAGCTCATTTCCTATGGGTATTCATAGAACTGCCACGTCACCTTGCAGTCACCTTAGTCATGGATCTCAGACCCTGATTATGTAAATCCCCTGGATCTCTGTGCATGCCTGAGAAACAGCTCTAGTGAGATTCTATGCAGCTATATGTGTCGGGCCCAAGGCCCTTGTTCACAGTGATATCTGCTGATCTGAGTGTTTCAGAGATCCATGGAAGAAGCTTGGTTTCCTGGGTTCAGACATTCACTCACCACTTCTCTGGCTGGGGGTGGGGGATTTCCTTTTCTCCATGTTGCTCCTGGGTGGGCCATCATCCTGCTCTGCTTCTCTCCATTTTCCATGGGACAAACCATTTCCCTGATCAGTCCCAATGAGCGTGCCTGGATGTTTCAGTTGAAGGTGCATTATTTAGTCACCGTTTTTGTTCCTCTCTGTGAGAGACATTCAGTGCAGCTGCTTCTAGTCTGCCATCTTTCTTCCCTCCCCTGGCTTCTTAATAATAGCCATTCTGACTTGTGAGATGGCATCAGATTGTGGTTTTGATTTGCACTTAATTATTAACAAATTTGACCTTTAAATATATGTTCATTTGTCATCCGGATGTCATCTTTTGAGAAGGGTGTGTTCATGTCCTTTGTCTCTTTTTTAAAATGAGGTTCTTTGGTTTTTGCTTTGTAAGTTTCTTCTAGATTCTGGGTATTATAGCTTTGCTGGATGCATAGTTTGCAAATATATTTTTGCATCCTGCACGCTGTTTACTCCATTTATTTTATGGTGCAGAAGCTGTTTAGTTGGACAAACTTGCCATTTTTTTTTTTTTTCGTTTATTGCAATTGTTTTCAGAGTCTGCATCATGAAGTATTTACTAGGGCTGATATGCATTATAGTATTTTCTAGGTTTTCTTCTAGAGTCTCTATAGTTTTAGGTTTTACATTCAAGTTTTTAAATCCACCTTATGTTAATTTTTGTACATAAAATTTTTTACAAAATTATGTAATTTTTTACATAAACGGTGAACCCCACATTTTCTTTCTGCACTGCCCTAGTAGAGGTTCTCTATAAGGGCTCTGCGCCTGCAGCATATTTCTGCCTAGGCATTCAGGCTTCTCCGCACATCCTCTGAAATTCAGGCAGAGGATCTCAAGCCTCAACTTTTGTACTCTGTGTATCCACAAGACTTACACTGTGTCATATCTACCAAGGCTTATTATGTCCTTTACCTTCTGAAACAGTGGCCCCAAGATGTACCTTTTGCACTTTGAGCAGAGGTTGGAACTGGAGCAGCTGGGATGCACAAATTAGTGTCCTGAGGTGACACAGGGCAGCAGCACTCTTGTCCTGGTCAGTAACATCATTCTGTCCTCCTCAGTATCTTGGTCTATGATGAGAGAAACTGCCACTAAGGTCTCTGAAATGTCATTGAGGCATTTTCCTCATTATCTTGCCTGTCAACATTTGTCTTCTTTAATTTCTTAACTTATGTAAATTTTTACAACAGCTTACATTTCTCTCTGAAAATGTTATTTTTTTTCTACCACATGCCAGCTAAAAGTTTTTCAAATTTCTACTCTGTGGTTTTCTTTCAAATATAACTTTCAGTTTTACATTATTTCTTTGCTAAAGAATATAAACTTAAGCTCCTAGAAACAGCTGGAAACAGCTGGCCACATCTTGAATGCTTGAATGCTTGAATGCTTTGAATATTTTTGAAATTTATTTCTCCAAATACCCTAAATTATCACTCTCAAGTGCACAAGGCCTCCAACCCCTTTCCTAATAATGTGCAACAAAGGTGATCTTTTCTTCAGTTTCCAGTAAGTTACTCATCTTCATCTGACACGTTCTTAGCCTGGACTTCATTGTTCTTGTCACTGTCACATTTTGGTAACAATAATTTAAATATCTTTGTGAATTACCAGGCTTTTCCTCATCTTCCTGTTAAAACCCAGTAGTGGGATTGCTGGATCAAATGATAGTTCCTTAAGGAATCTCCACACTGTTTTTCATAGTAGTGGAGGTGAAGAGAAAAAAGAACTTCTGTAGCCAACACTGCTATGACTGCACTAGGTCAAAATGGAAGCCACCTCAGCACTGGATCTCACCCATGGGCTACCACCCATGTTGACCCTAGACTTTGTGGCTCTACAATTAGCTAGTGGCAAAACAGCAAAGCCTGTGTTCTTCGCCTCAGCACAGCAAGGTGACCCAGGTTCCACATGCATTCAGAAGTGCTGTATGGGAATGTGTAACTAGAATCGAAAACATCCGAACTCTAACTGGTGTTCTGTTTTATTGCAGATGAGCTAGAACTCAAGCGGTATGAGTCAGTTCTTTTTTTTTTTCCCCACTCTTCTCCTCTTTCTAAAGGCAGAAGGCCCTTATCCTGTAACCACTACCATCTCAACCCACAAAGACTACTGAAAGATTACTGACAATATTCCCTTACAGTTTGTTGTTTTTTTAAAACTATTATTTTAAGGTCAGGGATGTAACAAATGCAGATTTTTTACATAGGTAAACTTGTGTCATGACGGTTTGTTGTACAGATTATTTTATCATTCAGGCATTAAGCCTAGTACCCATTAGTTATTTTTCTTGATCTTCCTCCCACTCATCCTTAGACCCCCTGAAATGCCCCATGTGTATTGCTTAACCCTATGTGTTCATGGAATGCTTCCTGGCCTGGAATTCACTTATTAGGGCTTTTCTCTGGCAGGGCAAGTCCAGAAATGCAGTCCAAAAGTCAAATTCTGGATTATGGGATCCCAAGAACCTACTTGGTGTTCTACCCATCCACCACATGTGGGTTTGCTGCTACCTAAGAAGACAAAGCTCTCTTTACTTTTTCCTCATTTTTTCAATCAGAAGAAATTTTGCCACATATCCACCACAGTTGATAATTTTCTATGTCTCTTCTCAAGCCAGCAAGCCTCAGAGACTCTTTAAAAGCCTTCAGTGTAGTACCCGGGTATCACTGCTGGTTGGTTATTCAGGATCCAAAGGTACTTCTGTGAGTAGTAACATACTCTGCCAGGATAATGTCCTTTTTTTTTTTTTTTTTTTTTTTTTTTTTTTTTTTTTTTTTTTTTTAAAGACTTCTGGTTTTATTCTGGTCCAGAGTGTGTCTAAAATGTCATTTAGAGTTTAGGGCCCCACGATCTGACAAATTTTATACTGCTGTGGTTTAGCGCGTGTAGCCAAGATGCAATACCAAGTCTTCTCTACTTTTTTCTTTCTTCTCTTTATGCAGAAGGAAAGTGAGTTTTTTTGTTTGTTTGTTTGTTTTTGTTTTGTTTTGTTTTTGCTATGAGATGTGCAGCCTGGGATTAGGGGAGGGGTAATGCCAGCATTCTTTTGGCATGACGTGACACACCCACCCACCTGCTCAACGGTTCAGTATCTCTGAGCCTAGGTCAGAACTAGAATTAACCTAAGAGTTACAGTTCTAATGACATAGAATGCCTTTTAAGATTACTTGGAGACACAAAGCACTATATACCTGGGTGGTCAGGTTTGTGGAATCTTGACTTCTGACTCCTGGGATCAATGATTTTCCTATTGTTATTGATGGCAGCTGTGGAACATGTAGATTGACCACTGCCATTACACAGGCTGCAGAAGGGAGGTGTGAGCAGCAAGAATGGCAGAGGAAATCCTGTGCCTGTGTCCCCTGTGCCTGTATCCCCCAGGCTGTCACCTGTACCACCCCCATACTGGCATCACTGGGTGAGACCGAGTCCCAAGCCCAGAGACTTTGCCGCTCTGGATCCTGGCCCTACATCATTACTCTTTTCCACTGCTGCAACAGAGGAGGTGGCAGATAGTCCCCAAAGCCTACCCTTGGGAATCCCCCTAGGGCCTGCCATCTAAAGGCCACCATGACAGGCCAGACACCATCTGGAGAGCAGTGTGGTTGGGCATGGAGAAGCAAACAGAGAAGGACCCAGCAAGGACCTGCAGCCCCTGCCCCAGGCTGTAATGAGGAGCAGCCAGGACTGCATGCTCCATGGAGCCAGTGGGAGCTGGGAAAATGAGACCCTCTCTACTTCTGAGTCGGCATGGCAGAACATCCCTGGATGCAGCTGCAGCTGTCCTGCAGAGGTTGTGGGCCCAGACATCTCTGCAATCTCAGGGGCATGTAAAGGCTTACTGACCCCTCATTCCCTGCAGGCTCTGAAGTGCCTTCTCTCACAGCCAGGCTTCTCCCTACTGTTGGCACCTGCTTTAATCTTGGAGCAAAGTTGGAAAGAGGCTGGGTGCTGTCACAGTCTGGCTTGGGGTTCACATAATCAGGGCAGTGATGACATGTCAGCTTCCTGCTGCCTCTGCCCCTTCTAGACATTGGGTGCCAATAAGCCTTAGTGGGGGGCAAGTGGGGGTCTGAAGATAGCCCAGTGTTGACCTGAGAACACCCCTTAGCATAAACAACCTGGGCACCATAAGATTGACATGAGGCAGACAGGTTCCTGGGTGGAAGGGGGCTAGTCCCTGCTTAAACCCCATCTTCAAACCAGGGAGGACCTGATTCCTGAGGGATGGGCCACCAGTCCCAATAACTGGAGGGGAAATTTTTCATGATTTTTTCTGGGCCCACCCATGGCCAACCATGGGCCAATCACCACACACTTCCTCCCCTCTGAGGTTAATATAAACCTTGTACTCAACCAGACTTGAGCAGAGAACAGACAGACAATGTGTAGATGATGAGATAACCAGCTGCAGAGAAGAACTGCCACCTCAGGCTCTCCTCACTGCTAAGAGCTGAGGAGTCAATGAGACAACCAGCTGCAGAGAGAACCTACTTTTGGCTGAAAGCTGAATAAATGCCACATGACCAGCTGCAGAGAGGAGCTACCTTTTCTGCTGAGAGAGGAATAGCTATCAGGAAAAACTGACTATGGAGAGGAGCTGCTCACTGTGGGTCTCCTTTGAACTGTTCAGTTGCTTAACAAAGCTCTTCATCTTCCTCATTCTCCACTTGTCTGCATAGCTCATTCTTCCTGGTTTCAGAACAAGAAATTGAGACCCATTAAATGGCAAGGCTGAAAGAGCTGTGGCACAAAAAGGACTAAAACATGTTCCATGCTCACCACATTACTGATGAAGAGAAGGAGAGGAGAGGTGTGGCCATTCACGGAACCTAGACATCAGAGCTTCCTGAGCCAGGGCTGTGATGCCTCTTGTGCCACTGCAGTTCCTGGTGTCTCCAAGCTTCCAGGCACCACTGCATTCCCTGATGCCTGTCAGGGAAGCTGCTTGTGGTGTTCCTGGTATAGCTGTAGCCTGTGAGTGAGCCAGTGCTCATGACAGAACTTGGAACTGCTTGTCCCACAGCAACAGCTGGCATGTCTGTCTCTGTGCACTGGCCAGACCTTACGTTCAGTCACACTCCCATCACTTCTCCATGTCTGACTCACTCTTGGAAAGCATGGATCTAGGCTGGTAGCAGGAGCCGAGTGCAGCTTGCCAGGCTGAGAGGGTAATGAGCCCAGAAGACCCAAGCAAAACTTGGGCAAAGTTGCCATGAGCGACAGACGATTTTGGTCAAAATACTGACAACTCAAAAATCCTACAACACTATTGCTGGTATAAATACTTCTTGTGGGGGTGGGTTTCAGCTGAGTTTTGTTTCAATTTCTTTCTGCTTTAACAGAACAAGATGAGTTCAATGCCTCACAACTGCTGTATTCTTTCTCTCCCAGCACCTAGAGACACTCTGCTCCACTGCTGCCAGGAATGGCGTCAGTAAATCAAAACTTTATTCCATCTTTGTAGTGCCCTTTTCAGCAGTATAAAACTAAAACTAGGTATATGGGTGTGTATCTATTTTTTATTTTTTATAAGGTTTTTTTTCTGTTTAGATAGTATTTATTTCATTGTTTTGATAAAATTTGGGAAACAGGTGGTGTTTGGTTATGTAAATACTTTCTTTATTGGTGATTTCTGAGATTTTGGTGCACCTATCATGCAAGCAGTGTACATGATGCCCATGTACTCTTTTATTTCTCACTCTCCTCTCATTCTACCCCTCAAGTCCCCAAGGTTTATTTTATTATTCTTATTCATTTGTATCCTCAGAGATTAGCTCATACTTATAAGTGAGAACATGTGATGCTTGGTTTTCTATTCCTGAGTTGCTTCAGGATAACTTCTTTTCCCTTGGGCAGATACCCAGAAGTGAGATTGCTGGACTGAATGGTAGACCCACTTTTAGTTCTTTTAAATATATCCACACTGTTTTCCATAGTAAGTCTACTAGTTTACATTCCCAACAGTAGTGTAAAAGTGTTTCATTTTCACGATGTTCATGCCAACACCTATAATTTTAAAATTATGATCATTCTTGCATGGTAAGGTGGTACTGCATTGTGGTTTTGATTGGCATTTTCCTGGTAATTAATGAAGTTAAGCATTTTTTTAAAATGTTTGTTTGTCATTTGTATATCTTCTTTTCAGAATTGGCTATTCAATTCTTTTCAAATTTTTAATGACACTATTTTTCTACCCTTGCTGATTTGTTTGAGTTCTTGGTATATTCTGGATATTAGTCCTTTGTCAGATACATAGATTGTAAAATTTTTCTCCCACTCTGTGGGTTGTCTGTTTCCTCTGCCAAGCAGAATGAGGTTTTTCAGTTGAATTAAGTCCCATATATATATCTTTGTTTTCACTGCATTTGCTTTTGTTTTCTTGGTTGTGAACTCTTTGCCTAAGCCTATGTCTAGAAGAGTTTTTCCAATTTTATATTTTATTTTATTTCTGGGTTCTTTATGCTGATCCATTGGTCTGTCTCCTTGTTTTTATAACTATATCATGCTGTTTTGGTAACTGCAGCCTTCCAGTATAGTTTAAGTTGTATAATGTGATGCCTCCAGATTTGTTCTTACTGGTTAGTCTTGCTTTGACTGTGCAGGCTCTTTTTTTGTGTCCTCGTGAATTTTAGCATTGTATTTCTACTTCTCTGAAAAACAAAATTTAGGACTATTTTGTAGTTTTCCTTGCAGAGGGCTTTCATTTTCTTGGTTAGGTATATTCCTATGTATTTTACTTTTTACAGCTATTGTTAAAAGGGTTGAGTTCTTTTTTTAATTTTTTTATTATTATATTTTAAGTTCTAGGGTACATGTGCACAACGTGCAGGTTTGTTACATATGTATACATGTGCCATGTTGGTGTGCTGCACCCATTAACTGGTCATTTACACTAGGTATATCTCCTAGTGTTATCTCTCCCCCCTCCCCCAACCCCACAACAGGCCCCAGTGTGTGATGTCCCGCTTGCTGTGTCCAAGTGTTCTCATTGTTCAGTTCTCACCTATGAGTGAGAACATGTTGAGTTCTTGATTCATTTCTCAGGTTGGTTGCTGTTGGTGTTTCAGAGTGCTAGTGATTTGAGTACATTGATTATGTGTTCTGAAGCTTTACTAAATTCATTTATCAGATCTAGGAGCCTTACAAATTGGTCTTTCATGTTTTCTAGATATATAATTATATAACTGGCAAATAGCAACACATTGACTTTCTGTTTACTGATTTAAATGCTCTTTTATCTTTTTTGTATTGTCTGTTTGCTCTGCCTGGGACTGTCTGTACTATGTTGAATAAAAGTGATGGAAGTGGCCATTCTTGTCTTGTTCCAGTTCTTTAGGAAAATACTTTCAACTTTTCCCCACTGAGTATAATTTCAGGTGTGGGTTTGTCATAGATGGTTTTTATCACCTTAAGGTGTGTCTCTGCCAATTTCACTGAAGCTTTTAATCATAAAGTGATGCTGAATTTTGTCATATTCTTTATCTGCATCTATTGGGATGATTATATAATTTTGTTTTTAATTATTTTTATGTGGTGTATCACATTTCTTGACTTACAAATGTTAAATCGTCCCTGTATCTCTTGTGTGAAACTTGCTTGATTATGATGTATTATCTTTTAAATATGTTTTTCAATTTGGTTAGCCAGTATTTTGTTGAGAATTTTGCATCTATGTTCATGAGGAATCTTGGTCTGTAGTTTAGTTTTTATTATGTTATTTCCTAGTTTTAGTATTAGGACACAATACTTGCTTCATGGAAAAATTTAGGGAGGATTCCTTCTTTGTATTTTGAAATTGTTTCAGTAGGACTGGTGTGGTACCACTTCTTTTTTGAATGTCTGACAAAATTCAGATGTGAATCCATCAATCATAGGGTTTTTGTGTTTTCATTTTTTAAAAAAATTACTCTTTCAAGCTTGCTGCTTGTTGTCCATCTGTCCATAGTTTAGATTTCTTTCCAGTTTAATCTAGGAGGATCATCTATTTCCAAGATTTTATTTGTCTTCTGTAGGTTTTCTAGTTTGTCTCTGTAAAGGTGTTCATTGTAGCCTTGAATTCCATATCTTCTAGCTTTGAATTCTATGTCTTCTAGTGTATAGTTTAGGTTTATTGTTTTTTGGTAGGCTTTCTGTCTTAAACATTTTTCTGCAAATGACATGATCTCGTTATGTTTCATAATGTATAATGTATAACATTTCATGATGTGCGTTTACCGCTTCCACTTTTTTTTATGCTGTCAACCATTGATGAGCATATTGGTTGATTCCATCTCTTTGCTATTGTGAATAATGCTGCATTGAACATACACGTGCATGTATCTTTATAAGAGGGCTATTTATATTCATTTGGATATATATCCAGAAATGCGATTGTTCAGTTAAATAGTATTTTTGTTTTAGGCCTTTGAGAAATCACCCCAATGTCTTGTAAATTGGCTAAGCTATTTTACACTTTCATATCATTAACTGGAGATAAAGACTTCAGCCAAGTCATCCTTTTTCTCTGTAAACTTGCTGCATCTTTTTTTTTATTTTTATTTTTTTGACTTCTTAACAATAGACATTCTGATTGATATGAGATGGCATTTCATCGTGGTTTTAATCTGCACCTCTCTAATATCAGTGATAAGCTTTATTTTTAAAAAAATATGTTTGTTGTTTGCATGCATGTCTTTTTCAAAAACTGTCCATTTCATGTTCTTTGGTGACAATTTTTATAGGATTATTTGTTTATTAATTGTAAATTTAAGATTCTTATAGATGCTTAATATTAAACTTTTATCAGCTACATAGTTTGTAAAATGTTTTCTCCCTTTCTATAAGTTCTCTGTTCATTATATTGACGAATTATTTTTATGTGTAGAAGTTATTAAGTTTAATTAGATCTCATTTGTCAACTTTGCATTTGTTGCAATTACTTTTGGTGTCTTCATCATAAAATCTTTACCAGTTCACAATTCCAGAATGATACTGCATAGGTTACCTTTCAGGGTATTTACAGTTTATGATTGTACATTGAAGTCTTTAATTATCCTCAGTTAATGATTGTATATAATGTAAGAATGTGTCTTGTTTCAATCTTTTGAATATGGCTAGGCAGTTATCTCAGCACGATTTCTTAAATAAAGAATCCTTTATACATTGCTTGTTTTTGTAAGCTTTGTTAAATATCAGATAGTTATATGTGCTCAGCTTTGTTTCTGTGATGTCTATATTGTTTAGTTTATTTCTGTGTCTTTGTTGATACCAGTACCATGTGGTTTTTGTTACTGTAACTGTGTAGTATGGTTTGAAGTTTGGTACCATGGTGCCTTCAGCTTAGTTCTTTATGCTTAGGATTGCCTTGGGTAGTTGGCCTTTTTTTGGGTTTCCACAAAAAAATTAAATAGTTTTTCTTCTAGTTTTATAAGGAATGTCAATAGTAGTTTAATAAAATAGCACTGAATCTATGAATTGCTGTGGGCAGTATGGGCATTTTAATAATACTCATTTTGAGCCAGGTGTGGTGGCTTATGCCTGTAATCCCAGCACTTTGGGAGGCTGATGCAGGTGGATCACGAGGTCAAGAGATCGAGACCATCCTGG
Source organism: Homo sapiens (assembly GCF_000001405.40). Taxonomy (NCBI): domain Eukaryota; kingdom Metazoa; phylum Chordata; class Mammalia; order Primates; family Hominidae; genus Homo; species Homo sapiens. Next base: position 19,401,266 of record NC_000024.10, on the reverse strand, counting down.
CCAACATGGTGAAACCCCATCTCTACTAAAAGTACCAAAAATTAGCTGGGCATTGTAGCGGGTACCTATATTCCCAGCTACACGTGATGCTGTGGCAGGAGAATCACTTGAACACAGGAGGCACAGGTTGCAGTGAGACGAGACTGTGCCAGTGCACTCCAGCCTGTTGACAGAGTGAGACTCCATCTCAAAAAAAAAAAAAAAACACACACACACAAAAACTGATTTTGTTTTTCTATCCATGAACACGGAATATACTCCATTTGTTGATGTTCTCCCTTGTTCTTTTGACCAGTGTTTTGTAGTTCTTTCTATGGAGATATTTCCCCTCCCTGGTTAGAACTATTCCTAGGTGTTTTTTTGTGTGTGTGTGTGGCAATTGTAAATAATATTGTGTACCTGATTTTGCTCTCTGCTTAGTTGCTATTTATATACAGGAATGTTAGCAAGTTTTGCACATTGAATTTGTATTATTAGACTTCGCTGAAGTTGTCTTTTAAATTTAGGATATTTGGGGTTAAATCTACAGGGTTATTCACATATAGAATCATGTTGTTTGCAAAGGGGAATAGTATGATTTCTTCTTTTTCTATTTGAGAACACTTTATTTATTCCTCTTTCCTGACTGCTCTGGACAGGACATTCAATGCTATGTTAAATAGGAGAGATGAAAGACAGCATTCTCCTGTAGTGGTTTTCAAGGAAGAATGCGTACAGCTTTTGCCAGTTGAGGATGAGGTTGGCCATGGGTTTGTCTTACTATGAGGTCTTATTATTTTGAGATATATTTCTTTAATACCTAGTTTATTGTGAGTTTTTTTTTAATACAAAAAGAGGGGTTGATTTTAATGAAAGGTTATTTTGCATTTATGGAGATAATCACATTTTAGTTCTGGGTATGTGATTAGTCATATTTATTTGTATATGCTGAAGTAAGTTTGCATTCCAGAGATAAAAACTACTCAGTCACAGTGAATCATTATATTGGTTTTCTACTTGATTCAGTTTCCCAGTATTTTGTTCACTATTATTTCATCGCTGTTCATCAAGGATGCTGGCCTGACATCTGTGTGTGTGTGTGTGTGTGTGTGTGTGTGTGTGTGAGCATGTGCCTGTGTGGTTGTGTGTGTCTGCAAGGTTTTATCAAGATAATGCTGACCAAGAAGTCCCTCCTCCTCAATTATTTGAAATAGTTTCATCAGGAATAATAGCAGATCTTCTTTGTATAGCTGGTAGAATTCACCTGTGAATACTCTAGTTCTGAGCTTTTACGAGTTGGTAGATTAACTACTACTGATTCAACTTCAGAGCTCATTATTGCTCTGTTTAGGATTTAAATTTCTTTCTGTCTTAGTCTTCGGAGAATGTATGTGTCCAAGAATTTATCAATTCTTTTATATTTTCTAATTTATATTCATAGACATGTACATGATATTTTCTTATAATTCTTTGTATTTTTGTGAGGTCAGTGGTAATATCCACTTTGGTTTGTTTTCTAATTTTGTTATTTAAATCATCTCATTTTTGCTTATTAATCTAGAAAGTGGGTTATTTTGTTATTTTTTTAAAAACTCCTAAATTTGTTTACATTTTGAATTTTTTTTTGTCTCTATCAATTCAGCTCTGATTTTTGGTTATTTCTGCCAGCTTTGGGAATTGTTTGCTTTTAGTTCTCTAATTATTTTAGTTATAATAATATATTATTAAATTAAGATTTTTCTAAATTTTGATATAAGCATTTAGTGCTGTAAAATCTTCTTTTAAAACTGCATTACCTGTGTCCCAGAGATTCTAGTATTGGTATCTTTGTTCTCATTAGTTTAAAATAACTTCATAATTTCTGCCCTAATTTTATTACTCATTCACAAGTCATTCAGGAACAGGTTATTCAATTTGCATATAATTGCGTTTTCAATGAATTTCTTTTCAATGAATTTCTTTGTCTTGTTTTTCAATGAATTTCTTTGTCTTGATTTCTAATTGGATTGCATTGTGGTTTGAGAGATTGTTATAGTTTCAGTTCTTTTGCATTTGCTGAGAAATGTTTTACTTTTGATTATGTGATCAGTTTTAAAGTATGTACCATGTACTGATGAGAAGAATGTATAATCTGTTGTTTTTGTGTAAAGAGTTATGTCGATGTCTATCAGGTCTATTTGATTTAGCACTGAGTTCAGTTCTTGAGTATAATTTTTAATTTTTCATCCTGATGATTTGTCTAATATTGTCAGCGAGGTGTTAAAGTTTTCCACCATTGTAGAGTGGCAGTTTAAGTATCTTTGATGGTTTCCAGGAGCTCACTTTATAATCCTGGGTGTTCCTGTGTTGGGTGCCTATATACGATAGTTAGATCTAATGGTTTGTCTGATGATTTGTCTAATATTGTCAGTGGGGTGTTACAGTTTTCCACTATTGTAGTATGGGTGGTTAAGTATCTTTGATGGTTTCTAGCAGCTCACTTTATAATCCAAGGTGTTCCTGTGTTGGGTGCATATATATGATAGATCCTCTTGTTGAATCAAAATATTTACCATTATAAAATGCCATTATTTGTCTTGTTTTATCTTTGTTGGCTTAAAATCTGTTTTGTCAGAAACTATGACTGCAACCCCTGCTTTTTTCTGTTTTCTATTTGCTTGATAGGTTTTTCTTCTTTTTTATTTATTTTGAGACTATTTGTGTTATTGAATAAACAGAATAGTACACCTGGTGAAAAATATCTTTCAAACATGAAAGAGCAATAAAGACCTATTAAAAGATACAAAAGATAAGGGATTTTTATCAACACCAGACCTGTCCTATTAGAAGTACCATAGGCAGTTTTTGTACCTGAAAAAATTATTAATGAGAAGAGAAATTATCTAAATGTGTGAGATTTATTGATAATAGTAAGCACTCAAAAAATACAGAACATTCAAACACTGTAATTTTTGTATGTACACTATTCATATCTTTAGTAGAAAACCTAAATAATAAACCAATCAAAAATAATAACTACAGCAACACACCAAGAAATAGTATGATAAAACATAAAGAGAAACAAAGAAAGATTAAAAATTGGGGAGATTAAGTTCAAATGTAGAGTTTCTTTAGTTTATGTTTTGTATGTTTGTATGTTTACACAATCAGTGTTCAGTGGCCATGCATTTAAAATAATGAGCTATAACATAGTATTTACAACCCCTATGATATGCTCAAATTGAAAAACATAAAACAGATACCCAAAAATGAAAAGCAGAAAATTTAATCATATCATGAGAAATTATTTTTTATCTTTACTAAAAAGAATATAGAAATAAAAGCAGAAAGAAACCAAAAAAAGAACTAAATAATAATATTTAAAAAGTAAATTTTTATTTACGAATAACATAATATTCATATAAATATAGTAAACTCTCCAATGAAAATACATAGAGTAGCTGAATGAATAGAGAAACAAAACAATAATCTATTTGGTACAGAAATACATATCACATATATGCATAGACTGAAAATAAAGGAATGAAAATAGGTATCCCAAGCAAAATATCTAAAAACAAATACAAAGAAAGCAGGAGTAGCTATGTGTGCATGAAACAATATATACTTCATGATAAAAATTGTAAGAACAGAGAGTAAGGTGGTAATATAGTAATATGAGAATCTATTTTGGGAGAAAAAATTATTGTAAAAACATAGGCACCCAATACTGGAGCAACAAGATTACAGTCAAGGAGAAAAATAGATCCAAGTATAATAAGAGCTGGAGACTTCATTCTCCACCTCTTAGCATTAGAAATATTTTCCAGACAGATAACTAACAAAGAAACACTGAACTTAGTTGGCGCTATAGACAAAATGGTGTTAGTAGATCTTTAGAGGACATTTTATTTAATGATTGCAGAATACCATCTTTTATGAAGCACAACTATCATTTATTAGTATAATTTATGTTAGGTCACAATACAAGTCTTATGTCTATATATTAGCTTCTAAAAAGGTCGGAAAACATTTGAAAACTTGAAATAATATAAAGTATCTTCTTTGACCACAACACAATATAACTACAAACAAATAACATGATGAATTTTGGGGATCTATGCAAACATAGAAATTAAACAATATGGTCCTGTATGGCTGGGTTAATAAAGAAATTAAGAAATTTAAAAAGACTTGAAACATATAATGAAAGAGACACAAGATAACAAAATCTATAAAGTACAGTGTAAGCAGTACTAAGAAAAAACGTTACGTGTCTACCTCAAATAAAGAAGAAAAAATTAGATAAATTAACTACTGATGAATTTAAAAGACTAAACAAGCAACAGCAAGTCAAACCAAAGATTAGTACAAGAAAAAACCTAACAAAAATCAAATAAAAAATAATAAACATAAAATGATTCAAAGAATAACAAACATTAATAAAGGAAGGGCCTTTTTTTTTTTTTTTTGGAAGACATCAGAAAAAAAAAATGGTAGACAGGAGGCAGGACTAAACTGCAGCTCCAGCTGGGACAGATAGGGCAGCAGGTGGAGACCTGCACTGTGAACTCTTATTTCAATAACTACTGCAGAAATATACCAGGAAAGGTGAGATAGTCCAGAGACTCTTTGGAAAAAACAAAAAGCAAAAACAAATTACTTCTGCAGTACCTGGGGACAATCCAAATACTGAGACTGTCCAAATTGTGGAAGTGGGAGAATGGGATCATTTGCCCCTGAAAACACACCCCACTAGGGAACCTAAATGTCGATGTCAGGATAGTAGAATTGCAGCTCACCTGAAGCTGAGTTAATTTAGAGAGCCAAGCCAAATACCTGGGTAGAGGAGGCAGTGGGAAAAGCCTTTTGAGTTCTCTGGGTCCCCAAGAAAGTAATTTCTTACTTTTCTCCCTGGGGTCTTCATGGTGAATGCCAGAGGAACTGGAAAAAGACTACAAGAAGAAAGGAACCTCCAACTGAAATTTTAAACAATTACAATCAAATATGAAGTCTCCTGGTCAGAACTCGAGGAAGAAATTAATCCAGCGTGCAGACTTGACAGGCAGGGAGCGGGGAAAGTCCTGCTTGCTTTCTCAGTATCCTGGTTCAAGTTCTCAGTCCTGCTGGCTCACTGTCTGGAAACTAACTCAGTGCTGCTGAGAGGAACACTGTGGGAGTGAAACTGGATTTTTGGGTTGTATGGAAGCTGAGTGAGGCCTGTAAATGCTGAATTTTCCCCACATCTCTGAAAACCTGAATGGCACAACAGATGCAGCCATAAACCTCCTGGGAACATAACTCACTGACCTGAAAACCAGATCCCCATCCCCATAGCAGCAGCAGCAGCAAGACCTTCCAGAAGGGAGTCTGAGCTCAGACTCATCTCACCCTTCCTCCACCTGATGGTCCTTTCCTATCCAAGCTTGTAACATTGTAGCTGAGGACAAACGTCTTATTCTATTGAGAGTTCTGCGGGTGCATCCACTGTCTGATCCTTTCTATACTTACCACAGCTAGTGCTCTCTTGAAAGCACCAGCTTCTGAGAGGATGTCAACCAGCACTACACTAATGCATTAAAGAACTATACAACTAAGTACCCCCACAGAGCCCATTGTACTTCCCTTTCACCTCCACTGGTGCTAGTGCTGGTATCCATGGCTAAGAGACCTGAATATGGTTCACATCACAGGACTCTGCACTTTAGTATCAGTGTGGAGCTTGTTAGCTTGCTGAGTGGCTAGATCCTGAGGAAAAATAAAAATCACTACAATTCAGCTCAGAGGAAGCCACATCTCTAGTAAGAGGGGCAGAGTACTACATCGAGAGAACCCCAAGGAAGAAAAGAATCTGAACAGCAGCCATAAGCCCCAGATCTTTTTTCTGAAATAGCCAACCCAAAGGAGAAGAAACTGGAAAAGTAACTGGTAATTTGACAAAACAAGGTTCTTTAACATCCACAGAATGTCACATTAGCTCACCAGCAGTATATCTAAACTAAGAAAAAAATCCCTGGATTGCCTGAAGAAGAATTTGAATGTTTTGATTATTAAAGTAAACACGGCACCACCAGAGAAAATAAACTGTCAGGAAATAGATAGCATTAAACAATTACAATTTCAAGAAATAAAGGAAACACTTAGAAAAATGCAAAAAGTACCAGAAAGTCTCAGCAATAGAATCAAACAAGTATGAGAAAATACCTCAGGCCTCAAAGAAAGAGTTTTGAATTAACCCAATCTAAAAAAGACAAAAAAAAAAAAAAAAAAAAAAAGAAGAAGAAGAAAGCCTCCATGATATTTGGGATTATGTTAAGTAATTAAACCTAAGAATAATAGACATTTCTGAGGAAGAAGAGAAATCTAAGATTTTAGAAAATGTATTTGAGGAAATAATAATTCAGAAAAAATTTCTGGCCTTGCTGGAGATGTAGACATCCAAACACAAGAAGCTCAAAGAACACCTGAGAAATTTATTGCAAAAATGTCATCACCAAGAGACATTGTCGTTAGGCTTTCTAAAGTCAAGAGGAAGGAAAGAATCATAATAGCTGTGAAGAAAAGGCACTAGATAATTTATAAAGAATTATAGATTCTTATAAAGATTATTAGATTAACAGCAGATTTTTCAGCAGTAACCCCACAAGCTGGAAGGAATTGGGGCTTATTTTTAGCCTCCTTAAATGAAGCAATTATCAGCCAAAAATTTCATATCCAGTGAAACTGAGCTTCATAACTAAAGGAAACATACATATTTTTTAGACAAACCAATGATGAGTGAGTTCACCACTATCAAGCCAGCACTTAAAGAAACTCCCCCCGCCAAAAAAAACCTCTACATCTTCAAACAAATCCTAGAAATGCATCAAAACAGAGCATATTTACAGCATAAATCTTACAGGACCTATAAAAATAAAAATTAAAGAAGGTGTATTCAGGCATCTAACAGCACAATGAATGGAGGAGTATCTCACATTTCAATAATAATGTCAACTGTAAATGGACTGAATGCTACACTTAGAAAACAGAGAATAGCAGAATGAATGAGAATTCACCAATCAAGTATCAGCTATCTTCAAGAAACTCACCTAACCCATAAGGACTCACATAAACTTAAAGTAAATGGGTGAAAAAAAAATTATGCAAATGGACACCAAAGTTGAGCAAAAGTAGCTGTTCTTATTTTAGACACAGCAAACTTTAAAGTAACATAAGTTAAAAAAGATGGTGAATTATAATACTATGATAAAAGGCCTTGTCAAACAGAAAAATATTACAATCCTAAATATATATGCACCTGACACTGGAACTCCCAAATTTATAAAACAATTGCTACTAAATTAAGAAATAAAATAGATAGCAACACTGAAATAATGTGGGAATTAAATACTGTGGCTACAGCACTGTACAGGTTATCAAGACAGAAAGTCAGCAAAGAAACAAGGGATTTAAACTCTAACCTAAGAAAAATAGAATAGGTATTTACCGAACATTCTACCCAATGACTACAGAATATACATTCTATTCCTTAGCAGATGGAACTTACTCTAAGATAAACCATATGATAGGCCACAGAACAAGCCTCAATAAATTTAAGAAAATTGAAATTATATCAAGTACTCTCTCAGAACGCACTGGAATATAATTAAAAACCAACTCCAGGCCAGGTGCAGTGGCTCATGCCTGTAATTCCAGCAATTTGAGAGGCTGAGATGGGTAGATCACCTGAGGTTGGGAGTTCGAGAACAGCCTGTCCAACATGAAGAAACCCTGTCTCTACAAAAATGCAAAATTAGTTGGGCATGGTGGTGCATGCCTGTAATTTCAGCTACTCAGGGGGCTGAGGAAGGAGAGTTATGTGAACCCAGGAGACAGAGGTTGCAGTGAGCTGAGATCACACCATTGCACTTCAGCCTGGGCAACAAGAGTGAAACTCAGTCTAAAAAAAAAAAAAAAGAAAAAAGAAACCTTTGAAGGTTCCAAGGAACCTTCAAAGCCTTGTAAATACATAGAAATTAAATAACCTGCTCCAGAATGATCATTGGATCAAAAATGAAATCAAGATAAACACTAAAAATTTTTTTGCTCTGAACAATAATGGTGAAAAAAACCTATAAAAACCTCCAGGATACAGCAAAGTGGCTGCTGAGAGGAAAGCTTATAGCTTTAAACCCTTATGTTAAAAAAGACTGAAGGAGCACAAATAGGCAATCTAACATCACATCTCAAGGAACTAAAGAAAGAAGAAACCAATCCAAAACTCAGCAGAAGAAAGGAAATAACTGAGATCAGAGAGGAGCTAAGTGAAACTGAAACAAAAATATACAAAACATAAAAGAAACAAAAAGCAGTTATTTAAAGACAAATAAAATTGATAGACCATTGGCAATATGAACCAAGAAAAGAAGAGAGAAGATCCAAATAATTAGAAAGAAAATGAGAGATATTACAACTGACACCACAGAAATACAAAAGATTGTTCAAGACTACTATCAACAGTTTTACATACAGGAGCTAGAAAACCTAGAAGAAATGAAAAAATTCCTGAAAATGTACAACCCTCTTAGCATAAACTGGTAAGAATTAGAAACCCTTAGCAGACCTATAACAAGGAGTGAGATTGAAAAAGTAATTTAAAAATTACCAACAACAAAAACAAAGGCCAGGACTAGATGGATTCACCACTGAATTCTATCAGGGATTCAAAAAAAAAAAAAAAAATGCTTTGAATCTATCGATAATATTCCACAAGAGAAAGCCAGTATCACCTTATTACCAAAACCAAGAAATAATATAGCAACAACATAAAACTACAGATCAATATCTCTGATTAATATAGATGTGACAATCCTTAACCAAACGCTATAGCTGACTGAATTCAACAATATATCAAAAAGATAATCTACTATGATCATGTGGATTTTATGCCAGGGATGCAGGGATGCTTTAACCCTCAACCAATGTGATTTACCACCTAAACATAATTAAAAACAAAAATCATATTATCATCTCAATAGACACAGATAAAAGTATTTGACAAAACCCAACATCGCTTTGTGATTAAAACCCCCAGCAAAGTTGTCATAAAAGGGACATACCTCAGTGTAATAAAAACCACATAAGACAAACTCACAGCAAACATAATACTGAGTGAAGAAAACTTGAAAGTGTTTTCTCTGAGAACTGAAAAAAAACAAGGATGCCCTTTCTCACCACTTATATTCAACATGGAACTGAAAGTCTTAGCTAATGTAGTCAGACAAGAGAAGAAAATTAAGATATCTAAATTGGTAGAGTGGGAGTCAAACTGTCCCTGTTTGCTGATGATTTAATCATATACCTAGAAAATGCTCAATACATTTCCAAAAACCATATAGAACTGAAAAATAAATTCAGCAAAATTTCAGGATACAAAATTTATGTACACAAATCAGTAGCTCTGCTATATACCAACAGCAACCAACTGGAGAATCAAATCAAGAACTCCACTCCTTTTAAAATAGCTGCAAAAAATACTTAGAAACATAACTAACCAAGGAAATAAAAGACCCCTGCAAGGAAAACTGCAAAACAGTGCTGAAAGAAATCATAGATGACACAAACCAATGGAAACACATTTCATGCTCATAGCTAAGCAGAATCAATATTGAGAAAATGACCATACTGTCAAAGGCAACTAAAAATTACATGTAATTTCATCAAAATACCACTATTATTCTTTACAGAAGCAGAGAAAAAATCCTAAAATTCATATGCAACCAAAAAAAAAAAAAAAAAAAAAAAAAAAAAAAGCCTGTCTAGCCAAAGCAAGGCTAAGACAAAGAAAAAAGAACAAATCTGGAGGCATTACATTACCTGACTTCAAACTACACTATAAGGCCACAGTCACCAAAACAACATGGTACTGGTACAAACATAGGCACATAGACCAATGAAACAAAATAGAGAACCCAGGAATAAAGCCAAATATTTGTGGTCAACTGATCTTTGGCAAAGCAAACTAAAACATAAAGTGGGTAAATACATCCTTTTCAACAAATGGTACTGGGATAATTGGGAAGCCACATGTAGGAGAATGGAACTGGATACTCATTTCTCACCATATAAAAACCTCAACTCAAGATGGATCAAGAACTCAAATCTAAGACCTTAAACTATAAAAATTCTAGAAGATAACATCAGATAAACCCTTGCAGACATTTGCTTAGGCAAAGACTTCACGACCAAGAATGCAGAAGCAAATGCAACAAAAACACCCACAGATAAATAGGTGAAACATAATTAACCTAACGAGCTTCTACACAGCAAATGGAACAGTCAGCAGAGTAAACAGCCCACAGAGTGGAAGAAAATATTTACAATTTATATATCTGTCAGAAGATAATATCCAAAATCTACAAGGAACTCAAACCCATTAACAATGAAAAAACAAAAAATCCTATCAAAAAATGGGCTAACAACATGAATAAGCAATTCTCAAAAAAAGATATACAAATGAACAACAAACATGTTTAAAAATGCTCAACATTAATAATAATCAGGGATGCAAATAAAAATCACAATCACAACGTGATACCACATTACTCCTGCAAGAATGTCCATAATTTAAAAAAAAAGTTAGTGTAGATGTGGTTAAAAGGGAACATTTTACACTGTTGGTGGAAATGTAAACTAGTACAACCACTATGGAGAGCACTGTGAAGATTTTTAAATGTAGAACGACCATTTGATCCAGAAATTTCTCTACTGGGTATCTACCCAGAAGAAAAAAAGTTATTATATGTGAAACATACTTGCACATGCATTTTTATAGCAGCACAATTTACAATTGCAAAAAATGGAACCAGCCCAAATTTCTGTCAATCGACTAGTTGATAAAGAAGCTGTATATATATATAGTATTTTGTATATGTATATATATGTAGTATTTTGGTGTGTATATACATGGTGTGTATATATATATGTAGTATTTTGTATATATATGTAGTATTTTGATGTGTGTGTATATATATATGGTGTGTGTACATATATGTAGTATTTTGTGTATATATATGTAGTATTTTGGTGTGTGTATATATATGGTGTATTTATATATGTAGTATTTTGGTGTGTGTGTATATATATGCTGTGTGTACATATATGTAGTATTTTGTGTATATATATGTAGTATTTTGGTGTGAGTATATATATATGGTGTATGTATATATATGTAGTATTTTGGTGTGTGTATATTTATCCATGTATATATGGAAGTGCATATGTATGTACACATACATATATACATATATGTACACATACATACATACATATATGTACACATACATACATATATGTACACATACATACATACATATATGTACACATACATACATATATGTACACATACATATATACATATATGCACACATACATACATATATGTACACATACATACATATATGTACACATACATACATATATGTGCACATACATACATATATGTACACATACATACATACATGTACACATACATACATATATGTGCACATACATACATATATGTACACATACATACATATATGTACACATACATACATATATGTACACATACATACATACATATATGTGTGTATATACATGTATATATGTATGTATACACACACACCAAAATACTACATATATATACACATACATCATATATATACACATACACCAAAATACTACATATATATACACAAAATACTACATATATATGTACACACACCATATATATATAAACACATACCAAAATACTGCATATATATGAAATACTACATATATATGTACACACACCATATATATACACAAAATACTACATATATATGTACACACCATATATATATACACACACACTAAAATACTACTCAGCCATAAAAAGAAATTAATGGCATTCACAGGACCCTGGATGGAAGTACATACTATTATTCTACATGAAGTTACTTAAGTAGGTATGAAAAACAAAACATCATATGTTCTCACTTATAAGAGATAGCTAAGCTATGAGGGTGAAAAACATAAGAATGGTATAATGGATGTTGGGGATTGAGGGGAAAGGAGGGAGGGAGATAAGGAATAATACAATACAAATTGAGTTTAGTGTATACTGCTTAGGTGATGGATGCATCAAAAATCTCACAGATAATCTCTAAAGACCTCACTCGTAATGAAATGCCAACTGTTTCCACCAAAACCTAAGAAAATAAAAAAAATTTAAAAAAAGTTTTTAAAAAAGATAAACAGTATTGACAAACTTAATCAGACTAATGAAGAAAAAATTGGAGAAAATTTAATTAAATAGAATTAGAGATTGTATTAGTCTGCTCTTGCACCATTACAAAGACATACCTGAGAGTAATTTATAAAGAGAAGATGTTTAACTGGCTCACAATTCTATAAGCTGTACAGATATCTGCTTCTAGAGAGGCCTCAGGAAGCATACAGTCATGGCTGAAGATAAAGAGAAAGCAAGCACCTTTGCATATGGCCAGCAAGAAAGAAAGAAAGGGGGTACTACACACTTTCAAACAATCAGATCTGTGAGAACTCCATCATAAGCCAGAACTAGGACAGGAGGTAGAAATAAAGCATTAGATATCACCTCCTGATCCAGTCACCTCCTATCAGGGTCCACTTCCAAAAATGGGGATTAAAATTCAACTTGAGATTTGGGTGGAGACAGAGAGCCAAATCATATCAGAGATTTAAAAAAAGACTTTACAACTTATACTACAAATATTCAAATATCATCAGCAGATAATATGAGCAACCATATATCAATTAATTGGAAATTTGGGAGAAGGTGGTAAATTGCAAGATGCAAACAGTCTGCTATAATTGAATCAAGAATAAATCCAAAACCTGAACAGACCAATAACAAAGTAATGAAAAGAAAATTATAAGAAAATATTTTTTGGTTTGTTTTAGACAGAGTTTTGCCCTTGTTGCCCAGGCTGGAGGGCATTGCACACTCTTGGCTCACTGCAACCTCCACTTCCTGGGTTCAAGCGATTGTCCTGCCTCAGCCTCCCAAGTAGCTAGGATTACAGGGATGCACCACCACCCCCAGCTAATTTTGTATTTTTAGTAGTGATGGGGTTTCTACATGTTGGTCAACCTGTTCTTGAACCCCCAAACTAAGGTAATTTGCCCACCTCCGCCTCCCAAAGTGCTGGGATTACAGGTGTGAGCCACTGCACCCAGCCAATATAATATCTTTAATTAAAAAAAAAAAAAGTCCAGTAGCTGATGGCTTCACCGCTAAATTTTACAAAACACTTAAATAATAACTAGCATGAATTCTACTAAAATTATTTCAAAAAATGGAAAGGAGGGAATACTTTCATACTCATTATAGGAGACTGGGATTACCCTAATAACCAAAATGACAGACACATAAACAAATAAACTAGGGGCCAATATCTCTAATAAGTACTTATGCAAAAATTCTCAACAAAATATTAGCAAACCAAATTCAACACACTAAAGACATCATTCAATGTGACCAAATGGAGTTTATCTGAGGGATATAAGAATAGTTCAATATATGTAAATCAATGTGACAGTCATATGAACTGAATGAAGGCCAAAATCATATAATCATTTCAATTGATGTGGAAAAAATCATTTGATAAAGTTGAACATTTCTTTATAATTAAAAGCCATATTCTGCAACATATTATAGAAAAATCCAGGCCAGGCACGATGGCTCATGCCTGTATTCCCAGCACTTTGAGAGGCCGAGGTGGGAGGATCACCTAAGGTCAGGCATTTGAGACTGGCGACCAACATGGAGAAACCCCATTCCTACTAAAAATACAAAATTAGCTGAGCATGGTGGCACTTGCTTGTAATCCCAGCTACTCAAGAGTCTGAGGCAGGAAAATCACTTGAACCCAGGAAGCGGAGGTTGCAGTGAGCCAAGATTGTTCCATTGTACTCCAGCCTGGGCAACAAGAGCAAAACACTGTCTTGAAAATAAAAAAAAAAAAAAAAACATACACAACAGACCCATAGCTAACATCATACTGAATGGTGAAAAAAAGTATTTTTTATAAGATCTGCAACACTGTTGCAATCCTTGTTAAGATGTCCACTTTTACCACTGTTACTCAACATAGTACTGGAAGTCCTAAAAAGTACAATCAGAAGGGAGGGAGAAAAAAAACACAGAAAACAAAATTAGAAAAGCAGTCAAATTATCTGTTTTCAGATAATATAATCTATTTAGAAAATACTAAAGCATCCACGAAAAACTATTAGAACTGGTAAGCAAATTCAATAAAGTTACAAAACAAAAAAAAAATTGACATACAGGAAGGGGCCAATATGGCTGACTAGAAGCAAGGGTGATCAAAGATTCCCATCAAAAATATCCAAAGCAACATCAGAACCCTGCACGAGCAATTGGGCATTCAGGCTCTGTCATTAGGAATGACTAGGCAGCTAGCGTGACCCACGGACAGAAACAGAGCTGTGCGGTGCAGCAGCCCACCTGACAGCCATATGGGGCAGGGAAACTTCCACTCTCAGCCAATGGACTCAGTGAGTTAGCATGCTACACAGCCAAAGAAACTAAGCTTTTTCTGGAAACTGTGAAACCCACAGATCACAAGATCTCTCTCAGGGCCCACACCCCTGGGTCCTTGGGCCCCAAACACAAAGGCATGCACATTGTTAACACCCATATGGCTATAATTGGCCTAATCCTGCTGAGTTATCAAGGAAGAGGGGCCGCCGTAACCACTGTTGGAGCTGCCTGAACTCTAAGCTATCTGAGCTCCATGGGGGAGGTCCAGCAGCCAACACTATGGCTTCAGGGTCTCCCTGGGGTCAGGAAGAGAACTATGATCTCCCTGGGCCCAAGCCCCTAGGAGGAGAGGACGCCATAGTCGCCATAGACCAACAGACTCAGTTGTTTCTCCTGCTAGCTCTGAGGAATCTGGGCAGCCCAGACGAGTGGTTTTCCCCCCAGTGCAGCACACTCCTTCCACCAAACGATAGCAAAAATGCATTATTAAATTGGTCCTCCTTCCTATACCACCTAACTGGGTGAGATCCCACAACAGGGGTTGTCAGAAATCCTATACATGAACATACCTACTGGCATCAGGTCAGCACCCCTTGTGGTCAGAAATTCCAGAGGAAGGAGCAGGCACCCATCTTTGCTGTCCTCGGGACTCCTCAAATGATATCTCCAGGCACAGGAGTGAACCAGATAAATGGGCTTGAAATTAAACCCCAGCAAACAGCAGCCCTACAGAAGAGGGAACTGACTGTTAGAAAACACACACACACACACACACACACACACACACACAGAAAGTAACAATGGCATCAACAAAAAAAGTCACCACAAAGACCTTGTCAAAACATCAGCAGTCTAAAAGATCAAAACTGAACAAACTCAAGAAGATGAGAAATAATCAACAAAAAATGTTAAAAACCCAAAAAGCTGGAGTGCCTTTCCTCCTCCAAATAATCGCAATGCCTCTTCAGAACTGTATGGAAGATGAGATGAATGAATTGACAAAAGAAGACTTCAGAAGGTAGGTAAGAACAAACTTCACTGAGGTAAAAGAGCATGTTCTAAACCAAAGCAAAAAAGCTAAGAACATTAATAAAAGGTTAGAGGAGGTGGTAACTAGAATGACCAATTTAGAGAGGAATATAAATGACCTGGGGAGTGGAGGTGAAAAATGCAGCACAAGAACTTCATAAAGCAAACACAAGTATCAATAGCTGAATCAAAAAAGCAGAAAAAAAGAATATTAGAGATGAAAGATTATCTTGCTGAGGTAAGGCAGGCAGACAAGATTAGAGAAAAAGAATGAAAATTAATGAACAAACACTTTGGGAAATATGAGACTATGTAAAAGACCTAATCAATGACTGGGAGTACCGGAAAGATACAGAGAAAATAGAACCAAGTTGAAAACCACACGTTAGGATATTAACCAGGAGAACTTCCCCAACCTAGCAAGACAGACCAAGCTTCAAATTCAGGAAATACAGAGAACCCCACTAAGACATACCACAAGAAGATCAACCCCAAGACACATAAGCATCAGATTCTTCAAGGTCTAAATGAAGGGAAAAATATTAAGGGCAGCCAGAGAGAAAGGCCAACTAAACTAGAAAGGAAAGATCATAAGAATAACAGTTGATCTCTCAGTAGATAACCTTACCACCATAAGAGATTGGGGGCCTATATTTAACATAGGTAATGAAAAGAATTTTCAACCCGGAATTTCATATCCAGCCAACTAAACTTCATAAGAAAAAAGAAAAATACAATTCTTTTCAGACAAGCAACTATTGTGGGGATTCAGCACCTTCAGGACTGCCTTGCAGGGGCTCCTGAACAAAGCATGAAATACAGAAAAAAAAATATGGCACCAGTCACTGCAAAACACACAAAAATATAAAGACCAATAATATTGTGAAGAAACAGCATCAACTAGTGTGTAAAATAACCAGCTAGCATCATGAAGACAGGATCAAATTCACACATCACAATATTAACCTTAAAGGTAAATAGGTTAAATGCCACAATTAAAAAACACAGAATGGCAAGCTGAATCAAGAGCAAAGACAAATTGGTGTGCAGTATTGAAGTGACACATCTCATGTGCAAGACACATATACATTACAAATAAAGGGATGGAAGAAAATTTACCAAGAAAACGGAAAACAGAAGAAAGCGGGGTTGTAATCCTAGTATCTGGATAAAAGAGACTTCAAACCAACAAAGAGAAAAAAAAGACAAGGGCATTACATAATGGTAAAAAGTTCAATTCAACAAGAAGGACTAAGTAAACATATATCCACCCAATACAAGGGCACATATATTTATAAAACAAGTTCTTAGAGGCCTAGAAAGAGAGTTCGACTCCCACACAATAATAGTGGGGGACTTTAACACCCCACTATCGATATGAGACAAATCAATGCAGCAGAAAATTAACAAGGATATTCAGGGCTTGACTCAGTGCCAAGCATATCAAGTGGACCTAATAGATACCTATAGACCTCTCCATCCCAAACTGACAAAGTATACATGCTTCTCAGTGCCACATAGCACTTACTCTAAGATCAACAACATAATTGAAAGTAAAATACTCCTCAGCAAATGCAAATAACTGAAATTATAAAAGTCTCTTAGACCACAGTGCAATCAAATTAGAACTAAGGATTAAGAAACTCACTCCAAATTGCACAACTACATGAAAATTAAGCAAGCTATTACTGAATGATACTTGGGTAAATAAGGCAGAAATTATGAAGTTATTTGAAACCAATGAGAACAAAGAGATAACATTCCAGACACTGGGACACAGCTAAAGCAGTGTTAAGAGGTAAATTTAGAGCACTAAATGCCCATATCAGAAAGTTAGAAAGATTTCAAATTGACACCCTAAAATCACAAATCAAAGAACTAAAATAGTAAGAGGAAATGAATGCAAAAGCTAGTAGAAGACAGGAAATAACTAAGGTCAGAGCAGAATTGAAAAAGATAGAGGCATGAAAAACCCTTAACAAATCAGTAAATCAAGGAGCTTGTTTTTTAAGAAACTTAATCCTAGCTATACTAAAATAAAGAAAAAAATAGAGAAGAATCAAATAGATACAATAAACAGTGATATATGGGATATCACCACTGACTCCTCAGAAATACAGTCTACCATCAGACAGCACTATAAACACCACTGTGCAAATAAATTAGAAAATCTAGAAGAAATGGATAAATTCTGAGACCCATACACTCTTCCAAGGCTAAACCAGAAAGAAGTCAAATTGATGAATAGACCAATAACAAGTTCTGAAAATGATGCAGTAATAAATAGCCTACCAACCCCTGCCCCCCAAAAAAAGCCCAGGGCCAGAAAGATTCACAGCTGAATTTTACAAGTGGTACAAGAAGGAGCTGGCACCCTTCCTTCAGAAACTATTCCAAACAATTGAAAAGGAAGAACTCCTTCCTAACCTATTTTGTAAGTCCAGAATCTTCCTGACACCAACCCTGGCAGAGACTCAACATCAACAAAAAACTTCAGACTAATAGTACTGATGAATATTGAAGTGAAAATTCTCAATAAAATATTTACAAACCAAATCCAGCTGCACAGCAAAAACTTATCCATCATGATCAAATTGGCTTTTTTTCTGGGATACCAACCTGGTTTAACATACAGAAATCAATAAACATAATCCATCACATAAAGAGAATCAATGACAAAAACCATGATTATCTCAATAGATGCAGAAAAGTTCTTCAATAACATTCAATATTCCTTTATGCTAAATACTGTCAATAAACTATGTACTAATGGAACATATCTCAAGATAATAAAAACTATTTATAATAAATCCACAGCCAATATCATACAGAGTGGGCAAAAACTGGAAGCATTCTCTTTGAAAACCAGCACAAGACACAGATACCATCTCTTACCATTCCTATTCAACATAGTATTTGAAGCTCTGATCAGGGCAATCAGGCAAGAGAAATAAATAAAATGTATTCAAATAGGAACTATTCAAATATTAAAATTCTCTCTGTTTGCAGATGACATAATCCTATATTTAGAAAACTCTATTGTCTCCGCTGAAAAACTCCTTATGATGGTAAGCAACTTCAGCAAAGCCTCAGGATACAAAACCAGTGTGTAAAAATCACAAGCATTCCTATACACCAACAATAGACAAGCAGAAAGCCAAGTCATGGATGAACTCCCATTCACAATTGCTACAAGAGAATAAAATACCTAGAAATACAGCTAACAGGGGATGTGAAGGATCTCTTCAAAACAAACTAAAACTACTGCCCAAAGAAATAAGAAAGGACACAAACAAATGTGAAAACAGTTTGTCTTTGGGGATAGTAAGAATCAATATCACAAAAATGGCTATACCACCCAAAGTAACTTATATATTAAATACGATTCCTGTCAAATTACCATGGACGTTCATCACAGAATTAGAAAACACTACTTTAAAATTCATATGGAACCCAAAAATAGGCCACATAGACAAGACAATCCTAAGCAAAAAGAACAAAGCTGGAAGCATTACGCTACCTGACTTCAAACTATATTACAAGGCTACAGTAACCAAAATATCATGGTACTGGTACCAAAACAGATGTATCAATGGAACAGAATAGAGATCTCAGAAATGACACCAAACATCTACAACCATCTGATCTTTGACAAACCTGACAAAAACAAGCAATGGGAAAAGGATTCCCTATTTAATAAATGTTGCCAGGAAAACTGGCTAGCCATATGCAGAAAACTGAAAGTGGATCCGTTACTTTCACCTTACACAAAAATTAACTCAAGATAAATTAAGGACTAAAATATAAAACCCAAAACCATAAAACCTCAAAAAGAAAAACTAGGCAATAGCTTTCAGAAAACAGCCATGGGCAAATATTTTAAAATGCAATCTCCAATAGCAATTGCAACAAAAGCTAAAACTGACATATGAAATTACATTAAATTAAATAATTTTGGCACAGCAAAAGAAACTAACATCACACTGAACAAGCAACCTACAGAATGGGAGAAAATTTTTGCAATCTACTAATCTGACAAAGGTCTAATATTCAGAATCTACAGGGAATGTAAACAAATTTTCAAGGACAAAACAAACAACTTCATCAAAAAGTGGGCAAAGTATTTGAGACACTTCTCGAAAGAAAACATTTATGTAGTCAGTAAACATTAAATAAAAGATTACTGATCATTAGAGAAATGGAAACCAAAACCACAATAATATACCAGTCAGAATGGCAATTATTACAAAGTCAAGAAACAGCAGATACTGACAAGGTATTGGAGAAACAGGAAATCTTTTCTATTGTTGGTGAGAATGTAAATTGTTTCAACCACCGTGGAAGACAGTGTGACCATTCCTCACTGAGCTAGAACCAGAAATACCATTTGATCTAGCAATCTCATTACTGGGTATATACATAAAAGAATATAAATTATTCTATTATAAAGATACATGCACATGTATGTTTATTGCAGCACTGTTCACAATAGCAAAGACACGAAATGAACCAAAATGTCCAGCAATAATAGACTGGATAAATAAAATATGGTACATATACACCATGGAATACTATGCAGCCATAATAGGAATGAGATTATGTCATTTTCAGAGACACAGATTATTCTGGAAGCTATCATGCTCAGCAAACTAACATAGGAATAGAAAATCAAACATCACATGTTCTAACTTACAAGTGAGAGTTGAAAAATATGAACACATGAATACAAGAAGATGAACAACACACACCTGGGCCTGTTGGGGTTGGAGGGAAGATGGAGCATCAGGACAAAATGTAAGGCATGCAGGGGTTAAAGTCTAGATGGCAGGTCAATAGCTGCAGCAAACCACCACTGCACTCATGTAAAAAACCTGCACATTCTGCACATTTATTTCAAAGCTTAAAGTAAGAGTAAGTCAGTCAAGAAATAAATGAACATACAAAAACCAGTAGCATTTTATGTAAAAGCAACCTGAAAAAGCAACAGAAAAGTAAATCCACTTACAATAGCACAAATAAAATACACAGAAAATAACTAAAACTGAATGATCTCTGTAATAAAATCTTTAAAACACTGATGAAAAAATTGAAGTGGACATCCTCTAATAAAGGTTATTCTATGCTCACTTATTGAAAGCAGTAAAATTGTAAAACATCCTTACTACCAAAGTCAATGTAAGGATTGTGAAAATCTGAGACAGGTCTTATTTAACTTAGGAGGTCAATTTTGCCAAGGTTGAGGACTCTTGACCATTACACAACCTCAGCCTGTCCTGACCACATGTGCCCAAAGTGGTCAAAGTTTGGTTTTATACATTTTAGGGAGACATGAGACAACAATCAAAATACCTAACATGAACGTTGCTTTGGTCTGGAAAAGAGAGACAACTTGTAGCAGGGAGGGGGCTTCTAGATCATCAGTAGATAAGAGACAAACTGTTGCTGTCTTATTAGCCTCTTCAAAAGAGGCAATAAGATATGCATTTATCTCAGTGTGCAAAGTGGTGACTTTGAATACAATGGGAGGCAGGATTGCCTTAAGCAGATCCCAGTTAGACTTTTCTTTTTAGCTTAGTGATTTATGGGCCTAAGATAATCACAGATTTAATGCAGTCACTATAAAAAATAACAATAACTTTATTTATATAATTATAAAAAACTATTCTAAAACATATGGCATCATGAAAGTCTCAGAATAGCCAAAACTATTCTGAGCAAAAAGAACACAACAGGAGGAATCACATGATTTGACTTTAAATTATATTATGAAGTGTAGTAACCAAACAGGATGGTATTGACATACAAATAAACACACAGGGCAAGGCAACAGAATAGAGGAACTCCAAAGCAAATTCATACACCTACAGTAAATTTATTTTTGGCAAAATTGCAAAATGAATGTAAGAAAAATGTCAGTCTTTTCAAAAACTGTTGTAAAAATAGATATAAATATGGAGAAAAATGAATCCAGGTCCTTACCTCTTATTATATGTGATAAATCAAAAAAGATGAAAGACTTAAATATAAGACCTTAAATTATAAATCAACTCCAAAAATTGGGAGCATGATTCAGGCCAATGAGCTAGGCAAAAATAGTTTTAAAGTAATATTATACAAGCACTAATAACCAAAGCTTAAATGTGTATGTGGGATCACCAATTTTAAAACCTCCTGCACTAAAAAAAAAAACAACAACAAAAAAAGCAAAGTGAAGAGACAATACACAGAATGGGAGAAAACATTTGTGAACTACTCATCTAAGAGATTAATAAACACAATACATAAGAAGCTCAAACAACTGCTAGAAATATGATAATTCAATTGAAAAATTAGCAAAAATGCATGAATAAATGCTTTTCAAAAGAAGATATAAAAAAGACAAATATGAATAGAAAAAGGTAATCAACATTGATCATGGGGGCGGGGGGAGCCAAGATGGCCAAATAGGAACAGCTCCGGTCTACAGCTCCCAGCGTGAGCGACGAAGAAGACGGGTGATTTCTGCATTTCCATCTGAGGTACCAGGTTCATCTCACTAGGGAGTGCCAGACAGTGGGCGCAGGTAAGTGGGTGCGCGCACCGTGCACGAGCCAAAGCAGGGCAAGGCATTGCCTCACTTGGGAAGCACAAGGGGTCAGGGAGTTCCCTTCTGAGTCAAAGAAAGGGGTGATGGATGGCACCTGGAAAATTGGGTCACTCTCACCCGAATATGGCGCTTTTCTGACAGGCTTAAAAAACGGCGCATCGCGAGATTATATCCCACATCTGGCTCGGAGGGTCCTACGCCCACGGAGTCTCGCTGATTGCTAGCACAGCAGTCTGAGATCAAACTGCAAGGCGGCAGCGAGGCTGGGGGAGGGGCGACCGCCATTGCCCAGGCTTGATTAGGTAAACAAAGCAGCCGGGAAGCTCCAACTGGGTGGAGCCCACAACAGCTCAAGGAGGCCTGCCTGCCTTTGTAGGCTCCACCTCTGGGGGCAGGACACAGACAAACAAAAAGACAGCAGTAACCTCTGCAGACTTAAATATCCCTGTCTGACAGCTTTGAAGACAGCAGTGGTTCTCCCAGCACGCAGCTGGAGATCTGAGAATGGGCAGACTGCCTCCTCAAGTGGGTCCCTGGCCCCTGACCCCCAAGTAGCCTAACTGGGAGGCACCCCCCAGCAGGGGCACACTGACACCTCACACGGCAGGGTACTCCAACAGACCTGCAGCTGAGGGTCTTCTCTGTTAGAAGGAAAACTAACAAACAGAAAGGACATCCACACCAAAAACCCATCTGTACATCACCATCATCAAAGACCAAAAGTAGATAAAAACCACAAAGATGGGGAAAAAACAGAACAGAAAAACTGGAAACTCTAAAAAGCAGAGTGCCTCTCCTCCTCCAAAGGAACGCAGTTCCTCACCAGCAACAGAACAAAGCTGGATGGAGAATGACTTTGATGAGCTGAGAGAAGAAGGCTTCAGATGATCAAATTATTCTGAGCTATGGGAGGACATTCAAAACAAAGGCAAAGAAGTTGAAAACTTTGAAAAAAATTTAGAAGAATGTATAACTAGAATAACAAATACAGAGAAGTGTTTAAAGGAGCTGATGGAGCTGAAAACCAAGGCTCGAGAACTACGTGAAGAATGCAGAAGCCTCAGGAGCTGATGCGATCAACTGGAAGAAAGGGTATCAGTGATGGAAGATGAAATGAATGAAATGAAGCGAGAAAGGAAGTCTATAGAAAAAAGAATAAAAAGAAATGAGCAAAGCCTCCAAGAAATATGGGACTATGTGAAAAGACCAAATCTACGTCTGATTGGTGCACCTGAAAGTGATGGAGAGAATGGAACCAAGTTGGAAAACACGCTACAGGATATTATCCAGGAGAACTTCCCCAATCTAGCAAGGCAGGCCAACGTTCAGATTCAGGAAATACAGAGAACGCCACAAAGATACTCCTCGAGAAGAGCAACTCCAAGACACATAATTGTCAGATTCACCAAAGTTGAAATGAAGGCAAAAATATTAAGGGCAGCCAGAGAGAAAGGTCGGGTTACCCTCAAAGGGAAGCCCATGAGACTAACAGTGGATCTCTCGGCAGAAACCCTACAAGCCAGAAGAGAGTGGGGGCCAATATTCA
The DNA here is from genome assembly GCF_000001405.40 of Homo sapiens. Classification (NCBI taxonomy): domain Eukaryota; kingdom Metazoa; phylum Chordata; class Mammalia; order Primates; family Hominidae; genus Homo; species Homo sapiens. Next base: position 19,377,602 of record NC_000024.10, on the reverse strand, counting down.
ACACTCTTAAAGAAAAGAATTTTCAACCCAGAATTTCATATCCAGCCAAACTAAGCTTCATAAGTGAAGGAGAAATAAAATACTTTACAGACAAGCAAATGCTGAGAGATTTTGTCAACACCAGGCCTGCCTTACAAGAGCTCCTGAAGGAAGCGCTAAACATGGAAAGGAACAACTGGTACCAGCCACTGCAAAATCATGCCAAAATGTAAAGACCATCGAGACTAGGAAGAAACTGCATCAACTAATGAGCAAAATAACCAGCTAACATCATAATGACAGGATCAAATTCACACATAACAATATTAACCTTAAATGTAAATGGACTAAATTCTCCAATTAAAAGACACAGACTGGCAAATTGGATAAAGAGTCAAGACCCATCAGAGTGCTGTATTCAGGAAACCCATCTCACATGCAGAGACACACATAGGCTCAAAATAAAAGGGTGGAGGAAGATCTACCAAGCAAATGGAAAACAAAAAAAGGCAGGGGTTGCAATCCTAGTCTCTGATAAAACAGACTTTAAACCAAGAAAGATCAAAAGAGACAAAGAAGGCCATTACATAATGGTAAAGGGATCAATTCAACAAGAAGAGCTAAATATCCTAAATATATATGCACCCAATACAGGGGCACCAAGATTCATAAAGCAAGTCCTGAGTGACCTACAAAGAGACTTAGACTCCCACACATTAATAATGGGAGACTTTAAGACCCCACTGTCAACATTAGACAGATCGATGAGACAGAAAGTCAACAAGGATACCCAGGAATTGAACTCAGCTCTGCACCAAGCAGACCTAATAGACATCTACAGAACTCTCCACCCCAAATCAACAGAATATACATTTTTTTTCAGCACCACACCACACCTATTCTAAAATTGACCACATACTGGGAAGTAAAGCTCTCCTCAGCAAATGTAAAAGAACAGAAATTATAATAAACTTTCTCTCAGACCACAGTGCAATCAAACTAAAACTCAGGATTAAGAATCTCACTCAAAACCACTCAACTACATGGAAACTGAACGGCCTGCTCCTGAATGACTACTGGGTACATAACGAAATGAAGGCAGAAATAAAGATGTTCTTTGAAACCAACAAGAACAAAGACACAACATACCAGAATCTCTGGGACGCATTCAAAGCAGTGTGTAGAGGGATATTTATAGCACTAAATGCCCACAAGAGAAAGCAGGAAAGATCCAAAATTGACATCCTAACATCACAATTGAAAGAACTATAAAAGCAAGAGCAAACACATTCAAAAGCTAGCAGAAGGCAAGAAATATCTAAAATCAGAGCAGAACTGAAGGAAATAGAGACACAAAAAACCCTTCAAAAAATTAATGAATCCAGGAGCTGGTTCTTTGAAAGGATCAACAAAATTGATAGACCGCTAACAAGACTAATAAAGAAAAAGAGAGAGAAGAATCAAATAGATGCAATAAAAAATGATAAAGGGGATATTACCACCGATCCCACAGAAATACAAACTACCATCAGGGAATACTACAAACACCTCTATGCAAATAAACTAGAAAATCTAGAAGAAATGGATAAATTCCTGGACACATACACTCTCCCAAGACTAAACCAGGAAGAAGTTGAATCTCTGAATAGACCAATAACAGAAGCTGAAATTGTGGCAATAATCAATAGCTTACCAACAAAAAGAGTCCAGGACCAGATGGATTCACAGCCAAATTCTACCAGAGGTACAAGGAAGAACTGGTACCACTCCTTCTGAAACTATTCCAATCAATAGAAAAAGAGGGAATCCTCCCTAACTCATTTTATGAGGCCAGCATCATTCTGATACCAAAGCCAGGCAGATACACAACAAAAAAAGAGAATTTTAGACCAATATCCTTGATGAACATTGATGCAAAAATCCTCAATAAAATACTGGCAAAACGAATCCAGCAGCACATCAAAAAGCTTATCCACCATGATCAAGTGGTCTTCATCCCTGGGATGCAAGGCTGGTTCAATATATGCAAATCAATAAATGTAATCCAGCATATAAACAGAACCAAAGACAAAAACCACATGATTATCTCAATAGATGCAGAAAAAGCCTTTGAAAAAATTCAAGAACCCTTCATGCTAAAAACTCTCAATAAATTAGGTATTGATGGGACGTATTTCAAAATAATAAGAGCTATCTATGACAAACCCACAGCCAATATCATACTGAATGGGCAAAAACTGGAAGCATTCCCTTTGAAAACTGGCACAAGACAGGGATGCCCTCTCTCACCACTCCTATTCAACAAAGTGTTGGAAGTTCTGGCCAGGGCAATCAGGCAGGAGAAGGAAATAAAGGGTATTCAATTAGGAAAAAAGGAAGTCAAATTGTCCCTGTTTGCAGACGACATGATTGTATATCTAGAAAACCCCTTCATCTCAGCCCAAAATCTCCTTAAGCTGATAAGCAACTTCAGCAAAGTCTCAGGATACAAAATCAATGTACAAAAATCACAAGCATTCTTATACACCAATAACAGACAAACAGAGAGCCAAATCATGAGTGAACTCCCATTCACAATTTTTTCAAAGAGAATAAAATACCTAGGAATCCAAATTACAAGGGATGTGAAGGACCTCTTCAAGGAGAACTACAAACCACTGCTCAATGAAATAAAAGAGGATACAAACAAAAGGAAGAACATTCCATGCTCATGGGTAGGAAGAATCAATATCGTGAAAATGGTCATACTACTCAAGGTGATTTACAGATTCAATGCCATCCCCATCAAGCTACCAATGACTTTCTTCACACAATTAGAAAAAACTACTTTGAAGTTCATATGGAACTAAAAAAGAGCCCGCATCACCAAGTCAATCCTAAGCCAAAAGAACAAAGCTGGAGGCATCACACTACCTGACTTCAAACTATACTACAAGGCTACAGTAACCAAAACAGCATGGTACTGGTACCAAAACAGAGATATAGATCAATGGAACAGAACAGAGCCCTCAGAAATAACGCTGCATATCTACAACTATCTGATCTTTGACAATCCTGAGAAAAACAAGCAATGGGGAAAGCATTCCCTATTTAATAAATGGTGCTGGGAAAACTGGCTAGCCATATGTAGAAAGCTGAAACTGGATCCCTTCTTTACACCTGATACAAAAATCAATTCAAGATGGATTAAAGACTTAAACGTTAGACCTAAAACCATAAAAACCCTAGAAGAAAACCTAGGCATTACCATTCAGGACATAGGCTTTGGCAAGGACTTCATGTCTAAAATACCAAAAGCAATGGCAACAAAAGACAAAATTGACAAATGGGATCTAATTAAACTAAAGAGCTTCTGCACAGCAAAATAAACTACCATCAGAGTGAACAGGCAACCTACAAAATGGGAGAAAATTTTTGCAACCTACTCATCTGACAAAGGGCTAATATCCAGAATCTACAATGAACTCAAACATATTTACAAGAAAAATACAAACAACCCCATCAAAAAGAGGGCAAAGTATATGAACAGACACTTCTCAAAAGAAGATATTTATGCAGCCAAAAAACACATGAAAAAATGCTCATCATCACTGGCCATCAGAGCAATGCAAATCAAAACCACAATGAGATACCATCTCACACCAGTTAGAATGGCAATAATTAAAAAGTCAGGAAACAACAGGTGCTGGAGAGGATGTGGAGAAATAGGAACACTTTTACACTGTTGGTAGGACTGTAAACTAGTTCAACCATTGTGGAAGTCAGTGTGGCGATTCCTCAGGGATCTAGAACTGGAAATACCATTTGACCCAGCCATCCCATTACTGGGTATATACCCAAAGGACTATAAATCATGCTGCTATAAAGACATGTGCACCCGTATGTTTATTGCGGCATTATTCACAATAGTAAAGACTTGGAACCAACCCAAATGTCCAACAATGATAGACTGGATTAAGAAAATGTGGCACATATACACCATGGAATACTATGCAGCCATAAAAAATGATGAGTTCATGTCCTTTGTAGGGACATGGATGAAATTGGAAATCATCATTCTCAGTAAACTATCTCAAGAACAAAAACCAAACACCACATATTCTCACTCATAGGTGGGAAGTGAACAATGAGATCACATGGACACAGGAAGGGGAATATCACACTCTGGGGACTGTTGTGGGGTGGGGGGAGGGGGGAGGGATAGCATCGGGAGATATACCTAATGCTAGATGATGAGTTAATGGGTGCAGCGCACCAGCATGGCACATGTATACATATGTAACGAACCTGCACAATGTGCACATGTACCCTAAAACTTAAACGTATATATATAAAAAAAATTGATAATCAGAGAATTGCATATTAAAACTACAATGAGATCTCATCTCACCTCAGTTAAAATAGCTTTTATCCAAAATACAGGCAATAAAAAATGCTAACTAGAAGGTAGTGTGAAAGAGAACTCTCATTGCTAATTAGTACAATAATTACAAAGAACAGTTTTAAATTTTTCAAAGCATCTAAAAATAAAGGGACCATATTATTCAGCAATTTTACTTTTGATTAAATGTTTCTGAAAGGAAATCAATATATCAAAGAAATACCTGCACTCATGTTTGCTGCACCACTGTTTACAATACCCAAGATTTGGAAGCAACCCAAGTATTTATTAGCAGACAAATGGATGGAAAAATTGTAGTACCGCTAAATTTAAAATAAAAGTTTAAAAAGCTGTTTTATAATATTTGATTCATGGAAAAAATTATATTTCTTGCAGCAACATGGACGCAGCTAGAGGACATTACTTTAAGTGAATTAATGCAGGATGAAAAATTAAATATCATATTTTCTCACTTATAAGTTTTTACTAAATACTGAATACAAGTGGTCTTAAAGAAAAAAACAATAGACACCAAGAGTTACTTAAAAAAGGAAGGTGGAAAGTGGGTATAAGTAGAAAAACTATGAGTGAAATACTATGTTCACAATTTGGGCAGTGAATTCATTTGCACACCAAATCTCCACAACATGCAATTTACTGAAGTATGAACCTTCACATTTACCCTGTAAACCTAAAATAAAGTTTCAAAAAATAAACAAAGAAATAAATAAACTGCAAGATCAAAAGAAAAACTAGATGTCTGAAATTTTAGAGACAATTTTATGGAAAATTTTACTCCTTTTTTTTGAGAACTTAAAGTCCTTAGTTCCTTTAAAGGTAATAACTGTCAGCCAAAATTTTTGTTTTGTTTTGTTTTGAAAGATTGGAGACATAATTTCTATAAATAAAGAATAAATAGTGTTTTCAAGACAAAATTTGTCACCACTAAATCAGTTCTATAACAAATGCTAAAAGAAGTTCTAAATTTTGAGGAAAATGATTGCTACATACTGTAATAAAAAGTTTTGAGGGCATAATATGCAAAGGGTATATAAACAGTAACATAAGTAATCCCTAAAAACTGACACAATGACTTCAGCAGTACTTGATATTTCAATATTAGGATTACATGTAAATAATCTAAATAACTCACTTAAGGATATATGTTGATTGCATAAATTTTACAATTCACAAACCATATATCTACCTTCAAGAGACCCATTTAATGTATGAAGACCATTATAGACTCAAGGTTCAGAAGTAGAAAACAGCATTTTGTTTTGTTTTTTAGAGATGGAGTCTTACTCTGTCACCAAGTGCAGTGATGCAGTCTTGGCTCTCTACAACCTCTGGCACACTACATCCTCTGCTTCCTGGGTTCAAGCAATTCTCTTGCCTCAGCCTCCTGAGTAGCTGAGACTACAGGTATGTGCTACCATGCCCATCTAATTTTTTGTATTTTTTTTTGTAGAAATGGGGCTTCACTGTGTTAGCTAGAATGGTCTCGATCTCCTGACCTCATGATTCACCTGCCTCAGCCCCCTAAAGTGCTGGGATTACAGGTGCTCAATCACCAAGCCTGGCCAAAAACAGCATTTTATAAAAAGGAAAACAAAAAGTGGGCGAGAATAGCTATTCTCATATCAGATAAAACAGATTTTAAAGCAACGATAATAAAAAATAAATAACATTATAAAATGATCAGTTGAACAAGAAAATACAACAACACTAAATATATGTGTACTCTACTCTGGACGTCCCAGACTTATTACCATTAGATCTAATAAAAAACAGACAGAGCAACACAATAATAGTGGAAAACTTTAACATTTGACTGAAATTCCTAGACAGATCACTGAGAGAGAAAGTCAGCAAAGAAACACTGAACTTAAATTACCTTTCGAACAAACAAACATAACAGATGTTTACAGTAGATTTTAACAAAAATCTTCAAAAATATGCATTTTTATCTGCATATGATAATGTCTTCTCCAAGATAGACCACATAATAGGTCACAAAATAAGTCTCAATAAACTAAAAACATCAAAATTTTATATAGAATTTACTTTGACCACAGCATATCAAATTTAGAACATGTATACATGTATAGTAAACCTGCACATTGTGCACATATACCCTAAAACTTAAAGTGTAATAAAAAATGAAAATAAATTCTCAAAATTATGCAAATGTGTGAAAATAAATTTGCTCCTGAATTATTTTTTTTTGTTTAGCAGTGATATACTGGATAAAGAAAATATGGTACATACATGCCATGAAATATTATGCAGCCATAATAAAGAATGAGATCATGTCCTTTGCAGAAACATGAGTGCAGCTGACACAATTATTCCTTGCCAACTAATGCAAGAGCAGAAAACTAAATTCTACATATTCTCATTTGTATGTACTAGCTAAATGATGAGAAGGCATAGACACACAGAGGAGAACAACACTGGGGTACTAGGATTAATACCTGGGTGAAAAACTTATCTGCAGAATAAACCCCATCACACTCATTTACCTATGTAACAAATCTGTACTTGTACCCCTGAACTTAAAATAAAAGCCAAAAGAACCATAAAATAAAATAAATTTCTAAACTGAAATTACTGATGTCAGTTGAACAAGTTATCAAAACATCTAGAATACAGAAAAGCAGCATTAAAAATGTCTATAGCATTAAGCACTTACATCAAAAGGTCAGAAACAGCACAAATTAACAATCCAACATCACACCTCACAGAATAAGGGAAACAAGAACAAACCAAACCCAAAATAAGTAGAAGAAAAAAGAAGAATATTTAGAGCAGAATAAAATTGAAACAACAACAATTAAAGTAGCAAATTTATTAAAAAGATAAACATAATAATAGAACATTATCTAGAGATTAAAAAAGAAGAGAGGAGGTTCGAAGAAGATCAATTAGAATTAAAAATGAACAAATGAAAACTGACTCCCCAGAAGTTTATAAGATTGTTAGAGGATACTATAACACAGCCTATATGCAAACACACTAGAAATGGTAAAGGAATCTGAAAAATTTCTGGACACATACAACCCTCTTAATTTAATCAGAACTAGATGGATATCATGAGCAGACTAGTAATAATCAGTGAGATGAAGAATCTCCCAAGGACCAGATAAATTCACAGCTAAATTCTAGTAGACATGCCAGGAACTCATATCAATTTTACTGAAACTATTCCAAATTACTGAGAATGAGGGAATCCTACATTGGTCATTCCGTAAGTCAGAATCATTTGAAAACAACACCAGAATAAAAACATAATATAAATACAAAACTACAGACCAATATCTCAGATGGAAATAAGATTCAAACATTCCTATTAAAATATTAGCAAACCAAATCTAACATAATATCAAAAAGACCATTTACCATGATCAGGTTGGTTTTATTCCAGGGATGCAGAACTATAAAAACACAAGTCAGTAAATGTGATTCATCACATAAATAATATTAAAAACAGAAACATATGATCATCTTAATAGGTGCAGAAAAAGCTTTCAATAAAATCCAGGATTGCCTAACAATTATAACTGTCAGCAAACTAGACTTAGAAAAAAATCTCAAAATAAGAAAAAGTGTATGTAATAAAAACTACAATCAATTTCATAGTAAATGGGGAAATATTGAAACATTTTTTCTAAAAACTGAAAAAAGAAAAGGATACTTCTTTCACCACTTCTATTAAAACTGGACTAGAAGTCTTACTCAGACCAATCAGGCAAGAAAAAAGTAATAAAGGTCACCAAATTTAAAAACAGTCAAACTATCTCTGTTTTTTGATGATATAATCTTTTATCTAGAAACCCTCAGGTATCCTTCAAGATTTCTAGATGTGATTAATAAATTTAGTAAAGTTTTAGGTTACAAAATTAATTTACCCAAATTAGTAGCACTGCTAAATATCAAAATATATGAATGCTCACCACAAATGAAGAATGCTCATGACCACTAGTCATCAGATAAATGCAAATTAAAACTATGTTACATCAATTTACCCCATCCAGAATGGCATAACCAAGCTGAGAAATAGATCATGAATGCAATCCTTTTTATAAATGTTTTCTGCCAGTCACGCTGGCTCACACCTGTAATCCCAGTACTTTGGGAGGCCAAGGCCGGTGGACCACCCAAGGTTGGGAGTTCCAGACCAGCCTGACCAACCTGGGGAAACCATGTCTCTACTAAGGAAACTAAAATAACCGGTCATGGTGGCGTTTGCCTGTAATCCCAGCTACTCGGGAGGCTGAGGCAGAGGAATCGCTTGAACCCTGGACAAGGAAGTTGCAATGAGCTGAGACGGTGCCATTGCACTCCAGCCTGGGAAACAAAAGTGAAACTCCATCTCATAAAATACAAAAAACAGAATGTTTTCTAAAAATACCTGGGAACATACTTAGCCAGGCAAATGAAATATCTCTACTAGGAAAACTACAAAGCACTGATCAAAAATTTTATAGGACAAACAAATAGAACTATATCCTATGCTCATGGATTTAAACAAAAATTAATGTAAAAATAACCAGGCTGAACATAGCAATCTATAGATTTTATGCTATATCTATCTAGCATACCAATGTCATTTTTACAAATATAGAAAAAAATATAAATTGTGTGGAACCAATACGAGCCCTAAAAGCCAAAGCAATTCTAAGAAAAAGAATCTGGAGGCATTATGTTGTCTCATTACAGAATGTCAAATTTTAACACAAGGTTGTAGTAACAAAAACAGCATGGAAACTGCTGTAAAAATAAACACACAGTCCAAAGGAACAGAACAGAGAGCAAGAAATATAGCCAAATACTTATGAGCAGCTGATTTTTGATAAAAGAGACAAAATATAAATTAGAAAATGTGTACCCTATTCATTAAGTTGCATCATATGTAGAAAAATAAAACTGGATCTCTGCCTTTTACTATATGTACAAATTAAAACAACATGGATTAAAGGTTTAAATGTAAGATACAAAACCAAAAAATTCTAAAAGAAAAGAGGAATGGTTCTACTTGACTTTGATCTAGGCAAAGACTTCATGATTAAGGCCCTGAAAGAAAATGCAAAGACACAAAAATAAATACATGGGAGCTAACTAAATTAAAAATCTTCATAGCTAATAAAATTATCAACAGAGTAAATTATTTACATTTAATCCTAATATTGAGATATCACGTACTGCTGATGTCTGAAATTTTAGAGACAAATCAATGCAGCTAGAAGAAATTAAATGAATTAATGCAGGATGAAAAATAAAATAAACAGTTATCCATAGGAGATAACATTTGCAAATTATGTATTCAACAACTAATATTTGAATTTGTTTAATAAGCAAATATAAGTAAAAGTTTTAAATTAATATTTACTAAACTAAAAAATACTAAAGCAGAAAGAAAACAAACACAAGTATACCCATTAAAATATAGACAAATAACCTGAACAAATATTTCCCAAAAGAAAATGTATGAATGCTCACCACAAATGAAGTAATGCTCAACACCATTAATCATCAGATAAATGCAAATTAAAACAATGTTACATCAACTTACCCCATCCAGAATGGCATTATTAAAAATTCAAAAAGCAATATATGTTTGCACAAATGTGGTAAAAAGTTGATGCTTTCAAGTTGCTCATAAGAATGTAAATTAGTACAATCTCTACAGAAAATAGTATGGCGATTTCTTAAAAAATTAAAAATAAATCTAACATCCAATTTAACAATCTCACTATTGAGTTCCTACCCCCAACAAATGTCATTATATAATAAATATCAATCTGCATGTGAATGGTTATTGCAGCACAATTTCGAATTGCAAAGATATGGAATCCATCCAAGTGCTCATCAACCACTGAACAGATAAAGAAAATATGCTACTTATATACAATGGAATTTAGATAGCCATAGCAAAAATAAAAGAAGTTGTTGTGCAGAAACTTGACTAAATCTAGAGAACACTATTTTCAGTGAAGTAACTCAAGATTGGAAAATCAAATAACACATATTCTCACTTATAAGTGGGATCTGAGTTATGGGTACTCAAAGGCACACAAAATGGTATAATGAACTTTGGAAACTCAGAGACAAGGAAGGTGAGAGAAGAGTGAGAAATAAAACACTGGTTATTGGGCACAGTGTATGCTATTTGGGTACACTAAAATTACAGACTTTACCAATATATTTAATAATTGCCATTCTGACTGGCATGAGATGGTATTTCATTGTAGTTTTGATTTGTATTTCTCTAATGATCAATGATGTTGAAGTTCTTTTTTGTGTCTTTTTGCTGTATAAATGTCTTCTTTTGAGAAGTATCTGTTCCTTTCCTTTGACCCCTTTTGATGGGTTTGTTAGTCTCTTAAAAATTTAAGTTAAAGTGATTCAAGTGATTCTTTTGCTTCAGCCTCTCATGTAAATGGAGTAACAGTCATAAAGCAGTGCACTCAGTTCAGTACATTTTAATTTTTGAGGAACTACTATACTGTTTAATACAATGTCTGTACCATTTTACTTTCTCCTTTGTTCACAAGTTTACTAACATGTCTTCTTCTTTTTTTTTTAATATTGGCTATACTAATGTGTGTGAGGTGATATCTCACTATGGTTTTAATTTGCAATTTCTTTTTTTTATTATGCTTTAAGTTTTAGGGTACATGTGCACAAGGTGCAGGTTAGTTACATATGTATACATGTGCCATGTTGGTGTGCTGTACCCAGTAACTCACCGTTTGACATTAGGTATATCTCCAAAAGCTATCCCTCATCCCTCCCCCTACCCCACAACAGGCCACCGTGTGTGATGTTCCCCTTCCTGTGTCCATGTGTTCTCATTCTAATAATTACCGTTGTTGAATTTCTTTTTATGTGCTTTTTGAACATTTGTATATCTCTTTTGAAGAAATTTGTGTTTAAGCCTTTAAACAATTGTTTTACTTTTTAATTCTATCTGTCATAAATTTATGGGATATAAGTTAGTTAGAGGCTTTGATTGCATGATGTTCAAGTAAGAACTTTATGGTACTGATTACTTGAAAAACATACTTTGTATCCATTATCCATTAATTGATCAGCCATGCTTCTTCCAATCCATCCCATTCACAGCCTCCTTGTCTATATCCACTCTCTACTGTCTATAACCATGAGTACATGCTTTCAGCACCTACTTATGAGTGAGAACATGCAATATTTAACTTTCTATGCCAGACTTGTTTTACTTAAAATAAGAACCTTCAGTTTCATTATTCTTGTTGCAAAACATTTTTTATTTTTTTAGTGAATAAGTAATTTTTTTGTATATATATATGTATATATTATACTTTCTTCATCATGTATTTGTGGATACATGTAGAGTCCATGTTTCTGCTGATGTAAGCAGGGCTGGGATAAGTATAGGATTGGAATATATATTTTTTATATATTTATTTTTTTTCATTTAAATTAATACCCCCCCAAAAATGGCAGAATTTAGTAGAAGCTGTATGTATGATTCTGTGAAAAATATTTGTTCTTCACAATTTTTTATAGTGACTGTACTAATTTACATTCCCACCAACAATGAAAAAGAATTCTCTTTTTTTTTTTTACATATTCACAAAATTGTCTTATTTTTGTCTTTCTTAATTTTCAATTATTATGTTCAGTTCAGAGGGTACATGTTCAGACTTGTTACATGTTTAAATTGTGTGTCACAGTGGTTTGTGTACAAATTATTTTGTAACCAGGGTAATGAATAGAGTACATGATGGATATTTTTCTATTTTTTTATTTTACTTTAAGTTCTGGGATACATGTGCAGAACATGAACGTTTGTTACATAGGTATACATGTGCCATGGTGGTTTGCTGCACTTATCAAACTGTCATCTCTGTTTTACGCCCCACATGCCCTATGTGTTTTCTAATGCTCTCCCTCCACTTTCCCCCATGGCCCCAAAAGGCCTTGGTGTGTGATGTTCCCCTCCCTATGTCCATTTGTTCTAATTGTTCAACTCCCACTTATGAGTGAGAACAGGCGGTGTTTGGTTTTATGTTCCTGTGTTAGTTGGCTGCGAATGATGGCTCCCAGCTTCATCCATGTCCCTGCAAAAACATGAACTAATTTCTGATGGCTGCATAGTATTCCATGGTGTATATGTGCCACATTTTCTTTATCCAATCTATTATTGATGGGCATTTGGGTAGGTTCCAAGTCTTTGCTATTGTAAGTAGTGCTGCAATAATCATACATGTGCATGTGTCTTAAGGGTAGAATGATTTATAACACTTTGATGTGTGCTCAGTAATGGGATAGCTGGGCCACATTGTATTTCTGATTCTAGATCCTTGAGGAATCACCACACACTCTTCCACAATGGTTGAACTAATTTATACACCCACCAACAGTGTAAAAGCATTACTATTCTTCCACAGCTTCTCCAGGATCTGTTGCTTCCTTTTTAATAATTGCCATTCTAATTGGAGTGAGATGGCATCACATTGTGATTTTGATTTGCATTTCTCTAATGATGAGTGATGATGAGCTTTTTTTCATATGTTTGTTGGTCACATGAAGTCTTCTTTTGAGAAGTGTCCATTTATATCCTTTTCCCACTTTTTGATGAGGTTGTTTTTTTCTTATAAATTTGTTTAAGTTCCTTGTGGAGTCTAGATATTAGACCTTTGTCAGATAGATAGATTGCAAAATTTTTCTCCTATTCTGTAGGTTGCCTGTTCACTCCGATGCTAGTTTATTTTGTTGTGTAGAAGCTCTTGAGTTTGATTTGATATGATTTGTCAATTTTGGCTTTTGTTGCCATTGCTTTTGGTGTTTTCATCATGAGTCTTTGCTCATGCCTATGTCCTGAATGGCATTGCCTAGGTTTTCTTCTAGCGTTTTTATAGTTTTAGGTTTTACATTTAAATCCTTAATGCATCTAGAGTTAATTTTTATATGAGGTGTAAGGAACTGCCCAGTTTCTGTTTTCTCCACATAGTTTTGCAGCAACATTTATTAAATAATGAATACTTCCCCATTGAATGTTTTTGTCAGGTTTGTTAAATATCAGATGGTTGTAGATGTGTGGTGGTATTTCTGGCCTCTGTTCTGTTCCATTGGTCTGTATATCTGTTTTGGTGCCAGCACCATGCTGTTTTAGATACTGTAGCCTTGTAGTGTAGTTTGAAGTTAAGTAGAATGATGACTCCAGCTTTGTTCATTTGCTTAGGATTATCTTGACTATATGAGCTCTTTTTTTTGGTTCCACATGAAATTTAAATTATTTTTATCTAAATCTTTGAAGAAAGTCAATGGTAGCTTGATAAGAATAGCATTGAATCTATAAATTACTTTGGGCACTATGGACATTTTCACAATATTGATTCTTCCTATCCATGATCATGGAATGTTTTTCGATTTGTTTGGGTCCTCTCTTACTTCCTTAAACAGTGGTTTATAGTTCTTCTTGAAGAGGTCCTTTACATCCCCTGTAAGTTTTATTCCTAGGTATTTTGTTCTCTGTGTAGCAATTCTGAATTGGCATTCACTCATGATTTGGCTCTCAGCTTGTCTATTACTGGTGTATAGGAATGACTGTGATTTTTGCACATTGATTTTGTATCCTGAGAATTTGCTGAAGTTTCTTATGAGCTTAAAGGGTTTTGGGGCTGAGATGATGGAGTTTTCTAAATATGCAATTATGTCATCTGCAAACAGAGACAATTTGACTTCTTCTCTATTTGAATACCTTTATTTCTTTCTCTTGTCTGATTGCCCTGGACAGAATTTCCAACACTATGTTGAATAGGAGTGGTGTGAGAAGGCATCGTTGTCTTGTGCCCGCTTTCAAAGGGAATGCTACCAGCTTTTGTCTATTCAGTATGATATTGTCTATGGATGTGACATAAAAAGCTCTTATTATTTTGAGATATGTTCCATCAATACCTAGTTTATTGAGAGTTTTACCATGAAGCAATGTTGAATTTTACTGAAAGCCTTTCTGCATCTATTGGATAATCATGTGGTTTTTGTCATTGATTCTGTTTATGCGATGGCTTACATTTAATGATTTGTGTATGCTGAACAAGTCTTGCATCCCAGAGATGAAGCCAACTTGATCATGGTGGATAAGCTTTTTGATGTGCTGCTGGGTTCACTTTGCAGTATTTTATTGAGGATTTTCACATCAATGTTCATCATGTATATTGGCATGAATTTTTCTTTTTTGTGTGTGTCTTTGCCAGATTTTTGTATAATGATGGTGGGCTCATAAGAGATAGGGAGGAGTCTCTCTTCTATAATTGTTTGGAATAGTTACAGAAGGAAAGGTACCATCTCCTGTTTCTATCTCTGGATGAATTCGGCTGTGAATCCATCTAATCCTAGGGTTTTTTTGTTGGAAGACTATTAATTGCTGCCTCAATTTCAGAACTTGTTATTGGTCTATTCAGGAATTTGACTTCTTCACGGTTTAGCCTTTGGAGGGTGTATGTGTCCAGGAATTTATCTATTTCTTATAGATTTTCTTGCTTATCTACGCAGGGGTCTTTATAGTATTCTCTGATGGTGGTTCGTTTTTCTGTGGGATCAGTAGTGATGTTCCCTTTATCTCTTTTTATTTTGTCTATTTGATTCTTCTTTCTTTTTCTCTTTATTTCCCACTTTCTGATATGGGCATTTAGTGCTATACCTTTCCCTCTTAACATTGCTTTAGTTGTGTCCCAGAGATTCTGGTACATTGTCTCTTAGTACTCATTGGTTTAAAATAACTTCTTTATTTCTGCCTTAATTTTGTTATTTACTCAGTAGTCCTTCAGGAGCAGGTTGTTCAGTTTTCATGTAGTTGTGCAGTTTTGAGTGAGTTTTTAAATCCTGAATTCTAATTTGATTGCACAGTGGTCTGACAGGCTGTTTGTTTTTAATTCCATTCTTATGCATTTGCTGAATTATGTGGTGGATTTTAGAGTACATTCTATGTGGCACTGAGAAGAATGTGTATTCTGTTGGTTTGGGGTGGAGAGTTCTATAAGCATCTTTTAGGCCCACTTTGTCTGGATCTGAGTTCAAGTCCTGAATATCCTTGTTAATTTTCTGTCTTGCTGACCTAATATTGACAGTGAGTGTTAAAGTCTACCAACATTATTATGCAGCAGTGTAAGTCTCTTTGTAGGTCTCTAATAAGTTGTTTCATAAATCTGGGTGCTCTTGCATTAGGTGTGTGCATATTCAGGATAGTTAGCTCTTCTTGTTGAACTGATCCTTTTGTCATTATGTAATGCCCTTCTTTGTGTTTTTTGATCTTTGTTGGTTTAAAGTCTGTTTTATCAGAGACTAGGACTGCAACTCCTGCCTTTTTTTTTTTTTTTGCTTTTCATTTGCGTGTTAAATATTCCTCCATACATTTATTTTGAACCTATGTGTGTCTTTGCTTGTGAAAATCATCTCCTGAATATAGCAGACAGATGGGTCTTGACTCTTTATCCAATTTGCCAGTCTGTGTCTTTTAATTGCAGCATTTTGCCATTTATGTTTATGATTAATATTTTTATTTATGAATTTGATTCTGTCGTCATGATGCTAGTTGGTTATTTTGCACATTAGTTGATGCAATTTCTTCATTGTGTCTTTATATTTTGCTGTGTTTTTGCAGTGGCTGGTACTGGTTTTTCCTTTCCATATTTAGTGCTTCCTTCAGGAGCTCTTGTAAGGCAGGCCTGATGCTGACAAAAATCCCTCAGCACTTGCTTGTCTGGAAATGAATCTGTTTCTCCTTGGCTTATGAAGCTTAGTTTGGCTGGATATTAAATTCAAGGTTGAAAATTGTTTTCTTTAAGAATGTTGAATATTGGCACCCACTTTCTTCTGGCTTGTGGGGTTTCTGTAGAGAGATTGGCTGTTAGTGTAATAGGCTTCCTTTTGTATTTAACCTGACCTTTCTCTCTGGCTGTCCTTAACATTTATTTTTCCTCTCTTTCGACCTTGGGATATCTGATGATTGTGTGTCCTGGGGTTTCCCTTCTCGAGGAGTATCTTAGTGGCATTCTCTGTCTTTCCTGAATTTGAATGTTGGCCTGTTTTGCTGGGTTGGGGAAGTTCTCCTGGATAATATCCTGATGTGTGTTTTCCAACTTGGTTCCATTCTCCCCATCACTTCAGGTACACCAGTCAGTTTTAGGTTTGGTCTTTTCACATAGTTCCATATTTTTTGGAGGCTTTGATTGTTCTTTTTCATTCTTTTTTTTCTCTGTCCCTGAAGCGAGGCAGTCTGTCTCTTAGCAGAGCCAGTGCGCTGTGCTGGGGGAATCAGCTGGGAGCATCAGGATGAGCTGCTCACTTCAGAGCTGGCAGGCAGGAGAGATGAAATCCACTGAAGCTGCATGCATATCTTCCCCCTGCTCCAGGTGCTCTGTGCCAGAGAGATAGGAGATTATGGGTAACCCCTGATTGGAGCTGTTGCCTTTCCTTCAGAGATACCCTGTCCAGTGAGGAGGAATACAGAAAAGCATTCTGACGACAGCCATTTTGCCACACTATGGTGAATTCCATGCCTTCCACCCCTCCCAGACTCCAGCACTGTAGGGGAAAAGCACCTACTAAAGCCTCAGTAATTGTGGGTATCCCTATCCCCACCAAGCATGATTATTTCAGGTCCACTTCAGACTGCTGTGCTGGCAGTGAAAATTTCAAGCCAGTGGTTCTCACCTTGCTGGGCTCTGTGGGAGTGGGACCTACTGAGCCAGACCACTTAGCTCCCTTGCTTCAACCCCCTTTCCAGGGGAGTGAGGTTTTGTCTCGCCGGGATTCCAGGTGCCACTGGGGTATGAAAAAAACTCCTGCAGCTAGCTCAGTGTCTGCCCAGCCACTCAGTTTTGTGCTTAAAACCCAGGGCCCTGATGGTATTGGCACACTAGGGAATCTCCCAATCTGTGGATTGCAAAAACAGTGTGAAAAGTGTAGTATCTGGGCAAAGTAACACAGTCCCTAACAGCTCCCCTTGGCTGGGGAAGGGAGGCCCCCCAGCTCCTTGCACTGCTGAGGTGAAGCAATGCCCTAACCTGCTTCTGCTTGTCCTCAATGTGTTGCACCCACTGTCTAACCAGTCCCAATTGGATGAACTGTGTACTTCAATAGGAAATGCAGAAATCACCCACCTTCGGCATTGGTCTTGCTGGGAACTGCACACCAGAACTGTTCCTATTCGCTCATCTTGGTGATGGGTACTTTTCAATCCTCGGTTTCCTTTTATTCTCAACCCACAAGGATGGCTCTGGTATCTAACGTCCTTTTGTATGTTGACATGTATTCATTAGTCACCTTTCACTTATAAGCAACGTCTTGAAGTTTTTTGTTTGCTGTTTTTGCATTAATTCACTTAAAATAATTATCATCACGTCTGTATGTGTTGCTGCAGATGTCATGTTTTAAGTTTTATGGCTGCATAGTATTCCATGGTATAAATGTTACATATTTTAAAAATATAGTTTCATATTATAGGCATCAAGTTGATTTTATTTCTTTGCTATTGTGAATAGTGTGATGAACATACAAGTGCATGTGTCTTTCTGATAAAACAATTTATAATTTCATGGATATATAAACAGTAATGGGATTGCTGGGTCGAATGGTAGCTGTGTTTTATTTCTGCAACCTCTAAACTGCTCTTCACAATGGCTGAAGTAATTTCTGTTTACATCGGCAGTGTATAAGCATTCTGTTTGTTCTATAACCTGTCCAGTATTTATTATATTCTCACTTTTCATCAATAGTCTGTCTAACTGGTGTGAGATCATATCTCATTGTGATTTTTAATTTGTGTTTTTAAATAGTGATGTTAAGCAATTTGAAAATATCTTTGTTCATTGTGTATATGTCCCTTTTTGAAGGACATGTTCTTTATCTCCTTTTTTTCTTCAGACATAATCTCACTCTGCCACTCAGGTGGGAGTGCAGTTGGGCAGTCTCAGCTCATGGCATCCTCCACATCCAGGCTTAATTGATCCTCATACCTCAGCCTCCCAAGTAGCTGGAACTCCAGGTGCACACCACCATGGCTGGATAATTTAAAAAAATATACATATAGGGTATCAATGTATGGTCCAAGCTGGTCTCGCACACCTAGAATATTTGCTGTTTGTTTTTCATAGATAATTTTTATTGTTTTAAATTATGTTTATTTAATGCCTCAGATTGTTTAGGATTTTTAGGAAAACTGATGTCAATTTTTATTGAAAGACATTTTTCATACATTGAAATAATCTTGTGGTTTATGTTTTGCATTCTGCTTACATAATAAACCATATTTATTGACTTTCATATGGAGAGTCTTCCTTGAATCTCAAAAATGCAGCCTATGTGGTTATTGTGGATTAGTTTTTGACGTGCTACTGTATTCAATTTGTTACTATTTTATACCAATGTTCATTAGGAATGTTGGTCTTAAGTTTTATTTTTCATTGCATCTCTACCAGGTTTTGCTATCAGAACTATGCTGGCCTAATAGAATGAGTTAGAGAGATTTCCCCCCATTCAATTATTTGCAATAGTTTCAGTTGCACTGATACCAGCTTTTCTTTAAACATGTGGTATAATTTAGCTCTGAATCTGTTCAGGACATTTTCTAGTTGGTAAGCTTCTTATTATTAATTTAATTTTGAAACTTATTGTTTATCTGTTCAGAGTTTAAATATCTTTCTTGCTTAATATTAGTAGGTTGTTTGCATAAACTTTTTTTCTTCTAAGTTTTCTAGTTTGTGTGCATAGAGGTGTTCAGAATAGTCTCTAAAGGTTTTTTTTGGTGGCATAAGTGGTAATGTCCCCTTTTCCATTTGTGATTTTGTTTATGTAGATTTTTTCTATCTATCTATCTATCTATCTATCTATCTATCTATCTATCTATCTATCTATCATCTTTCTAATCATCTATCATCTTCCTCTTTACCTACCTAATTGCTATGTCTACCTTATTATTTCAGATTACCAAATTTTTGTTGTATTAATCTTTTTATAGTTCTTTACATCTTAATGTCATTCAGTACATCCCTGAATTTGGTTATTTCTTTTCTTCTGCTATATTTGGGTTTGGCTTACACTTTTCTTTTCTAGTTCTCTGAAGTGTACTGTTATTTGTTAATTTCTGTTTCAAAAATGGCTTGTGGTGGGGTTCATTGGTATGTGTACTGGCTAGGACAAGGAGGGTGGTAGTGACATCTCGGTATGTTTAAATTCCAGCACAACAGTTGGCAAAGTCTATTGGCTTTGTGTGCTGACAAGGTGTTAGGAAGGGGCTGCAAGTGGGTTCATGCTGTTGGGTTCATCTGCAGAAGCTCTCTAATTGTTAGTTAAACTGTGCCAGTAAAGAAATTATGATTTGAGCCCCAGTTGGGCATCTGTGTTTGTGCTGAGAGTGATCATAGCCATGCATTTACATTAGACTTGCAACACTGCATGGCAAGACAGCCCTGATTTTCCAGTTCTGACCATCAACAAAAACTAAAACTACCTAGAGGAGCATGGTAAGCCATAAAGGTTGGGCTTTCCTGGATGTGCTTCACTGGCCTTTCCCATGCCACTGTTTTGGCTCTGCATAGACTGGAGTCCTGTTTCTGAGATCTTCCCAAGACTTTTCTACTAGCTCAAATGTTGATGTGTGTCATGGAAGTTTCTTGTAGCTAGGATTCTATGAGATCTACGGAAACAGTGGTCAATTCCATTTCTGTTTAAGTCACCTATTTCCTAGGAACCACTCAGTTTCAGGAATGAGTCTTGGTGCTTACATGTCTCATTAAGCACTTCTAGCTTCCTCTTTTTTAGCCTGAAGTCTGCATTGCCTCTCTGTCCATACTCATTGTTTTTCTGCTAGTCTTTGGAATAAAGGCAATGAGAGTGAAGAGAGAGTGTAGACTTTCTGTTGGAGAGTCCTTGTTTTTTGATGGCCTGATCCCTCAGTGGGGGATATTTCTTCCTGGCTATATCTAGGTCATTTTAACTCCTGCTATCTTCTAAATAAGAGCCACTCTGAGTAGGGTAAGATGGTATTTTTTTTTCTGATTTGTGCTTCTTTGATAATTAGAGATGCTGAACATTTTTAAAACATAGTTTTTCATATTTATGTATTTCTAAAAATATCTATTTATATCCATGTTTTAAGTAAATTATTTGTTTTTACTTGTTTGAATTCATTGTAGCTTCTCAATATTGTGTATTTTTGGATGCAAAATTTGCAAACAATTTTTCTCACTCTGTGAGTCATCTTCTCACTCAGAGTTTCACTATTTATTTTCTGTGAAGAAGCTTTTCTCAGTTTCAGTTTGATATATTTATTTATTTACTTTTACCTGTGGTTTTGAGGTGTTAGTCATAAATTCTTTGACTAGACCAAACTCCAGATCTCTTTACTAAGGGTCCTTTAACTAGTTTATAGGTGCAAGCATTACACTTATGTTTTAAATCATCTTTATTTGATTTTTTATATGGTGAGGGATAGAAGTCTGGTTTTATTACTCTATAGAAGACTATCCAGTTTTCTCAGCACCAATTGCTGTAAAGCATGTTCTTCTTGACTTTGTTAAAGTTCAGTTGATAATAAATATGTGGCGTTATTTCTGTTTTTTCTTCTCTTTTCCATTGGTATATGTGTTTATTTTTATGCCAGTCCTATATTCTTTTTGCTCCTGTAGTCTAATAATATAGTTTTGAAGTCAGGTAATGTAATTCTTTGTTGTTTTTGGTTAGGACTACTTTGGCTATTCAGGCTACTTTTGTGTTCCATCTAAATTTTGGATTATTTTTCTAAATTATTGAACAATATCTCTGGCATTTTAATGAAAATTTTAGTAAATCTGTAAAATTGCTTTAGGCAATAGGATCATCATAGATATTGACTTTTCCAATTTTGAGAATAAGTAATGTTTTTATTTGTTTGTGTCATCTATTATATTTTTATTAGTATTTTGTATTATTTCTCACACAGATATTTTGAATTCTTTGCTAAGTGGTTTCCCAAGTGGTTTTTATTTTTTTGGTAGCAAGTATACATAGTGTTACATTCTTGATTTTGTATTCACTTTATTTATGTAGTTGATAAGTTTTGTGTCTGTGTTCCTACCAAATCTTATGTTATTATAAAATGTAATCTCCAGTGCCATAGGTGGGTCCTAGTGTGAAGTCTTCTGATTAAGGAGAATAAATCTCTCATGGCTTGGTGTTATCCTTGTGAGAGAAGGAGAGTTATTGTAAAATATAATTGTTTAAAAGTGTGTAGAATCTCCCCTCTCTTAGTTTTGCTCTTGCCATATGATGTGCCTGCTCTCAGTTTACCTTCTGCCATGAGTAAAAGCTCTCTGAGGCCTCCTCAGAAGGTGAGCAAGTGGTAGTGGCATGCTCTCTGTATGGCCTGTAGAACACTAAGCTAAAAAATCCTCCCTTTAAAAAAATTACCCGGTGTTAGTTATTTCTTTATAGTAATACAAGAACAGCCTAATACAAAAAATTTGTACAAAGGAGTACGAATTTGCTATAAAGGTACCTGATAATGTCAAAGTAGCTTTAGAACTGGATAATAGGTTGGAGTTGGAAGAGGTAAGAGAGTTCAGAAAGGCAGAAAGATAAGTCAAGGTTTGGAACTTCTTAGAGACTAAGTGGTTGTGACCAAAATGCTGACAGTGATGACAGTGAAGTCCAGGTTTATAAGGTATCTGGTGAAAATGAGGAACTTATTAGAGATTGGAAGAAGGTTGCACACGTTATATTCTAGCAAGAAACTTGGCTGCATTATTTTTATGCCCTAGCCATCTGTGAAAATGTAAACTTAATAGTTATGATTCAAGGTATCTCCTAGAAGAAATTCTTAAACAGCAAAACATCTGAGAGGAAAAATAGTGGCTTCTAACAGTCTATGTTTAAATGTAAGAGCAAAGCAATGGTTTAAAGGTGAAAGCTATATTTTTTAAGCAAAAGGAGAGTGTAAAATTTTGGAAAATTTGCAGCCTAGTCATATGGCATAGAAAATAAAATAGCATTATTGGGAGGAGGCTGTGGAGAAACCACTTGATAGAGATGTTAGCATAAGTAAAATAAAGTCAACTTCTAGTAGTAGAGACAATGGACAAAAGATCTTGAAAGCCTTTCAAGAATATTTTCTGCAGGCCCTCCCTTAAAAGCCCCAAAGTCTTTAGAAAAAAGAATGCTTTCAGTAGCCAGACTCAGGGACAGGCAGGTCTGTGCAACTTCAGGACACTGCTTCCTGCATCTAGATTACTCTTGCTCCAGTCTTGGCTCAGGGGCTCCACTTATAGCTCAGACCACTGCTTAGGAAGGTGCAAACCATAAGACTTGGTGAACTCCATTTACATCTAAGGCTGCGGGTGTGCAGAGTGCTAAAATAAAGAAGGCATGACAGATACTACCAAATTTCAAGGGATGTACTGGAAATCCTGGGCCTTACGCTGAAGACTGGTGCAGGTTGGAGGCCCCACAGAGATACTCTACTAGTCCTGTACCATGGGGAAATGTGGGGCTGGAAATCCTATACATAGTCCTTACTGGGGCCTTTCCTGGTGGAGCTGTGGGAAGAGGGCCATCATCCTGCAAACCCCAAAGTGGTAGATGCACTGGCAACTTGCCCCTGAGACTTAAAAAGCTGCAGACACTCAACTAAAACCCATAAAATAAGCTCAAGGTAACCCAATTCTGAATCCTGCAAAGACAAAGGGAAGAAGCTGCCCAAGGCCTTTGGAGCTTACCTTGTTCACCAGTTTTTCCTAGATGTCAGACATAAAGTCAAATAAAATTGCTTTGGATTTTTAAGGTTTAATGACTGCTTTCTTGGGTTTTGGCCAAGACAAATAATCAGTCTCTGAATCATCATTCAGAGACAAATAATCAGTCTCTGAATCATCATTCAGAGACAAATAATCAGTCTCTTATTAGTCCTGTGCCAACATACCAGGCCAAGCTTTTACTTCTGCTCCTGATAGGCCGGGTCCAACCTAAGCAGCCTCTATGAATCATCACATTAGCCCCTTGTAGGTCCCAGTCCAAGGTCCCAGGCCACGCATAGTCACAAGTTTTTCAGAACAGCTCACAGACTCAGCACATTTTTTCCCATTCCAGTCTATAAAACCGCCAGAACTGGTCTCATAGGAGCCAATCTTTTCAGGTCCCCCTTTCTGTTGATGAAGAGCTTTCTTCTTTGTCTTATTAAATTTTTAATTCCAACCTCACTCTTGTGTTCGTGCTTCTTTTTTTTTTTTTTTTTTTTTTTTTTTTGAGACGGAGTCTCGCTCTGTCGCCCAGGCTGGAGTGCAGTGGCGGGATCTCGGCTCACTGCAAGCTCCGCCTCCCGGGTTCACGTCATTCTCCTGCCTCAGCCTCCCAAGTAGCTGGGACTACAGGCGCCCGCCACTACGCCCGGCTAATTTTTTTGTATTTTTAGTAGAGACGGGGTTTCACCGTTTTAGCCGGGATGGCCTCGATCTCCTGACCTCGTGATCCGCCCGCCTCGGCCTCCCAAAGTGCTGGGATTACAGGCGTGAGCCACCGCGCCCGGCCGTGTTCGTGCTTCTTTATCACCTTGGACATGTGACAAAAAGCTCCAGGTATTATCTCAGACAGTGATAGAATGTTGCATCTTGATGCATTGGTGAGACCATAACACTAAGATAACTGGTTAGTCATATGCAGAAGATTGAAACTGATCCCCTTCTTATATCAAACAAAAATTAGCTTAAAGCATTTGAAAGCCTTAAGGTAAAACCTGAAACTCTAAAAAATCTGGAAGATAACCTGGGAGGTGGTGTTCTGATTAGGACATGGAAGAGATTTTAGAACAATGATGCCAAAAACAACTGCAACAAAACTAAAAGTTGACAAATAAATTCTAGTTAAACTAAAAAGTTTATGTATAGTAAAATATACTATGAACAGGATAAATAAAAATTTTTAAAATGAGAAAATATACTTGAAAACTATGCGTTTGACAAAAGTCTAATATTTAGAATATAAATATAATTTAAAATTACAAGTCAAAAACAAAGAACTTCAGGAAAAGGTGGCAAATAACATGAATACATATTTTTTAAACAAGATGTATATGTGGCCATCAAGCATATAAGAAAATTATCAACGACACTAAATGTTAGAGAATGAAAATCAAAACCACAATGAGATACCATCTCACAACAGATAGAATGGCTATTATCAAAGTCAAATAATATCTTGTTGGTGATGACTGGACAAAAGAGAACATTATATACTGTTGGTGGAAATTTAAATTAGGTCAACCCTTGTGGATACCACTTTGGTGAGTCCTGTGAGAACTTGAAACAATTGTGCAACTCACTAATCCCATTGTTCAATACACATCTAAAGAAATATAAATTATTCTATCATAAATACACATCTACATGTATGTTTACAATATCAAAGACATGGAATTAACCAAAATATTCATCAATGGTGGACTAAACAAAGAAAATGTGGTAATATACACCATAGAGTAATTACAGCCATATGAAAATGAGATTACATTCTTTTCAACCACATGAATTGTACTGGAGGCCATTCTTCTAAACAAACTGACCAAAAAAACCCCAGAAAACAAGATATTACATATTCTCACCTATAAATAAGAGCTGAACAACCAGAACGTATGTTCTCACCTGTAAATCGGAGCTAAACACATAAATACATATTCTCATCTATAAATAGGAGATAAACAACTAGAACATAAAGAAAAAGAAACTACAGACACTGGATCTATTAGACAGGTGTGGAAACAGGACCAGGAAAAGTACTTATAGAGTGCTATTGTGTCCGGAATTGGTTCCTTCCAGTGGGTTCTTGGTCTCACTAACTTCAAGAATGAATCCATGGACCCTAACAGTAAGTGTTACAGCTCTTAAAGATGCTGTATGCGGAGTTTGTTCCTTTGGATGTTCAGATGTGTCCGGAGTTTCTTTCTTCCAGTGGGTTTGTGGTCTCACTGACTTCAGGAGTGAAGCTGCAGACCTTCACAGCGGGTGTTAAGGCCCTTAGAGGAGGTTAGTCCAGAATTGTTTGTTCCTCCCAGTGGGTTCGTGGTCTTGCTGACTTCAGGAATGATGCCGCAGACCCCTGTGGTGAGTGTTACAGCTCATAAAGGTAGTGTGGACCCAAAGAGTGAGCAGCAGCAGGATTTATTGTGAAGAGCAAAGCTTCCACAGAGAGGAAGGGTACCTCAGCAGGTTGTCACTGCTGGCTCAGGTTGGGTGGGCAGCTTTTATTCCCTTATTTGGCCTTGCCTATGTCCTACTGATTGGTCCAGTTTAGAGAGCTTTTATTGGTCCATTTTACAGAGTGCTGATTGGTCCATTGTATAGAGTGCCGATTGGTGTGTTTACAATCCTTTAGCTAGACAGAAAGTGCTGATTGGTGTGTTTTTGCAGAGTGCTAATTGGTGCATTTACAATCCTTTAGCTAGACACATTCTGCTGATTGTTGCATTTTTACAGATTACTGATTGGTGCATTTACAATCCTTTAGCTGGACAGAAAAGTTCTCCAAGTCCCCACTCGACCCAGGAAGTCCAGCTGGCTTCTCCTCTCACTAGGCTTATTACCTGGTTCATAAAATAATCTATACATGGCACCCTCAAAACACTCAGTTTACCTGCATAAGAAATCTGCACAAGTACTCCTTAACTCAATGTAAAAGTTAAAGAATTAGAAGTTAAAAATTAAAACATAAAAATAAATAAATGGAAAACACAGTAAAATCACAAACACTAAAATGTCCTTTAGTTCTAACCATATTGTTGCCTATAACAGTATCACATTATCTTGTATGGGTAAATAATATTGTATTGTGCCTATGTAACATATTTTCTTCATTCATATATTTACAGATATTTAGATTGATTTCAAGTGCTTGTTATTTTGAGTAGTGCTTTAGTAAACAAAGAAGTTTAGACAGTTTTTCAATATATCAATTTTATTTCCTTTTGATATATGCATAGCAGTGAGATTGCTGTATCATATACTGGTCTATTTTTTTGTTTTTGAGAAACATTCATAACTGTTCTTCATAGTGGCTTTGTTAATTCACATATCTGCAAAAAGCATGCACGTTTTCTTTCCTACACATCCTTAATAGCATTATTATTTCCTCTCTTTGGATATAAGTAATTTTAACTGGGATAATATGATATCTCAGATATCTCATTGCAGTTTGAATACAGCACATATTCACATAAGTGTTTGCCCTTTGTATGTCTTAGCTTTTTACAAAAAAAGTCTATTGAGATATATTGCCTAGTTTTTTAGTTTTAAAATTTAATCTGATTTTTAATTTATGGCATGAAACAACAAAAAGCTTCAAAGGAAAATAACATATCTCCTGCCTCAATCATTTCTCCAGAGAAAAAGAAATGATAGGACTTATTTATCTCTTTCTCTTGCTCCTATGGATGAGTGTTATGAGAGAGAGAGAGAAAAAGAGGTTAAGAAATTGGCTTATATGATCCAAAATCTATAATGAGAGGCTGGAAACTAGGGCAGATTTTCTCTATTACAGACCTGAGGTAGAGTTTTTTCTTCTACATAAAACCTCAGTTTTATTCTATTTTTTAAAAAAATATATAATTTATGTAATATATACTTTTTTTAAAACAATACATACTTGTTTTAAAAAATATAAACTTTAAGTTCTGTGGTACACATGCAGAACATACAGTTTTGTTACACAGGTATAAAAATGACATGGTGGTGTTCTGCACCCATCAACCCATCATCTACATTGGTTATTTCTCCTAATGCTATCCCTCCCCTATCCCACAAGCCCCTGAGAGTCACCAGTGAGTGATGTTCCCCTCTCTGTGTGCATGTGTTTTCATTGTTCAACTCCCACTTACGAGTGAGAACATAAGGTGCTTGGTTTTCTTTTGTTGTGTTAGTTTGCTGAGAATGATGGTTTCCAGCTTCATCCATGTCCTTACAAAGGACATGAGCCCATCCTTTTTTATGGCTGCATTGTATTCTATGGTGCATATGTGCCACATTTTCTTTATTCAGTTTATCATTGATAAGCATTTGGGTTGGTTCCAAGTCTTTGCTATTGTGAACAGTGCCACAACAAACATACGTGTGCATGTGTCTTTATAGTAGAATAATTTATAATCCTTTGGGTATATACCCAGTAATGAGATTGCTAGGTCAAATGGTATTTCTAGTTCTCATTCCTTGAGGAATTGCCACATTGTATTCTACAATGATTGAACTAATTTACACTCCCACCAACAGTGTAAATACATTCTCCACATCCTCTCCAGAATCTATTCTTTCCTGACTTTTTAATGATCACCATTCTAACTGGTGGGAGATGATATCTGATAGAGGTTTTGATTTTCATTTTTCTAATGACCAGTGATAATAAGCTTTTTTCATATGTTTGTTGGCTGCATAAATATCTTCTTTGAAAAGTGTCTTTTCATATCCATCATCCACTTTTTGATAGGGTTGTTTTTTTTCTTGTAAATTTTTTTTAAGTTCCTTATAGATTTTAGATATTAGACCTTTTTGTCAGATGGGTAGTTTGCAAAAATTTTCTCCCATTCTGTAGGTTGCCTGTTCACTTTGATGATAGTTTCTTTTGCTGTGCAGAAGCTCTTTAGTTCAATTAGGTTCCATTTGACAATTTTGGCTTCCGTTGCCATTGCTTTTGGTGTTTTAGTCATGAAGTCTTTGCCCATGCCTATGTCCTGAATGGTATTGCCTAGGATTTTTGTGGTTTTGGGTTTTACATTAAATCTTTAATCCATCTTGAGTTAATTTTTGTATAATGTTTAAGGAAGTGGTCCAGTTTCAGTTTTTTCCATATGGCTAGACAGTTTTCCCAATGCCATTTATTAAATAGGGTATCCTTTCCACATTGCTTGTTTTTGTCAGGTTTGTCAAAGATCAGATGGTTGTAGATGTGTGGTGTTATTTCTGTGGCCTCTGTTCTGTTCCATTGGTACATATATCTGTATTGGCTATTTTAATTTGATTATTAGATTATTTTTCATTACATTGTTCAGATCCTTATATATTTCAGCTATTAATTTTTGTAAGATGGATAGTTTGAAAATATTTTATTCCATGTTGTGGGTCTCTTTATTTTCTTAATTGTTTATTTTGCTTTGCAGAAGTTTTCTTTTTACTTGACATAATTTTATTTGTCCCTTTTTGACATGCTTTCCTGTGATTCTGGGGTATTACTGAAGAAATTTTTGCAAATGATGTATTTTGTGATAAAAATATTTAAGATACACTTTGTTAACTATATTTAAGAAGATATCACTAAATTCACAGCTGTATTCTTCACATGGTCAAACAGATTTCAAAATAATAATAATAATGATAATAAAGTATCTGAAGTGTTTAATTCTCTAACTGAGGTTTTGCATCTCTTAATTGGCCTTCTATTTTTTTCCCACCCCTAACCTATGGTAACCATTATTCAATTCCCTAATTTTATGCGTTCAATTGTTTTTATTTTTATACATCAATTGTCTTATTTCTATATGTCAGTAAGTTCATGCAGTATTTGTCTTTCTGGTGTTTGATTATTTCATTTAGCATAATTCTCATCAATTTTGTCCATACTTTTGGTTACCAATCACACCCTCAGACCAAAACTTACTATGAATAAAAATTAATATGATAAAATCACTCAAAATCATATAATGAAATATAAATTAAATAATACATTTTTAAATAACATTTAGGAAACAATAAAGTTAGGCAGTAGTCAAAAAATTCCCTGAAATTAATACTAATAAATATATAACACGTAAAAATCTCTGTGACCTAGCTAAAGCGGTGTTAAGGTAAATATTTGTAGCACTAAACACCCATATTACCAACTTAAGAAGATTTAAAACGAACACTATAATATTACATCTAAAAAAAAAAAAAGTAAGACAACAAAAGAGAAAACAAAACAAAACAAATCAGAGTTGAAGTTAACAAAATGGAGATGAGAAAAACAATGTAATAATTAAAAAAATTAAACGTCTTTTTTAAAGAACAAATAAAATTGACTACTTGTGTGACTAATACAAAGTAGAGAACATCTTTAAATAGCACAATCAGAAATCGAAAACTTAATGTTATTACTAACCCCGTAGAAATAAAAAATAAGTTAAAAAAACTTAGAGACTCATATGAACATTTCTATGCACACAAGCGAGAAAATCTAAAATAAATGAATTTCTGAAAGCGTACAAACTTTCAGATATAGTCAGAAATAAACTGTAGCCCAGAACAGATAAATAATAAGTTTCAGAGTTAAATAATCAGTTAAAAATTTATAAACTAAAAAATATCTGGAACTGGTGGATTTACATCTGAATTCTGCTTAATATGAAAAAAACTTCTCTAATTTGTACTTAAGTTATTTCAAACAGATCAAGAGAGACTCCTTTCTAACTCATTGTATAAGGACACTAATGTTTTGATACCAAAGCCTGGAAGAGAAACTACAACAATAAAAAATTTATGCCAATATTTTTGATGAGCACAAATACAAAATTTCTAAAGAAAACACCAGCAAACTGAATTTAGTGACACAACAGAAAGTTAATCCACCTTGATCAAGAAGGGTTTGCTTCTGAAATTCAAGAATTCTTTAACATATCCAAATCAATAAATATGATTAACCACAGAAAAATACCTAAAAACAAAACCACATTATCATTTTAATAAATGAAAAAATACATTTGTAAAACTCATTATCTCTCTGTTACAAACACTTTGCAAACTAGGCATTGCAGGGTTACCTCTCAATATGATAAGAACCACCTACACAAACTCATGGCCAACATTACACTAAATAGGCAAAAGCTAGAAATATTCTCCTAGGTAATTAGAGCTAAGCAAAAATGCCAATTTTCACCACTTTTTTGTAACATAGTACCGGACAAACTAACCAGAGCACTCAGGCTAAAGAAATAAATAAAATGACATCTAAATAGAAAGAGTGAAAATTAAACAATTTCTCTTCACAGGCAGTATCACACAATAAAAAGAACACCTTATAATTTTTACTCAAAAGTTGCTCAATCTGGTAAACAACTTCAGCAAATTTTCAAGATAAAAAATATAAGTATAAAAATTATTAGAATTTTATATATGTGTGGTGCCCAAGCTAAGAGCCAAGGCAAAACACAATCTCATTCCTAATAGCCACAAAAAAACCCTGTGAATACAGCTAACCAAGGAGTTAAAAGATCTCTACAATGTCAACTAAAAAATAATGCTGAAATACGTTAGAGAAGACACAAAAAATGAGAAATATTTTATTTTATTAGATAGAATTATTCAATATTGCTATAATGGCTAAAGCAATTTATAGATGTAATGTTATTTATATCAAACCATCAATGATAATTTTTACAGAAATTGAAGCAATTTCACAGTATTTAAAACAATTTTAAAATTTATTTAGAATCAAACAGAGCCTAAAATTCAAACAAATTATAAAGAAAGCACAAAATCTGAGGCATCACAATACCTGGCTTTAAACTGTATTGCAAAGCTACAGTAACTAAAACAGCAAGATACTGGTAAAAACTTGACACGTAAACCAGTAAAACAAGTTAGGAAGCATAGTAATAAACTATAACAATTTGATATTTAACAAAAAAAACTATAACAAGCAATGAAAAAAGTACTTTTTGTCAATAAATGGTGCTGAAATAACTAGCTAGCCATATGCAGAATATTGAAACTACACTTTTCCCTATTTCCATATAAAAATTAATGCAAGATTAATTTAAGGCTTAAACATGATAAAAAAATGGCAGATGGAGGATATTTTATCAGCTTGCAGGGACAAAAATGTATGTGGGGACTCACATTGTGAATTTTGCATCAAGAATCACCACAGGAACATATCAGGAAAACTGAAAGAATTTACATTTTCTTTAAAAGAAGTGGCTTTCTACACTAAATTCCATCAGGCAGCCAAAAAAATGTGAGTGCTGAAAATGTGAAAAGGAAAACTCACCTCTGAACACAAGTACTCACTGGAGAACCTTAAAGATAATGAAAAAGTAATTTAACCTTACCTAGAGCTGAAATAATTTTAGAGAGCTGAGGGAAATATAAAAGTAGAAGAAGCAGTGGAAAGAACTCTGTGTGCTCTCCTGGTCACCAGAGAAGCACAGGAAAGTCATTTCTGACTGTCTCACAAAGGCCAGTGGGAGGTCAGCCCATGAAATTGAGGAAGGCTCACAGAAGATTTCCAGCTGAATTTTGTAATAATATCAACTGACTGTGGATATTTCTAAGCAGTATTGGGGAGTGATTGAGTGAAGAGTAAGTGCAGACACAAACTTAGATGTTGCAGCAGACATGGAGAGTGAAGCCTGAAAGAGCTGCTTGTTTTCTCAGTGCAGAGGATTGTAGCCTAAGGCAAGATCTCAGCCCTGGACACTAAAAGGTCTTGAAATAAATTCAGCTCTTTTGGATGTTAGAGGAGCACAGTAGAAATGAGACTGGCCTTTCTGAGTAATTGGAAGCTGAATGAAGATAGTCAGTGCAGGTTTTCCCCCCATTTCCTGGTGACCTGTAAAAAGCAGCAGAGGATGCAAGAATCCCACATGGAACATAAATCTATTGGCCTGAGAACTACACCACAAACCTGACACTGGCTATGGTAAGCTGCACAAGGACAGTCAGCTCAAACATATTTAACCTGATGGTCTTTCTCTACCCAATCTAGTAGTCAAAGGCTTGTGGAAGCTCTATGCCCCACTCATCAGCTGAGAAACCCAAATACTTATCTGGACGATCTTAGGGCATGCATGTGTTAATCTGAGAGTTTTTTTCTATACTACCACAGTGGATGCTGTCTTTAAACTGCCACCCACTGGCTAGAGGTCAGCCCAACTGAAGCCATTACAGCAACTCATAACAAAGCATTCCTGCTTCAGTGAAAGATAAAATATCAGCTAATTTCACCACTTGTGACCTTTTGGCTAACAAGAAATTCTGGATCTGTCCATATGACAACTTTATTGCTAGCCTAACAAGCATTTGAGAAAATCAGCACACTACATGAAACTACATCAAAGTACTCTCAGAAAGCCCACTTTACTTTCATGATACCTGCACTAGAGAAAGTCAAGAAAAATAAAAGAATCTTGAAAGCTGTCAGGCAATAGCATCAGGTAACTTATCAAGGAAAACCTGTGAGATTAACAACAGATTTATCAGAAAACAACCTACCAGCTAGAATGGATTGGGGTTCCATCTTTAGTGTCACTGAACAAAATAATTATCAGCAAGAATTTCACATGCAGTAAAAGCTTTATAAATGAAGAAGATATATAGTATTCTTTAGACAAACAAATGCTGAGAGAATTTGCCACTACCCAGCCAGGACTACAAAAACTGTTGAAAGGAATTATAAATCTTGAAGGAAAATCTTGCAAGAGACCAAAATAGAAACTTCTTAAAGCAAATTGCACACAGCCTTTAAAAAAATACCACAATGGAAAAATAAAACGAAGTATTCAGGCAATAACTAACACAATGAATAGAATAGTACCTGACATCTCAATAATAACACTTAATGTAAATGGACTAAATGCTACACTTTAAAGGACACAGAATGACAGAATAAGTAAGAATTCATGCATCATATGCTGTCTTCAATAGTCTTACTTAACACATAAGGACTCACATATAATTGAGGTAAAAGTGTGGAAAATGATATTGCATGCAAATGGACTCCAAATTCAGCAGGAATCACTATTATATAAGACAAAACAAATTTTAGAGGAACAACAGTTTAAAAAGATAAACAGGAACATTTATAACGATAAGAAGACTAGCCCAACAGGAAAATATCACAATGCTAAATATATATGCACCTAACATTGGAGCTTCCAGATGTATAAAAAATAATTACTAGGCCGAAGAAATGAGACAGATGGCAACACAATGAGAGTGTTCCAGACTCCATGGACAGTGCTAGATAAGCCATCAAGAAAGAAAGTCAACAAAGAAACAATTAATTTAAATTATACCCATCAACAATTGGACTGAAAAGATATTTACTGAGCATTGTACCCAGAAGGTTTAGAATACATATTAGTACATATACCATTCTGTAGGACAGACAGTATGATAGGCCACAAAACAAGTCTCAATAAATTTAAGAAAATCAATATTATATCAAATACCCTCTCAGACAACAGCCAAATGAAATGGAAAATCAATATCAAAAATAATCTTCAAGCTGGGCACAGCGGCTCACACCTATAATTCCAGTATTTTGGGAGGCTGAGGTGGGTGGATCACCTGAGCTCAGGAGTTTGAGAGCACCCTGGGCAACACGGTGAAACCCTGTCTCCACTAAAATTCAAAAACATTGCCGGGCATGGTGGTGTGTGCCTGTAGTTCCAGTTGTTTAGGAAGTTCAGGCACAAGAATCACTTGGGCCTGGGGGCTGGAGGTTTCAGTGAACCTATATTATGCCACTGAACTACAGCTTGGGCTATAGAGTGAGACTCCATTAAAAAAAAAAAAACCCTCAAAGGTATGCAAAGATATAGAAATTAAATAATCTGCTTCTGAGTAATCTTTGTGTCAACAATAAAATCAAGAGATAAATTTAAAAATTCATTAAACTCAATAATAATTATGATAAAAGTGATCAAAATCTCTTGGATACAAAAAAAAAGGGGAGTGCAAAGAGGAAGGTATATAGCATTTAGTGCCTACATCAAGAAGTTTGAAAAAGCACAAATAAACCATCTATAGTCACACCTTAAGAAACTAGAGAAATAAAAAGAAATCAAATCTAAATCCAGCAAAAGAGTAAATAATAGCAAAGATCAGAGCATAAACAAAATAAATTAAAACAATATAATACAAGGGATAAATAAAACACGAGGCTGTTTTTTAAAGATAAACAAAATTAATAAATTATTAACAAGATTAACCCTGTAAAGAAAAAAGAAATTCCAAAGAAGTTCAATTGGAAACAAAATGAGAGACATACAATTGATGTCACAGAAATTCAACATATCATTCAAGGCTACTGTAAACACTTAAGTGCACAAACTAGAAAAGCTAGAGGAGATGTATAAATTCTCATAAATATATTACCCTGCTAGATTAACTAAGGAAGAAATAGAAACTCTAAATAGATCAATAACAGGAAGTGAAACTAAAATGGTAAATAAAAATTGCTAACAAAAAAATAAGTCCAAGACCAGATGGATTCACAGGCGAAATCAATCAGCCATTCAAGAAAGAATTAAGACCAATTCTACTGAAACTAATATAAAAGGTAAAGAACAAGGAAATGTTTCCTAAATCATTCTATGAAGCCACTATTACTCTAATACCCAAACAAAGGTATAATATAACAAAAACGCTACAGACAGTATCTTTGATAAAAATAGATGCAAAAATTCTCAACAAAATCACTTGCTCACCAAATGTTATAGCATATCAAAATGCTACTACATCTTGAAAAAATGGTTTTATACCAGGGATGCAGAGATGGTTTAACACACAGAAGTCAACAAATGTGATACACCACCTAAGCAGAATTTAAAACAAAAATTACATTATTGCCTCAATAGATGCAGAAAAATCATTTGACAGAATCCAGCATGCTTTATTATTAAAACCATTAGGAAAATTGGCATACAAGGGACATACTCTAAGGTAACTTAAAAAAATTATGAAAAATCCTCTGACAACAGTTTACTGAATGAAGAAAAGTTTAAAGCTGTATCCCTGACAACTGGAATAAGACAAAGGCAGAAATGTCCAGTTTTATTCCTTCTATTCAGCATAGTACTAGAAGTCCTAGTCAGAGCAATCAGACCAAAAGAAAAAATATATATAAAGGGCATCCTAATTAAAAAAGAAAAACTCAAACTATTGCTGTTCATTGATGATATAATCATATACCTAGAAAACACTAAAGGCTCATCTAAAAAACTCCTACTTCTGATATACAAATTTGGTAATGTCTCATGACATAATATCAAAGTACACAAATCAGTAGAACTGCTACACAGTAAAAACAACAAAGCTGAGAATCAAATCAAAATCTCAACTCCTTTTACAATAGCTGCCAAAAAAAAAAAAAAAAAAATACAATTCCTGAATATACCTAACCAAGGAGGTGAAAGTCCTCTGGAAGGAAAACAACAAAGTATTCCTGAAAGATCATCAATGATGAAACAAATGAAAACACAACCCATACTCATTGTTAAGTAGAATTAATATTGTGAAACTGATAATATTGCCAAAAGCATTCCACAAATTCAATGCAATTTCCATCAAAATACCATCATCACTCTTCACAGAACAAGACAAAAATCAATGCTAAAACTCTCATAAAATTCAAAATGAGCCTTCATAAATAAAGCAAGACTAATAAAAAAGAACATATGGGGAGGAATCACATTACCTGATTTCAAACTATACTACAGCACTATAGACACCAAAACAGCATGGTACTCTTATTAAAACAGGAATATAAACCAGTGAAAGAAAACACAGAACCCAGAAATCAAGACAAATACATACAACCAACTGATTTTTGACAAAGCAAACAAAAACATAAAAGGAAAAAGGGAAACTTTATTTAACCAATGGTGCTTAAATAATTGGCAAGCCAAATGTAAAAAAAGTAAATCTGGATCTTCATCTCTCACTTTATGCAAAAATAGACTCAAGATGGATCAAAGACTTAAATCTATGGCTGGAAATCATGAAAATTCTAGAAGATAACATGGTAAAATCTATTCTAGACATTGGCTTCGGCAAAGAGTTCATGACCAAAAACCCAAAAGAAAAGGCAATAAAATCAAATATAACAGAGGAAACTTAAACTGAAAAGCTTCTGTACAGGTAAAGAAATAATAAGCAAAGTGAACAGACAATCCACAGAATGGAAGAAAATTTTTGCAAACTATGCATTCAACAAAGAACTAATATTGAGAATCTAACAGTAACCCAAATAAGTCATCAAGAATAAAACAAGGCCGGGCATGGTGGCTCATGCCTGTAATCCCAGCACTTTGGGAGGCTGAGGCTGGTGTATCACGAGGTCAGGAGATTGAGACCATCCTGGCAAACACAGTGAAACCTCGTCCCTACTAAGAATACAAAAAATTAGCCAGGCAGCGTGGCTGGCACCTACTGTAGTCTCAGCTAACTGGGAGGCTGAGGAAGGAGAATGACATGAACCAGGGAGGTGGAGGTTTCAGGGAGCCAAGATCGCACCACTGCACTCCAGTCAGTCTGATAGAGAGTTAGACTCTCTCTCAAAAGAAACAAAAAAACAAAAAAAAAAAAAAAAGAAAAAACAAATAGTCCCATTAAAAAGCTGACAAAGAACATGAATAGAAAATTTCAAAAGAATATATACCAATGGTCAACAAGCATACAAAAATTGCTCAACATTACTAATTGTCAAGGAAAAACAAATTAAAACAATAATATGATACAACCTTATTTCTGTGAAAATGTTCATAATTTTAAAACTCAAGAAATAATAGATGTTGGCATGGAAGTGGTGATATGGGAAAACTTTTACACTGCTGGTGGGTATCTTAACTAGCAAAACCACTATGAAAAACAGTGTTGAAATTTCTTAAATAACTAACAGTAGATCTACAGTTTGATTCAGTAATATCACTACTGGGTATTTACCCAAAGAAAAAGGTCATTATATAAAAAAGACCCTGGCATATGTATGTTTCTTGCATATGTATGTTTATAGCAGCACCACTCACAGTTGCAAATATCTGAAATCAACCTATATACCATCAATAGACTAATAAGTGGATAAAGAAAATCTGGTACATATACACCAAAGATTACTACTCAGACATATAAAGAAACAAAATAATGCCTTTAGCAGCAACTTGAATTGAGATGAATGCCATCATTTTAAGTAAAATGAGACATTGGAAGTTCTGGCCAGGGTAATTAGGCAGGAGAAGGAAATAAAGGGTATTCAATTAGGAAAAGAGGAAGTCAAATTATCCCTGTTTTCTGATGACATAATCGTATATCTAGAAAACCCCATTGTCTCAGCCCAAAATCTCCTTAAGCTGATAAGCAACTTCAGCAAAGTCTCAGGATGTAAAGTCAATATGCAAAAATCACATGCATTCTTATACACCAATAACAGACAAACAGAGAGCCAAATCATGAGTGAACTCCCATTCACAATTGTTTCAAAGAGAATAAAATACCTAGGAATCCAACTTACAAGGGATGTGAAGGACCTCTTCAAGGAAAACTACAAATCACTTCTCAATGAAATAAAAGAGGATACAAACAAATGGAAGAACGTTCCAGGTTCATAGGTAGGAAGAATCAATA
The DNA here is from genome assembly GCF_000001405.40 of Homo sapiens. Classification (NCBI taxonomy): domain Eukaryota; kingdom Metazoa; phylum Chordata; class Mammalia; order Primates; family Hominidae; genus Homo; species Homo sapiens. The sequence goes on along the minus strand of NC_000024.10, from coordinate 19,339,865 downwards.
TCGTGAAAATGGCCATACTGCCCAAGGTAATATATAGATTCAATGCCATCCCCATCAAGCTACCAATGACTTTCTTCATAGAATTGGAGAAAACTACTTTAAAGTTCATTTGGAACCAAAAAAGAGCCCGCATTGCCAAGTCAATCCTAAGCCAAAACAACAAAGCTGGAGACATCATACTACCTGACTTCAAACTATACTACAAGGCTACAGTAACCAAAACAACATGGTACTGGTACCAAACCAGAGATATAGACCAATGGAACAGAACAGAGCCCTCAGAAATAATGCCATATATCTACAACCATCTGAACTTTGACAAACCTGAAAAAAACAAGAAATGGGGAAATGATTCCCTATTTAATAAATGGTGCTGGGAAAACTGGCTAGCCATATATAGAAAGCTGAAACTGGATCCCTTCCTTAAAACTTATACAAAAATTAATTCACAATGGATTAAAGACTTACATGTTAGACCTAAAACCATAAAAACCCTAGAAGAAAACTTAGGCAATACCATTCAGGACATAGGCATGGGCAAGGACTTCATGTCTGAAACACAAAAAGCAATGGCAACAAAAGCCAAAATTGACAAATGGGTTCTAAACTAAAGAGCTTCTGCACAGCCAAAAAAAAAAAAAAAAAAAAAAAAAAAAAAAAAAAAATAACATCAGAGTGAACAAGCAACCTACAAAATGGGAGAAAATTTTCACAACCTACTCATCTGCCAAAGATCATCCAGAATCTACAATGAACTCAAACAAATTTACAAGAAAAAGCAAACAATCCCAACAAAAAGTGGGAGAAGGATATGAACAGACACTTCTCAAAAGAAAACATTTATGCAACCAACAGACACATGAAAAAATGCTCATCATCACTGGCCATCAGAGGAATGCAAATCAAAACAACGAGATACCATCTCACACCAGTTAGAATGGCAATCATTAAAAAGTCAGGAAACAAGAGGTGCTGGAGAGGATGTGGAGAAATAGGAACACTTTTACACTGTTTTTGGGACTATAAACTAGTTCAACCATTGTGGAAGTCAGTGTGGTGATTTCTCAGGGATCTGGAGTTAGAAATACCATTTGACTCAGCCATCCCATTACTGTTTATATACCGAAGGGATTATAAATTATGCTGCTATAAAGACACATGCATACCTATGTTTATTGCAGCACTATTCACAATAGCAAAGACTTGGAACCAACCCAAATGCCCAACAATGGTAGACTGTATTAAGAAAATATGGCACATATACACCATGGAATACTATGCAGCCATAAAAATAATGAGTTCATGTCGTTTGTAGGGACATGGACAAATCTGGAAACGATCATTCTCAGCACACTATCCCAAGGACAAAAAACCAAACACCACTTGTTCTCATTCGTAGTTGGGAATTGAACAATGAGAACACATGGACACAGGAAGAGGAACATCACACACTGAGGGCTGTTGTGTGGTGGGGGGAGGGGAAAGGGATAGCATTAGGAGATATACCTAATGTTAAATAACAAGTTAATGGAGGCAGCACAGCAACATGGCACATGTATACACATATAACAAACCTGCACTTTGTGCAGATATACCCTAAAACTTAAAGTATAATTAAAAAAAAGAAAAAAGAAATGAGACAGGAGTAAATAATCAAAGAGCGTATGTTCTCATTTTTAAGTGGGAGCTAACCTATAAGTACATAAGGTTTGCAGAGTAATATAATGAAATTTAGAGACACAGAAAGTAAAAAGTGGATGGAGACAGAAATATAAAAACTACACCTTAGGTACAACGTATACTACTTGGGTGAACTAATATATCTTATAATTCATTACTAAAGAACTTATTCTTGTAAGCAAATGCCACCTGTTTCCCCCCCAAAAAAAAACTATTAAAATAAAACTAAAATTAAACAGCCCAAATGACCATCAATCAAGGAGTGGATAAGGAAAATGTGGTATATATAAATACCATAAATTATTACTTATTAATAATAAGAAATGAAACAATGTCACTCACAGGAATCTCAGTGGTTTAGGAGGCCATTATTCTAAGTGAAGCAACTCAGAAATGGAAACCAAACATTGTATGTTCTCACTTATAATGGGAGCTAAACTATGAGGACGCAAAGGAATAAGAATTCATAAAATGGACTTTTGAGACTTTGGGGAAGTATGAGAGGGAGGTAAGAAATAAAAGATTACATATTGGACATAGTTACACTGCTTGGGTACACTACAATCTCAGAAAGCACCACTAAGTAAATTATTCATATGATCAAACACCACCTGTTCCCCCAAAACTACTAAAATTTAAAAAAAGTAAAATGTATGTTACAATAAAAGACTCAAGATATCACAACAGAATACCTAGAAAATACCATTATTGACATTTGCATAGGCAAAGATTAAATAAGAAAGACTCTGAAGGCAATTACAACAAAAGCAAACTTTGACAACTGGGGTTTTCTTTAAGTGTAGAATAAATAGACCACCTATAAAATAGGACAAATTGTTCATAAACTATATGTTTGGCAAAAATCTCAAATCCACAGCTTATAAAAAACTTAAAGCAACAAACAAAGAACAAAAAAGTCTGTCAAAAAGCAAGCAAACCTTGGGCAGTATGGCCATTTTCACGATATTGATTCTTCCTACGCATGAGCATGGGATGTACTTCCATTTGTTTGTATTTTTTTTTATTTCATTGAGCAGTGGTTTGTAGTTCTCCTTGAAGAGGTCCTTCATGTCTCTTGTAAGTTGGATTCCTAGGTATTTTATTCTCTTTGAAGCAATTGTGAATGGGAGTTCACTCATGATTTGGCTCTCTGTTTGTCTGTTGTTGCTGTATAAGAATGCTTGTGATTTTTGTAGATTGATTTTGTATCCTGAGACTTTGCTGAATTTGCTTATCAGCTTAAGGAGACTTTGGGCTGAGACGATGGGGTTTTCTAGATGTACAGTCATGTCTCAGCAAAGAGGGACAATTTGACTTCCTCTTTTCCTAATGGAATACCCTTTATTTCCTTCTCCTGCCTGATTGCCCTGGCCAGAACTTCCAACACTATGTTGAATAGGAGTGGTGAGAGAGGGCATCCCTGTCTTGTGCCAGTTTTCAAAGGGAATGCTTACAGTTTTTGCCCATTGAGTATGATATTGGCTGTGGGTTTGTCATAGATAGCTCTTATTATTTTGAGATATGTCCCATCAACAGAATTGATAGACTGCTAGCAAGATTGATAAAGAAGAAAAGAGAAAAATCAAATAGATGCTATAAAAAATGATAGAGAGGATATCACCACCGATCCCACAGAAATACAAACTACCATCAGAGAATACTATAAACACCTCTACACAAATAAACTAGAAAATCTAGAAGAAATGAATAAATTTGTCAACGCATACACCCTCCCAAGACTAAACCAGGAAGAAGTTGAATCTCTGAATAGATCAATAACAGGCTCTGAAATTGAGGCAATAATTAATAGCTTACCAACCAAAAAAAGTCCAGGACAAGATGGATTCACAGCCTAATTCTACCATAGGTACAAGGAGGAGCCGGTACCGTTCCTCCTGAAACTATTCCAATAATAGAGAAAGAGGGAGTCCTCCCTATCTCATTTTACAAAGCCAGCATCATCTGATACCAAAGCCTGACAGAGACACAGCAACAACAAAAAAGAGAATTTTAGACCAATATCCCTGATGAACATTGATGCAAAAGTCCTCAATAAATTACTGGCAAACCGAATCCAACAGCACATCAAGAAGCTTATCCACCATGATCAAGTGGGCTTCATCCCTGAGATGCAAGGCTGGTTCAACATATGCAGATCAATAAACATAATCCAGCATACAAACAGAACCAATGACAAAAACCATATGATTATCTCAATAGATGCAGAAAGTCCTTTGACAAAATTCAACAACCCTTCATGCTAAAAACTCTCAATAAAAAATCACAAGTATTTCTATACACCAATAACACACAAACAGATAGACAAATCATGAGTGGTACACTCATTTACAAATACTACAAAGAGAATAAAATACTTAGCAATACTACTTACAAAAGATGTGAATGACCTCTTTAAGGAAAACTTCAAACCACTGTTCAAGGAAATAAAAGAGGACACAAACAAATGGAAAAACATTCTATGCTCATAAATTAGAAGTATCAATATTGTGAAAAGGCCATATTGCCCGAAGTTCATAGACTATAGATTTAACGCTATACATTTATAGATTTAATGCCAAACCCAACTGGCTACTACTGACTTTCATCAGAGAATTAGAAAAAGCTACTTTAAATTTCATATGGAACTAAAAAAGACCTCATATTACCAAGACAATCCTAAGCAAAAAGCAGAAAGCTTGAGGCATCATGCTACCTTACTTCAAACTATACTACAAGGCTACAGTAACCAATGCAGCATGGTACTGGTACCAAAACAAATATATAGACCAACTGGACAGAACAGAAACCTCAGAAATAACACCACACATCTAGAACCATCTGATCTTTGTCAAACCTGACAAAAACAAGAAATGGGGAAAGGATTCCCTATTTAATAAATAGTATTGATAAAGTGGCTTCCCATACATGGAAAAAAATATACTGGACCGCTTCCTTCCACCTTATACAAAAATTAACTCAAGATGAATTAAAGGCTTAAACTTAAGATCTAAAACCATAAAACCCTAGAAGAAAACAGTCAATACCATTCAGGACACAGGCATGGGCAAAGAGTTCACGACTAAAATACCAAAAGCAACGACAACCAAAGCCAGAATTGACAAATGGGATCTAATTAAAGTAAAGAGCTCTGCACAGCAAAAACAAAAACAAACAACAACAAAAAAACAAAACAACAAAAAAGAACTATCATCAGAGTGAGCAGGAAACCTATAGAATGAGATAAAGTTTTTGCAATGTATCTTTCGGACAAAGGGCTAATATCCAGAATCTGCAAGGAACTTAAACAAACTTACAAGAACAAAACAAACAACCTTATAAAAAAGTGGGCAAAGGATATGAACAGACACTTCTCAAAAGAAGACATTATGCATCCAACAAACAGATGAAAAAAGCTCACCATCAGTGGTCATTAGAGAAATTCAAATCAAAACCACAATGAGATACCATCTCATGCCAGTTAGAATGGTGATCATTAAAAATGTCAGGAAACAACAGGTGCTGGAGAGGATGTGGAGAAATAGGAACGCTTTTACACTGATAGTGGGAGTGTAAATTAGTTCAATCATTGTGAAAGACAGTATAGCGATTCCTCCTCAAGGGTGTAGAACGTCAGATACCATTTCACCCATAAATCCCATTACTGGTTATATACCCAAAGGATTATATATTATTCTACTACAAAGATTCATGCATATGTATGTTTATTGCAGCACTGTTCACAATAATAAAAACTTGGAACCCACCCAAATATCCATCAGTGATAGACTGGATAGGAAAAATCTGGCACATATACACCATGGAATACTATGCTCCCATAAAAAAGGATGAATTCATGTCCTTTGAAGGGACATGGATGAAGCTGAAAACCATCATTCTCAGCAAACTAACACAAGAAGAGAAAACCAAACACCACATGTTCTCACTCATAAGTGGGAGTTGAACAATGAGAATACATGGACACAGGGAGGGGAACATCACACACTGGGGCCTGTTTGGAGGTGAGGGACTAGAGAAGGGATAGTATTAGGAGAAATACCTAATGTTGATGACAGGCTGATGGGTGCAGCAAACCACCTTGGCACATGTATACCTATATAACAAACCTGTCCATTCTGTACATATAGCCCAGAATTTAAAGTATAATTTTTAAAAAATGAGATTTTACAGCCTTTTTCTCTCTTTTTGTCTTGTTTCAGTTAGCATTTTCTCCAGATTTATCTAGGTAGTCATGAATAACAGAAGTTTCTATTTTTAAGAGGCTAAAAAATATTCTATTGGTTTTATATACACCAAATTTCTAAAAATTTATTCACCTGTGGTTAAACATTAGATTGTCTCTATATCTTAGCTATTGTAAATAATGCTTCAATCAACATGATAGTACAAATATCTCTTTGGCATACTGATTTCAATTTCTTGGAATATATACTGAAAGTTAGCATTGCTCTATTATATAAAATATGTATTTTAGTTTTTTGAGCAAATTTTATGTATTTTACATTTTTGTAATATATTTACTAATTTACAATAACTCTAACGGTGCATTAACACTTCCTTTTCTTCACATTTTCACCAACACTTATCTTTAACTTTTTTATAACAATAATTTCAACAAGTATGAGTTAATATTTAATAAATTTCATTTGTATATTTGTAATAATTATAGATGTTGAATGTTTAAAAATACATTTGTGGCTTATTTATATGTTTTTTTTTTTTTGGAAATAGCTCAAGTTTCTTGCCTGTTTTTGATATTTTTAAAAATTTCTTCTTTTTGAGTAGTTTGAGTTATTGTATATCTTGAATATTTCTCCCTTACCTTAGAGTTGGTTCACAAATATTTTCTTGGAATCTGAGCATTCTCTCCTTAATCTATTATTTATTTCTTTTGTTTATTTATTTTGAATTTTTTTAACTAACAAAATCTCATGTGATTATTTGTTTCTATTGCACATGCCTTTGAGGTTACTTCCAAATCCTCATTTAGCACTCCTAAATCATGAAGCTTTTTTTTAATGTTATTTTGTAAAAGTGTTACAGTTTTAGGTTTTACATTTAAGTATTTAATATATTTTCAATGAATTTTTGTATAGAGAGAAAAATAAAGATCCATTTATAAAAATAAAAAGCATTTCAATTTTCAGTTTGTCAACAAAACTGTTTGTTGATATGGGTATATATTATTAATCCATTCTCACACTGTTATAAAGACACCACTGCAACTGGGTAATTTATTTTAAAAAGAGGTTTAATTGGCTCAGGGTTTTGCATGTTGTACTAGCTTCTTTTTCTGAGAAGGCCTCAAGACACTTACCCTCATTGCACAAGGTAAAAGGGAAGCAAGCATTTCTTTACATGGCCGGCAGAGAGAGAGAGAGAGAGTAAAGAAAGAGGTTTTAAATAAACAGGGGTCATGAGAATTTTATTATAAGAAGAGCCAAAGGGAAATCCACCTTCATGATTTGAACACCTCCCAGGAGGCCCCTCCTTTAACACTGGAGATTACAATTTGACATGAGACTTAGGTGGCAAAACGGAGTCAAACTTATCAGTTTAAGACAAAAAAAAGCCCACAAAGCAAATGGGAGATGCTTTGAGAAATAGGATAAAGCAATAAGAAAATCAAAATCAAAATCAAAATCAATATTATATTAAAACACAGCTGAAAACAAACTTCTGTCAGTATAATTGTAAGACTTTGTTGGCTGTTATTTAGAACAACAACTTTTTATTATCTCAAAATCGACCTAGCCAAACTTTAAGTGTATATACTTAATATAATTGGGCAAAAAGTTTTCATTTACTTATCTAGTAATAAAAATACTGTCACATAAGGATTCTACATAGAAAATAATCATGTTCCAAAATCATTTTGAAAAAGTGAAGCAGCAGACAGATTTGACTGCAGAAACTCCTTTTACTCAAAAAGTAACGGGTATAATTTTTTTTTTAATTGTTGCCCTAACAAATTGCCACAAACTTAGTGGCTTAAACAACATAAAATTGTATCTTACAGTTTTGTAGATCAAAAGTCTAAGCTAAATTTCATCGTATTGTCAGTTTATGCTTTTTCTTTTGTTAATGAGTTTTCTTGCTCTTTACAGCTTGCAGACATGCTATATTTCTTGGCTTATGGCCCTTTTTTGTGGAAGTTTTATTTTATTCCTATGTATTGCATGATTAAACAATTATACAATTAAAATTAAGTAAAGATGCCTAAACTGCAAAAGAAAGACAAATTAGCAATTTAAAACACTATATAGTCTGTTCTTAAAAACATTGGTTTACAGGCAATTATTTAACTATACATGCATGTCTTCGAGTTCTACTTATTTTGTGATATAGAATATGGTCACTTTTAAAAAAGATTCATGTGCCCTTGACAGAAGACAGGAAAATACTTTCTTCAAAAAGTCTGTTAATTTTATATAATTGATTGCTTTTATGTCAACAATGCAAATTATTTTTTCTTATTTAATGTATTATATTTCAATGTCTCCCTATTTAACACACCCTTAATTATTATGTTGCTATATACATTTTCTCCTGTTTATCCCTTATTCATTTATTTCCATTTTTCTTTTTTAAAAAAATAAATATATTTTTTTAAATTTTACTTTAAGTTTCAGACACACGTGCAGAATGTGCAGGTTTGTTACATAGGTAAACATGTGCCATGGTGGTTTACTGCACCCATCAACCCATCAGCTAGGTAATAAGCCTGGCACACATTAGCTATTTTTCCTGATGCTCTCCATTCTGTCACCAGTAAGATGCCATTTTATACCAGTCTAAATGGCAGTTGTAAAAAGGTAAGAAAAAACGATGTTGACAATGCTGTAGAAAAACAGGAAGGTTTTACACTGTTGGTGGGAACGTAAATTAGTTCAACGATTGTGAAAGACAATGTGAGGATTCCTCAAGGATCTAGAACAAGAAAGCTCATTACTTGGTATATGCTTAATGTAATATAAATCATTCTATTACAAAGATACATGTCTACGTATGTTTATTCCGGCAATATCCCCAATAGCAAAGACATAAAACCAAACCAAATGCTCATCAATGATAGACTGGATAAGGAAGATGTGGTACATATACACCATTGAATACTACACAGCTATAAAAAGGAATGAGATCATATTTTTTGCAGGTACATGAATGAAGCTGGAATCCATCCTTCTTGGCAAACTAACATAGAAATAGAAACCCAAACACTGCAACTTCTCACTCTTAAGTGGACACTGAACTATAAGATCATGTGGACACAAGGTGAAAAATAATACACACTGGGGCCTATTTTTATGTTTAAACAACAAATGAAGTATAAATGTCCTCTCATGTTATATCTCACTAAGCTTTGGTTATTGTTATTTTTTGACAGCAGAAAAAAAACATAATTATTTCTGTGATTATATCGATTTCACTTTGATAAATCTGAATCACCTTTGCATCTGAAAGCCATAACTATAATCACATCTGCAAGGCATATTTTACCCTGCAAGGTAACATATTTACAGATTCTAAAAATTAAAGGTGAAATAACTGTGGAAGGCATTATTATACTAATAAGATAATTATTTATATTCTTTTTTTGGCTCAGGTCATTTTTTACAACAGTGAGAGGACAGGCTAATACAGAAAATTTTTACCAATGAAGTGGGTGTATTGCTCTGAAGACAGGTGAAAATGTGAAAGCCAGTTTGGAACTGGATAATGGGCAGAAGTTGAGAAAGTATGGAGGGCTCAGAAGAACATTGAAATAGTTTTTGAGAAAGGTTAGAACTTTCTAGAAACCGGTTGAATGATGTGACTAAAATGCTAATAGTAATATGAACAATGAAGTCCATATAACTATGGCCTCAGATATAATGCTACTGCTGATGTTAACAATATGAAAAACAGATATATTCCTGTGAATAATGGTATTTTCTGAATTTCTCAGCAGCCACACTGAAGTTAGTTTTGCCTACCTCCTTGAACTATTTACTCAATATTAAGTACAATGGAAGCGTTTTCCACCTGTACAAAGTAGGACAATACTTTACTCCATAGTAAAATATGTCTCCATGACATGAAGCCAGTTTAGAATTGCCACCATCCAAAATATCTGAATCCTATCTTGTTCTAGTTTACTATCCTCATGTTCTGTATCTCCACCTGTTGCATTACCACCTGGGACCATTTTCTGCTGTAGGCACCAACAGTGTTATTTTATATCACAGCATTTGTCTTTTTATTCCAACAGACTGTGTTGATCATTCACACTTTCCATTCTTTACTGTTTGAATAAGTCATAGTGTTTTGGGAGTATAGATTTATGTTCCCTGTAAAACAAATCAGTGCTGTAAGACTATCAGTGGTAGGTAGACAATAATTATCTTAGAAATTATCAGAAGTTTGTGTGACTTGTAAAAATACACCTAAACATTATTTATCAGCTGTGTTTTTCTGTGGCTATTATTAAGAAAGAGAGATGCAATAGTACATTTAAAAAGCAAGACCACTTATAAATAATGGTATAAGTGTATTCATATTTTCATAGTAAAGGAATTCCTACTGGATGACTTAAACATCAGAAACTCACTTCTAGAGGCTAAAATGGCAGGATGATGAAGTTGACTGGTTGAGATTTTTGTTATGTGACTCTCATAATTGATATGTGTATATTCTTTCTATTTCTTCAAATGATCACTCTTTTTTATTGTTTAAGTCTTATTCTTATTTATTTTATTTTATTTCTATTTTCCAGTGTACATGTGCAGGATATGCAGATTTGTTACATATGTACAATGGTGGTTCTCTGCAGTTACCAAACTATCACCTAGGTATTAAGTTCAGCATCCATTAGATATTTTTTCTGATGCCCTCCCCACATTGTCCTCTCCCAACAGGCCCCAGTGTGTGTTGTTTCCCTCCCCGTGTTTATATGTCATCATTGTTCAGCTCCCACTTATAGATGAGAACATGCTGTCTTTGGTCTTCTGTTCTTGTATTAGTTTGCTGAAAATAATGACTTCCAGGTTCATCTATGTCCCTCTAAAGGACATTACCTCATTCCTTCTTATGGTTGCATAGTATACCATGTGGATATGTACTACATTTTCTTTATCGAGTCTATAACTGATGGGCATTTGCATTGATGCCATGTCTTTGATATTGTGAATAGTTCTGCAATGAACATATATGTGTATATATCATCATAATAGAATAATCTATATCTTTTGGTGTATAACCAGTAATCATGCTGGGCAAATGGTATTTCTGGTTTTAGATCCTTGAGGAATGATCACATTGTCCTAAACAAACAATGGATATACTGGTTTATATTCCCATCAACAATGTAGAAGTGTTCATATATCTCCAGTTTCACCAGCAACTGTTTATGTCTTTTTTTTTACACAGGAGATTTTATTGGTGGAACACAACAAGGGGGGGCTCACTAGGCCTCTTCTTCTTCAAGGAGTCTTCAGAAAACTTTTATGAGGGGAGATTCTCCATGTGGTGGAGAACTGAGATTGGTAAGCAATCCTTAGCAGTGAGGGCCTGTCTTCCTCTCATTCTCTCACTGGAGGTGGTGGTCTGGGAATCTTACTCCTTGGAGGCCATGTAGGTCACAAGGTCTATCAGGCTGTTTGTATATCCAAATTCATTGTCATACCAAAAAAAAAAAAAAATGAGCTTGGCACAGTGGTTGTTGAAAGCAATGCCAGTCCCTGCGTCAAAGGTGGAAGAGAAGGTGTCACTTTTGGATTAAAAGGAGGCAACTTGGTGCTCAGTGTAGCTTAGGATGCCCTTGTGGGGGACCTCTGGCACCTGCTTCACCACCTTGTTGATGTTATCATATTTGGTAGGTTTTCACATATGGCAGGTTAGGTCCATGACCAACAGGTAGGTGGTGGGACATGGAAAACCATGCTAGTGAATTTCCCATTCAGCTTAGAAATGATCTTGCCCACAGCATTGGCAGTGTCTGTAGAGACAGAGAGAATGTTTTGGAGAGCCCCATGGGTGTCACACCACAGCTTCCCAGAGGGGTCATCCACAGTCTTCTGGGTAGCAGTGATGGCAGTTACTGTGAATATGGGTCCTTCCATGATACCAAAATTGTCATGGATTACCTTGGCCAATGGGGCCACTAAGCAGTTGGTGGCACAGGAGGCATTGTTGACAACCTTTGTGCTTCTCAGGGTTTGGGCTGATCACAAACATGGGGGTGCCAGCAGAGGAGACAGAGATGATGACTCTTTGACTCCTCCCTGAAAGTGAGCCCCTGGCTTCTCCATGGTGGTGAAGATACCAGTGGATTCCACAACATACTCAGTGCCAGCATTGCCCCATTTGATTTGGGAGGGATCTCGCTCCTGGAAGTGGTGATGGGATTTCTATTGATGACAGGCTTTCTTTTCTCAGCCTTGACAGTGCCATGGAATTTGCCATGGGTAGAATCATACCGGAATATGTAGACCACATAGTTGATGTCAATGAAGTGGTCACTGATGGTGACAATATTCACTTTACCATACTTAAAAGCAGCCCTAACAATAAGGTGCCCAATATGGCCTAATCATTGACTCTTGCCTTTACCTTCATCATGGCATCTCAGGGATGTAACTGGTAAAGCACAAGAAGACACTGCTGTGTGTCAAACGGGAGGAGCAGAGAGCCTGCTGTTTCCTGACTTTAATAATCATGTGACTATTTTGAGATGGTACCTCATTGTGGTTTTAATTTGCATTTTTCTAATAATCAGTGATGTTGAGCCTTTTTTTGATATGTTATTTGGCTGCACATATGTTTTCTTTTAATAAGTTTCTGTTCATGTCTTTTGTCCACTTTTTAATGGGGTTGTTTTTTTATTGTAAATTTCTTTATGTTTCTTGTAGATTCTGGAAATTAGACCATTGTCAGACAAATAGCAAAAATTTTCTCCCATTCTGTAGGTTGTCTGTTTGCTCTGATGGTAGTTTCTTTTGCGTGCAGAAGCTCTTTAGTTTAATTAGATTCTACTTGCCAATTTTTGCTTTCATTGCAGTTGCTTTTGGTGATTTTGCCATAAAATATTTGCCCTTGCCAATGTCCTCAATGGTATTGCATACATTTTATTCTAGGGTTTTGGTCTAAGAAATGGGTCAAGTTTCAGTTTTCCATGTATAGCTAGCCAGTTTTCCCAGCATCATTTACTGAATAGGAGATTTTTCCCCTTTGCTTGTTTTTTTCAGGTTTGTTGAAAATCAGATGATTATAGATTTCAGGTGTGATTTCTGAGGTCTCTGTTGTGTTCCATTGGTTTATATATGTGTTGTTGTACCAATACTATGCTGTTTTGGTTACTGCAGCCTTGTAGAATAATTTGAAGTCAGGTAGCATGGTGCCTCCAGCTTTTTTTATTTTTTTCTTGCTTAGAATTGTCTTGGATAAACAGGGTCTTCTTTGATACTGTATCAATTTATTTATTTTTCTAATTCTGTGAGGAATGTCAATAGTAGTTTTATGGGAATAGCATTGAATCTATAAATCACTTTGGGCATTAAGACCATTTTCATGATATTGATTATTTCTATTAATGAGGAAGGAATTATTTTTTATTTGTTTGTGTCCTCTCATTGTCTTGAGCACCGGTTTGGAGTCCTCTTTGAAAAAAAATCCCTCTTCACATCCTTTGTTAAATGTATTCCTAGCAATTTTATTCTCTTTGTAGTGATTGTGAATGGGAGTTTATTCATAATTTGACTCTCTGATTGTCTACTATTGATGTAAAAAGAGTTTGTAATTATTGCACATTAATTTTGTTCCCTGAGATTTTGCCAAAATTGCTTATCAGTCTAAGGTGTTCTTAGGCTGAGATAATGGGGTTTTCTAAATATCAAATCATGTCATCAGCAAACAGAGAAAATTTTACTTCCTCTCTTCCTGTTTGAATAAAACACACTGAAGTACACAGACAAATGACACTATGAAACAACTACATTAACCAATCTGCAAATTAATCAGCCAGCATTACAATGACATAATCAAACTAATGCAGAGCAATATTAACCATATTAATCTTAAATGTAAATGGATTAAATGACCCAATTAAAAGACACCACATGGTAAGCTGGGTAAAAAGACAAGATCCAGTAGTGTACTGTATTAAAGATATACATATTATGCAAAGACATGTATATGCACAAAATAAAGTGATGAAGAAAAATTTACCAAACAAATAGAAAGCAGAAGAAAGCAGAGATCACCATCCTAGTTTCTGACAAAATAGAATGTAAACCAACAGAGATTTAAAAAAAAAAGACTACAAAAAGACTTAAATGCCCACAAAATATCAGAGGGAGACATCAATGCCACATGTTCAATATTGAATAGACTATTGAGACAGCAAATTAACTAAGACATTTAAGACTCTGTATCAAGTTGCCCTGAGAAACAGCAACAGAACTCTCCACCCAAAACAACAATATACATGTTTTTAGGTGCCACTGACACTTACCTTGAAATTGATTACATAATTGGAGTAAAACACTCCTCAGCAAATGCAAAAGAACTGACATCATAAAAACAGTCTCTCAGGTCACGGTGCAATACAATTAAAACTCAATGTTAAGAATTTTACTCAAAACCACACAACTACATTAAAATTGAACAATCTGCTCCTGAATGACTCCTGGGTAAATAATTAAATTAAGGCAGAAATCAAGAAGATCTTTGAAACTTATGAGAACAAAGAGGCAACGTAGCAGGGTGTCTGAAATTCAGCTAAAACACTGTTAAAAGACAAATTTCTAGGACAAAATTTATTTATTTGTAGGACTAAATTTATAGCACTACAGGCCCAAATCAAAAAGGTAGAAGTATCTCAAATCAACTTCCTAACATCACAACTGTAAGAACTGGAGAACCAAGAGGAAACTAACTCTAGAGCTAGTGGAAGGCAAGAGATAACCAAGAACAGAGTGGAACTGCAAGAGATAGAGAAATGAAAACCTCTTCAATCAACAAATCCAAAAGCTTTTTTTTAAAAAAAATCAATAAAGTAGATATATTACTAAATAAACTAACAAATAAGAAAGTAGGAGATTCAAATAAGCACAATCAGAAATGATAATGGAGAAACCAACACTGACCCCACAAAAATACAAAAAATCAACCGGAGAATATCATAAACTCCTCTAGGCAAATAAACTAGAAAACTTAATATAAATGAATAAATGCCTGGACATATACAGTCTCCCAAGATAGAACCAGGAAGAAGTTGAATCACTGAATAGGCCAACAATAATTTCTGAAATTGAGAGAGTAATGAATATTCTACCAATTTAAAAAAAGCCAAAGACAAGATGGATTTACAATTTATATTTACGATATAGCACAGATAAAAAGAGGAGTCTGTATCATTTCTTCCAGAACTATCTCCAACAGTTGAAAAGTAGGGACTCCTTCATAAATCATTTTATGAGGTCAGCGTCATCCTGTTACAAAACCTGGCAGAAATACAATAACAAAAGTAAACTTTAGGCCAATATCCCTGATGGATATTGATGCAAAAATTTTCAATAAAATACTGGCAAACAGAATCCACCAGCACATCAAAAAGCTTGTCCACCATAATCTAGTTGACTACATCCCAAGGATGCAAGCCTGGTTCAATAAATGCAAATCAAGATATGTAATTCATCTCAAAAAGAGAAAAATCACATAATTATCTCAATAAACATAAAAATGGCCTTAAATAAAATTCAACTTCCATTCATGTTAAAAACTCTCAATAAACTAAGAATTAAAGACACATACATCAAACTGATAAAGCCATTTATGGTAAACTGACAGCCAATATTATACAGAAATGGCAAAATCTAGAATCATAACCCTTGAAAACTGTCACAAGACAAAAAACCCTCTCTCACCACCCTCATTCAACATAAGGTCGAAGTTTTGAAAGGGTAATCAGACAAGAGAAAAAAATAAGTATTTAATAAGAGAGAGAGTCAAACTGTTCTTTTCTGCAGATGATATAATCCTATATCTTGAAAACCCGAATGACTTAGCCCCAAAGCTTTTTAATCCATATTTCTTTCTAATTCTTTGAAGAATGTCAATGGTAGTTTAACAGAAATAGCATTAAATCTACATCTTGCTTTTGGCAGTATGGCCATTTTCATGATATTTACTTTTTTTCTATTCATAGTTTGTAGTTCTCACTGAAGAATTTTGTCACTTCCCTTTTTAGATGTATTTTTAAGTATTTTATTTTCTTTACGGCAATTGTAAATGAGAATTTATTCATAATTTGGCTCTTTGCTTGTGTGTTTTTGGTGTACAGAAATGCTTTTCTTGTCCACATATCTATTTTGTATTCTGAGACTTTGATGAAGTTGCTTGTTCCTCTGGAAGTTTGTTTCAGAAGGACACTGAACTGATTCCAGCTGAAACTCTCTTGTATAATGTGTCTGGAGACCCCTTTTCAAATGACTTAACCAGTCAGGAGGCATGGAATTAGAGACTTGCTTAAGGAAGAATTCTGGCTGCTCTTAGTGAAATCAAATGTGCTGCATTGCGGGTAATCCATCTTGTCTGATGGCCCAGACACTTCAGAGTTAGCAGGTAAAAAATATTAAGTCCACTATACCAGAGACTGTGGCCACCCCTCCCCTCAAGTGTTATTTTTTGAAAACATTAGAGTTAGGTCTATAAACTGCTTCCTGGAGTTACCAAAATTTCTACAAAGAGGCTCTGCCTAAGGAGAAGACGTTGTAGTCCTACCAATGCACAAAAATGTTACTGTCTCTAAGTTTCAGAGAAAATTAACCATTTCTGAGAAAAGAAAAGAGTTATTTTTTTCGACCTGCAAGAAAATTAAGGAGCACGTACAAAATGCTGAGGTTTGAGCAATAGTTTAATAAGCAAAGGGAGAAAACTCTCTGCCAGAAGAGAGGGAGGCTTAGAAAGATTGTCAACTTTGTTTTAACTTCTGGGATTTTTATGGACTGGAAATAGCAAGAAATGTGATTAGTCTGCCAGCTGCCTTGAGAAACCCATCACTCACATTGGCCCGGGACCAATCAGGGCTCAAGTCACGATTCATTCATTCAAGTCACAGATAGCTTGACCTGGCACTTCAGCTTAGGACCAATCAGGGCCTGAAGTGATGATTCATAGAGGCTAGACTCACAGTCCATATAAATAGAAGAAAAGTGCCCACTAGAACCCACTGTGTCCATGCCCACAAAGGGAGAAGAAGCATTTTCTAGGGCGTTTTCTGACTATACAAAATAAAAAGCATTTTTATGCCAGGCCTTATTCTCTTATCTAAGTGAGCTGGAGTTGTGTGAAAGTTTTTATCTAAATGGGCCACAGATTTGTTTATCTGTGCAGCCATGTGCATGTCTCCAGGCACAACAGCCTGTGCTTGTTCTTCTATTGGTCCCTGTAGCTTGATATTTCCCAATCTTTTTTTTTTTATTTTATGTGGAGATGAGGCACCTACCTATGGGCTGGAGGGTCTCTGGGGATCCTTTGCTTTCTATCTACTGAAGACAAGCTATATAACTAATTTTATTCCCCCTTCAGAAATGAAGATTGGGCATTAGTGACTTCTGGAATCAGCAAATCCACAACTGCAACTGCTTGCCAGCTAGCTGCCAATTCTTTAGCGGCCAAGTTGAGCTCCTTGCATAGGTAACCAGCTGGCTGCTGGGCTTACTTTAGGAAACAGTTAAAACTCCCAAGGCTATCAATTTTTTTCTGAGACATAAAGATTAAACGACTTCTTTATCAGAAGACTGAGGGCAGGTACTTTAAGTAAAGCTTGCCTTAGCTGATTAAAGACATTTTAAGCCTCAGTTTCCCATGTCAGTGAGTGAGTTTTAGTGGCTTAAGTTTCTTTTGAATGGTGATATAAAGGGTGAGCTGTTTCAATGTACTCAGCTATTCACAATCTAAGAAAAACCTGTAATTCCCCAAAATTCTGTTACTGGTTCAAGGATTTTGGAAAAAAATAGAAAAATAGACTTAATTGACTCCACACTAATGTTTCGGTCCCTTCTGACAAAGCTAGGCCTAGGTACCATGCAGAAGCTTGACACAGCTGTGATTTACAGTTAGAAACGTTTTATTCTCTGCCTGCTGGAAAATTAAAAAGAGCCCCAGTGCCTTTTTGGAAACCCCCTGAGATGAGGCACAGAGGAGAACGATATCTACATACGGTAAAACTTTAGCCTGAGTATTAGATTACTGAGAGAGTTAGTTGGATGTTTGCCTAAACAAGGAGGAGTTTTCTTAGAACCCATGAGTCAGTACTGCCCATGTAAACTGGTCAGACTGGTTGGAGGAATCTTTCAAGGCAAATGAATATTAAAAGTCAGGGTGCAGTGGTATGCAGGAAAAAAGTCAATTTTTAAGTCTAAAATTGTGAACCACTTAATTGTCTCAGATATTTGAGTTAGCAAAGTATTAGTGAGAGGTGAAGCTAGCTGGATTTCCTTGGTCGAGTGGGGACTGGGAGAACTCTTCTGTCTTACAAGTGGATTGTAAAACACACCAATGAGCACTCTGTGGCTAGCTAGAGGTTTGTAAACTATGCCAATCAATGCTCTTAAAAACGCACAAATCAGCACTCTGTGGCAAGCTAGAATTTTGTAAAATGGACCAATCAGCACTCTGTAAAATGGACCAATCAGTGCTCTGTAAAATGTACCAATCAGCACTCTGCAAAATGGACCAATCAGTAGGACGTGGCTAAAGACAAATAAGGGAATAAAAGCTGGCCACCCACTAGCCAGCAGCAGCAACCCACTTGGGTCCCTGTCCACATTGTGGAATCTTTGTTCTTTCATTTTCTACAATAAATCTTGCTGCTTCTCACTCTTTTGGTCCATGCCAACTTTAAAAGCTGTAATAATCAAGGAGAAGGTCCACGGCTTCATTCTTGAATTCAGTGAGACAAAGAATACGATGGAAGGAACAAACTATGGACACATAAGGATTGGAAACCAATATGGTGCCTGTGATGGCTCATATCTATAATCTAGCACCTTGGAAGGTTGAAGTGGGTGGATCACAAGGTCAGGAGATTGAGACCATCCTGCCAAAAATGGTGAATCTCTTCTCTACCAAAAAATACAAAAATTAGCTGGGCATGGTTTCACGCACCTATAGTCCCAGCTACTCAGGAGACTGAGGCAGGAGAACTACTTGAACCTGGGAGGTGGAGGTTGCAGTGAACTGAGATTGTGCCACTGCACTCCAGCCAGGCAACAGAGTGTGATTCCATCTCAAAAAAAAAAAAAAAAAAAGAAAAGAAAAGAAAAGAAAGAAAAGAAAAAGAAACTAAATTATGAATTGAAACTACAGCTTTATCAGTGAGATGGAGGTCCTGAACTAGCCCCTCTTCCTCATGAGTTTCTGTACCTCTAATATTGCAGTTTTGCAAGGGCTGTTGCAAGACGTGAAGAGGCTCTGGGTTTTTTAATTATTAATGATAGTTTCTAGTTCTTCCCTAGCTTCTGGCTTTAGGGGATACTGCTTCTGGTTAGCAAACAAGGTGGAATCCTTAGGGTGAATCTGGAATGATATAGCAGTTGTAGCCTGGTCAACTTTTCCTAACCTGCTCACACCTCTGGGTTAATGTTGATTTTCACTAAGGGAAGATAGAGACTCTGTCCTTGAGCCATAAGAATGGAGGGTCCCATAGAGACTAGAATATCCATTCCTAGCAAAGAGGTGGGACTTTCAGGCATAATTTAAGAAGCATGAGTAGATGGAAAGTCCTGCCATGTACAACACAAAGGCTGTAAAAAATGTATTGGGTTAAAGACTTTTTCAAGATGCCTACCATAGTCATGTTATAGGAGGAGAGAAGGCCTAGAATGGGGAAGAGAACAGAGAGGCTAGCTCTGGTTTCTAGAAGGAAGCCTATCTTCCTTCCTCATACCCAAAGCTCCTGGATAGTGATGGCAATTTGAGCCACTGAAGCTGATGAATTGAGCGCAGGGCCCTGTCAGTCCTGCTGGACCATCTGAAAAACTGGCTCTTGACCTGGTTACCTACATGTTTGGAGAGAGTTTGACTTCCAGCAGCCTCCATTAAATGCTGGACAGGGTTGAGATGGCTTCGCCATGCTCTGTGGTCAATCCCTTTTAGAGTGTTTTGCTTTGCCACATTGGTACAATTGATAAATGCACTTCAGGGTTCATGATTTTATAAGCCTATAATGCAGCCACTAGAGCCTCCATTACCTTCTTATATTTTCTCTCCTTCTCCTGGTCCTCCTTCCAGTCTGTTTTGTAAAATACAGAATTTTTTTCTATGATTTTGGGGAACCATACTTTGTAGGCTTCACTGACCTGGCTGCAAAGAGGGTAGGGTCAACTTTACAACATTTACCAAGATTTGGGTTGTTTCACAGGGCAAAGAAAGATTGTATCTAGGGAATCTCAGTTTATTTGTCCTCCCACCAATAGAAAAGATCTGGTTGTTGAAGAGTATAGGAATCAAGGCTTTCCTCAGAAAGCCAGATTTTTTTTCATCCCCAAGATGGTAACAAGGCCCTTGTGCAATAGAAAAGTCATTTTCTTTTCAGAGCCTCAGGGTTAAAGGTGTTATAGTTATTTGGAATGCATGCCAGGAGAGGAGAAAGGATTACAGATTGTTTGTTACCATTAAGAAAAGAGGGAAAGAAAAGGTGTCCCTTAGTATCATTCCTCCTTTTAGTGTGACTCAGGGTAGATGGAACCAGAGAAAGGGCATTCCCTTTCTCCTTTCCACTGGATCCTAGCAACGGTCATAAGTGCCACCACACGTATGCAAGCATGATTTCACCCATGGATCTACAGATGTTAGTAGGCAGGACTAGTCATGCTCTTCTGTAGAAGACTCAACTCTCCACTCTGCTGGATTCCTAGACCTATTCGGCCTCAACCTTCCAAAATACTCCCAGAGATGTGGGAGAGATTATGTAGTAGTAGAACTTAGCCAAGACTAATTAACAGAGGGAGTATTCTAACATCATCTCTGGTTTCCTTTGCTATGGCTCCAGTGA
Organism: Homo sapiens; assembly: GCF_000001405.40. Classification (NCBI taxonomy): domain Eukaryota; kingdom Metazoa; phylum Chordata; class Mammalia; order Primates; family Hominidae; genus Homo; species Homo sapiens. The sequence goes on along the minus strand of NC_000024.10, from coordinate 19,319,131 downwards.
AAAATCAAAATTTCACAGAATTGAACTAATTAACTTTGAAACATATAATTTCTTTTTTGTTTAAATCCCAATGTAGTTGAATGAAGAACCCCTGGCTCACAGAGCATAAAAATTAAATGGCTGCCCCTCCTTTGATGGGAACAGTATTTCAGCTAAGACTTGTCTTATCAGAATGGCTTCCTCTCAGCTTTTGAAAGTGGAGGGATTTTTGTCTACATATGGAATATTGGGCCTTTTCACTGGTAGGTGAATATGGAAGAAAAAAATAATTGAGAAACTAGAGGTTTGGGGAAGAGGACTGAAAAAATACCCATTCAGAAAATAAACCCCATTCCACTAGATGAAGCCGTAGGGTTAAAAATGTTATGTAAAACTCTGATCCAGAATTTTTTAAAGCAAAAGTTAGAATGAAACATCTGGAGTTTGATAGGCTGTCTGCATAGCATTGCCCCCAGCAAAAGAAAATTAATTTGTCATATAAATGAGCTGTTTAAATTCATTGGACAATGCTGAACAACTATATTAAAACCAAAATAGAGATGAGGCAAATCACCTGGGGTGAAATATCTTTCCATATGGTGCCATGAATATCTATTATTAAGGGATAGAAGCATCCTTATTAAGTAGAAATTTAGACTGAAATCTTGAACTCCCCCTCTTCCCAAAAAATCATAAAAACAACTCTTTAAATTCCATTACTGATTACTAAGACACTGACTAACTACCCAGAAAGATTATATATTTAGGTTACGTAAACAACCACAACTTTGCATACAAAGAAGGCACATGAGGCATGATAGCCATGAGAATAAAAAAAAGTGATAGAAAAAGACTAGTGCTCCTTTTGCTGATAAGTTATTGTGGACTGGAGTTAGTCCAGTGACCTTCAGATAACACTGAGGTGTAATTTCAGCCAGAAATTTGTAGTTGCCCTGGGAGTTTCTTTCAATCCTGCACAACAGGTTGGCCCACCATGAAAGAAAACTGGATTCGAATAGACAAGAAGCTCAGAAATGAAAGTAAATAGTTGCAAAGTTAAAGGTCCACTGTTATTCACATTTTGGATGAATTTCTTTCCTCCTCATCAATGTACCAAAATATAATGCAGTCTCACCAGTGCACCAAGATGTGTCTCTGATTGTCTGAGATAATATCCAGAGTTCTATGTCTTATCTCTAAGATAATTAAGGAATATAGACACAAAGATGAGGTTGCAGCAAAAGTTTAATAAGCAAAAGATAGTTCTCTGCCAGCAGAGAGGGAGGCCCAGAAAAGGCACCAAATATGAAGTCAGTTCTGAGGGGTTTATGGACTGGAAAGGGGAAGAAATGAGCTCAGCCTGTGGGCTGTCTTGGAGAGCTTGTGGTCTACAACTAATCTTCATCTGCAACTAATCTGGGGCTGTAATAATGATTCATAGAGGCTATGCTAGCAGTTCAAAAAAAGAAAATAAAAGTGCCCACCAGAACCCACCAAAGCCCACTGTGCCCATGCCCACAGAAGGAAGAGAAACAATTTCCTAGGAGCTTGTCGACTATAAAAGGACAAAGACATTTCCATGTCAGGTCTAGTCCTCTTATCTGAGTGATCTGGAGGTTTTCTCCAGTTTTTACTCAAAGGGGGAAGATGTTCTTTCATCTGTGCAGCTGTGGGCATGTCTTGAGGCTCAACACATGTGCTAGTTTCTTTATTGGTGCCTGTGGGTTGATTTTTTTTTTTTTTTTAACAGGCTGCTTTGTGTGTTATGTAGGGATGAGGCACTAACTTGTAGGCTGGGGTCCCTCTGGGGACCTTTTTTGCTATCTACCTAAGACAAGTTAACTAACTGATTCTAGAAGGATAAATCTGGGTTCCAAATAAAGAAAAAGTCTGCCCTTGATTTTCCCCAGCTGCTGTGCTGCACAATGGTGAATTCGGTCCAGTTTAAATCATCCAGATTCTCTAGCACTTGCAGAGAAAAACCACCAACTAGAGCACAGTAATGGCTATCAACTTTCTCCTCAGAAACTTGGTCATATTAGGCAGAATCCAGGCTGCTCTTCTGTCCAGTGGGCATTCCAAGCCAGCAGATCTTAGGTAGTGAGTTTCCATGGGACCCAGTGACTGAGGCCACTTGGATTTCTGGCTTTATCCCCCTTTCCAAGGAAGTATGGATCTCCTGTCTCACTGTGCTTTTGGGAGCTCCCCAAGTCACTACTGACTTAAGTGGCTACCATGAATCTTCACAAGTTTATGCTGAGGACCCAAGGCCCTTGTGGTGTGGGCCGAGAAGGGAATCTCCTAATCCATGGATTGCAAAGTCTGTGGAAAATACATAGTTTCCCGGGTGGATAGCACAATCCCTCATGACCTCCTTTGTTTAAGAGAGGGAGTCCTTTTGTCCCGTGCAGCTTCTGGATGGACTGTCACCCACTCAGCTTTTCCTTGCTCTCTCTGGATTTCTCACAATGTCTAGTCAGTCCCAATGAAAGAATCTATGTACTACAGCTGAAAATGAAGAATTCACTCACTGTTTACCTTTCTCTTAATGGGAGCTGCAGATTGAAGACATTTCTATTTGGTCATCTCAGCCCCTCCCACTGAGTTTTATTCTTTTGTACTCATAAAGACACAATACTATTAGGTTGAAATCAGTCTATCTAATATCATTTTACTTAGTTTTTCTGGTTAAAATTTCTGTCTGCAGATAAAGTGACAATCAAATGTTATAGATTTGAGAAATCTATCATTTAGTATTGCAAGGAATACAGTGTAGCTGATGTCATATTTTTCTATTTTTTGATACCTTGTAGTTCTAGATCAATGTATCTCTTACAGGAGATTTCACCTCAACCAAAGCTTTTGTTCATTGATATGGTTTGGATATGTCCCCACCCAAATCTCATCTTGAATTGTAGCTCCTAAATTTCCTTGTGATTTTGGAGGGACCCAACAAAGGATAATTGAATCAGGGGGGTGGTTGTCCCCATACTGTTCTTGTGGTAGTGAATAAGTTTCACTATATCTGATGGTATTATAAGAAAAAAAGCTTTTACACTTGGTTCCCTTTATCTATTGACTGCTGCCATGTAAGAACTGCCTTTTTCCTTCTACCAAGATTGTGAGGACTTCCCAGCCATGGAAAGCTGTGAGTTCCATAAACTTCTTTCTCTTTCTTTCTTTCTTTCTTTCTTTCTTTCTTTCTTTCTTTCTTTCTTTCTTTCTTTTTCTCTCTTTCTCTCTTTCTCTCTCTCTCTCTTTCTTTCTTTCTTTCTTACTTTCTTTTGAGGTGGAGTCTTGCTCTGTCCAAAGGCTGGAGTGCATGGCATGATCTCAGCTCACTGCAAGCTCTGCCTCCTGGGTTCACACCATTCTCCTGCCTCAGCCTCCCAAGTAGCTGGGACTACAGGCACCCACCACCACACCTGGCTAATTTTTTATATTTTTAGTAGAGACGGGTTTTGCCGTGTTAGCCAGGATGGTCTTGATCTCTTGACCTCATGACCTGCCCACCTCGACCACCCAAAGTGATGGAATTACAGGTGTGACCCAGCATGCCAGGCCAAACCTCTTTCTTTATATAAATCACCCTGTTCTGGGTAAGTGTGTATCAGCAGTTTGAGAACAGACATTAATATGGTAAATTGGTACAAGTATTGAAGTGCTGCTTTGTAAAGGTAACTAAAAAGTAAATGTGACTTTGGAAATGGGTAAGAGTCCAAAGTTGCAATAGTTTGGGGGAAGATGACAATGATGACAATGATGAAGAATAAGAATAAGAATAAGAATAAGAATAAGAATAAGAATAAGAATAAGAAGAAGAAGAAGAAGAAGAAGAAGGAGGAGGAGGAGAAAGAAAGAGGAGGAGGAGGAGAGGAAGAGGAAGGAGAGGAATAGGAAGAAGAAAAAGAAGAAGGGGAGGAAGAGGAAGGAAAAGAGGAATAAGAAGGAGAAGCAGGAGGAGGAGAAGAATAAGCAGAAGAAGCAGAAGTAGAAGCAGTAGAAGAAGCAGCAGCAGCAGAAGAATGATGATGAGGAGGAAAGGAGGAGGAGGAGAAGGATAAGAAAATGTGAAAAAGTTTGGAACTCCCTAAATACTTTGAGGGCTCAGAAGACATGATGTGCAAACATTTGGAAATTCCTAGAGACTTGTTTATGGCTTGACCAAAATATTTATAATGATATGGACTGTAAAATCAAGGCTGTGGTGGCCTCAGATGGTGATGAGGAACTTTTTGAGAAATCAGGTAAAAATGACTGTTGTTATATTTTAGCAAAAAGATTGGTGGCATTTTGCCTCTGCCCTAGCAATTTTTGGAATTTTGAACTTGAGAAAGATGATTTAGAATATCTGGCTGAAAAAAATGTCTAAGCAGCAGTTAATTCAAACTGTGACTTGGGTGTTGTTAAATTCCCTTTTAAAATAAAACAGAACATACAAATTTGGAAAATTTTCAGCCTGATGATGCAATAGAAAAAAAAATTCTCAACTCGTCAGAGTCATTCTCCATCCAGCTTTTTTCCATTGCTGGTAAGGAGCTGTGTTCCTTTGGAGGAGGAGGGAAGCTCCGATTTTTAGAGTTTCCAGCTTTTTTGCTGTTTTTTTCCCCATCTTTGTGGTTTTATCTACCTTTGGTCTTTGATGATGGTGACGTACAGATGGGTTTTTGGTGTGGATGTCTTTTCTGTTAGTTTTCCTCCTAGGAATCAGGACTCTCAGCTGCAGATCTGTTGGAGTTTGCTGGAGGTCCATTCCAGACCTGTTTGCCTGGGTTTCAGGAGTGGTGGCTGCAGAACAGCGGATATTGGTGAACTGCAAATGCTGCTGCCTGATCGTTCATCTGGAAGTTTTATCTCAGAGGAGAACCCGGCCGTGTGAGGTGTCAGTCCACTCCTACTTGGGAGTGTCTCCCAGTTAGGCTACTCAGGGGTCAGGGACCAACTTGATGAGACATTCTGCCTGTTCTCAGATCTCAAGCTGCATGCTGGGAGAACCTCTACTCTCTTCAAACCTGTCAGACAGGAACACTTAAGTCTGCAGAGGTTACTGCTGCCTTTTGTTTGTCTGTGCCTGCCTCCAGAGGTGGAGTCTAGAAAGGCAGGCAGGCCTCCTTGAGCTGAGGTGGGCTCCAGCAAGTTCCAGCTTCCCAGCTGCTTTGTTTACCTACTCAAGCCTTGGCAATTGTGGGCGCCCCTCCCCCAACCTCACTGTCACCTTGTAGTTTGATCTCAGACTGTTGTGCTATCAGAGTGAGACTCTGTGGGTGTAGGACCCTCTGAACCAGTCATGGGATATAATCTCGTGTGTGCTATTTGTTAAGCCCATTGGAAAACACAGTATTAGGGTGGGAGTGACCTGATTTTCCAGGTGTCATCTGTCACCCCTTTCTTTGACTAGAAAAGGGAATTCCCTGACTCTTTGTGCTTCCTGGGTGAGGCAATATCTTGCCCTGCTTTGGCTCATGCATGGTGCACTGCATCCACTCTCCTGCACCCACTATCCAGCACTCCTCAGTGAGATGAACCTGGTACCTCAGTTGGAAATGCAGAAATCAGCCATCTTCTGCACAAAATCAATGTGCAAAAATCACAAGCATTCTTATACACCAATAACAGACAAACAGAGAGCCAAATCATGAGTGAACTCTGATTCACTATTTCTTCAAAGAGAATTAAATACCTAATAGTCCAACTTAAAAAGAATGTGAAGGACCTCTTCAAGGAGAAATACAAACCACTGCTCAATGAAATGAAAGAGGATACAAACAAATGGAAGAACCTTTCATGCTCATGGGTAGGAAGAATCAATATCATGAAAATGGCCATACTGCCCAAGGTAATTTATAGATTCAATGCCATCCCCATCAAGCTAACAATGACTTTCTTCACAGAATTGGAAAAAAACTACTTTAAAGTTCAAATGGAACCAAAAAAGAGCCTGCCTTGCCAAGTCAATCCTAAGTCAAAAGAACAAAGCTGCAGGCATCATGCTACATGACTTCAAACTATACTACAAGGCTATAGTAACCAAAACAGCATTGTACTTGTACCAAAACAGAGATATAGATCAATGGAACAGAACAGAGCCCTCAGAAATAAGGCCGCATATCTACAACTATCTGATCTTTGACATACCTGACAAAAACAAGAAATGGTGAAAGGATTCCCTATTTAATAAATGGTGCTGGGAAAACTTGCTAGCCATATGTAGAAAGCTGAAACTGGATCCCGTCCTTACACCTTATAAAAATTAATTCAAGATGGATGAAAGACTTATATGTTAGACCTCAAACCATAAAAACCCTAGAAGAAAACCTAGGCAATACCATTCAGGACATAGGCATGGGGAAGGACTTCACATCTAAAACATCAAAAGCAATGTAACAAAAGCCAAAATTGACAAATGGGATCTAATTAAACTCATGAGCTTCTGCACAGCAAAATAAACCACCATCAGAGTGAACAGGCAACCTAAAGAATGGGAGAAAATTTTTGCAATCTGCTCATCAGACAAAGGGCTAATATCCAGAATCTACAATGAACTCAAACAAATTTACAGGAAAAAAACAAACAACCCCATGAAAAAGTGGGCAAAGGATATGAACAGACACTTCTCAAAAGAAGACATTTATGCAGCAAAAAAACACATGAAAAAAATGCTCATCATCACTGACCATCAGAGAAATGCAAATCAAAACCACAATGAGATATCCTCTCACACCAGTTAGAATGGTGATCATTAAAAAGTCAGGAAACAACAGGTGCTGGAGAGGATGTGGAGAAATAGGAATACTTTTACACTGTTGTTGGGACTATAAACTAGTTCAACCATTGTGGAAGTCAGTGTGGTAATGATTCCTCAGGGATCTAGAATTAGAAATACCATTTGACCCAACCATCCCATTACTGGGTATATACTCAAAGGATTATAAAACATGCTGCTATAAAGACACATGCACATGTATGTTCATAGCGGCACTATTCACAATAACAAAGACTTGAAACCATCCCAAATGTCCACCAATGATAGACTGGATTAAGAAAATATGGCACATATACACCATGGAACACTATGCAGCTATAAAAAATGATGAGTTCATGTCCTTTGTGGGGACATGGATGAAGCTGGAAACCACCATTCTCAGCAAATTATCACAAGGACAAAAACCCAAACACCACATATTCTCACTCCTAGTTGGGAATTGAACAATGAGAGCACATGGGCACAGGAAGGGCAACATCACACACCAGGAACTGTTGTGGAGTGGGAGGAGGGGGGAGGGATGGCATTAGGAGATATACCTAATGCTAAATGATGAGTTAATGGGTGAAGCACACCAACATGGCACATGTATACATATGAATAAAACCTGCATGTTGTGCACATGTACCTTGATACTTAAAGTATAATAATAAAATAAAATAAAAAGATTTGTCTTTCTCCACTGAATTGCTCCAATTCCTTCATTAAAATTTTTGACTATAAAAAAAAGAAAAAAAATTTCTGAGAAGGAGTTTAAGCCAGCTGCAGAAATTTGCATAAGTAATGAAGATCCAAATATTAATCACCAAGACAATTCAAAAAAATGTCTCCAGGTCATGGCGTAGCAGAAGTCTTTATGCCAGCTACTTGCATCACAGGCCTTGAGGCCTAGGAGGAAGAAATAAGGTTGTGGGCAAGATGCAGTACTTCCTTGCTCTGTGTAGCCTAGGTACACAGTTCCCTGCATCTCAGCCACTCTATCCATCAATAAAAGGGGCTATGATGTAGCCCAGACTCTTGCTTTAGAGGGTTCAACCTCCAAGCCTTGGCATCTTCCATGTGGTATTGGGCAGAGGAGTCAATAATTGAGGTTTGGGATACTCTGCCTAGATTTTAAACGATAAATAGAAATGCTTGGATGCCCAGGAAGACGTTTGATGCAGGGAAAAGCCCTCACTGACAGCCTCTGCTAGGACAGTACACACAGGAAATGTGGACTTGAAGCCCTCAGCACACACAGTCCCCACTGGGACACAGCCTAATGGAGCTGTGGAAAAAGGGTCACCATTCTCCCTACTCCGGAATGGTAAACCCACCAACATTTTGCACCATGTGCCAAGATAATCCACAGATACTTAATGGCAGCCTATGAAAGCAGCTGGGCTGGAGGCTGTATCCTGCAAAGCCATGAGGGCAGAGTTGCCCCAAACCATGGAAATTGGCCTCTTGCATTGGAATGCCTTGAAATTGAGACATGGACTCAAAGGAAATCATATTGAAACTATAAGATTTCACTGCCTTGCTGGATTTTGAACTTGTATGTATACAGTAGTTCCTTTGTTTTTCCCAATTTCTTTCATTTGAAATAGTTGTATTTATCTACTTTTTGTACCACCAGTTTGTCTAGGAAGTAGCTGTCTTGCTTTTGATTTTACAGGTGCATAGTGGAAGAGACTGTCCTTGTCTCATATGAAAATTTGTCGACTGTGGACTTTTGAGTTAATCCTGAAATAAGTTAAGACATGATTTGTTTTGTAAGTGAAGACATGAGATTTGGGAGGAGCCGGGGCTGAAACAATATGCTTTGGCTTTGTCTCCACCCAAATCTCAGCTTCAGCTTTAGCTCCCACAATTCCCATGCGTTATGGGAGGTTCCTGGTGGGAGACAACTGAATCATGAGGGCGATTTCCCCATACAGTTTTCATGGTAGTGAATAAGTCTCATGACATCTGATGGTTTTATAATGGATTTTTCTTTTTGCTTGGCACTTATTCTCTCTTGCCCACCACCAAGTAATACATGCCTTTCACCTTCTGCCATAATTGTGAGTTCTCTCTGACCAAGTAAAACTGTGAGTCCATTAAATTTTTTTTTTTTTTATAAATTACCCAATCTCAGGTATGTCTTTGTAAGCAGTGTGAGAACAGACTAAAACTTGTATGCAGAAAGCAGTTATTTCTGAAGTTAGGCTACCATTGGTAAGATAAATTTTTGTTATAACCTCCCACTGATTCAAAAATGTCTCTCAAATAATAGTGTATCAGGAAAATAATTTTATCATTAAATAAGTTACAAATTAGAATACACAACTCTGGCAACACATTATTAAGATTAAAAAGAAAAAAATTAATTCATTTTACCAGTAGTTAATTATAGGAAATTATTTGAATATACATATTTTTCAGATAAACTACAATAAGTTTTAAATTAAGAGGAATTTACAAGAACGCATCTCCCACAAAGTTTAGGTGTATTTTCCCTGTTATGTAGGGTGACAATTTGTGTTACCTAATTGTCTCCAGCTACAACAACAAAGAAATCTTCTTACATTTTTAAGGCAACATAATTTTGAAGTGAGGCACCTACCAAATATTTGCTTACAGAAACTGTCAGGTAGCTGAAAGAAAGCATATCTGTTCATCGTATTTTTTTCATGATACATCTTTGTTGGTTTTTTATTTGTTGATAACCCTTTATTAAACTCACAGTGGTATCTATCAGAGTATAAAGAAAGAATTTATTTCACTATAGAATTGAGAAGTAGCTCTGGGAGATTTTGAAATTTTTTTACATAGTCTTTACTTAATGTCATTGATAGATAATGCATAATTGTTATGTTGAGAACAACTATGTTTGTAAGTCATGGATTTCATTGTTGTACATAATCCCTCATTAATAAGAAGTTTTCATTTCCTGATGTGTTTCCATTTTAATTTTTGTCAAATTTTACTGATTTGAATTACCTGCTCTGAAATTATTTGCTTAGCTTAGTCTTTTATCTTGTTATTAACTCTGATTGTATTATGTGATGCTTGTACATTTTTGTCTCAATGAGCTCAATTTGGATCTTTCTTAAAATGGAATCTTTATCTTTCTGCCTAAGAATTATTTTATCATATGACTTGAAATTCTTGGATTAAATGTTAAAATTTTTCTTAATCTCAAGTAGCTTATTTGACACTCAGATAGTTAATTATACATGTGCCATTTCAGAAAATTTAAACCAGTTTACCATTTCTGGGGAGGTAGTGTGCTCACTTGGAGGCACTTGGAGGGAAGGATCCACTCTGGCTACCTGAATATCTGGTTTTTGTGGTGTCTATAAGAAATATAAAAACCAAAATTAGATACCACCTCACACGAATTAGAATGGCTACTATCGAAAAATCAGAAAAATATTAGAAGATAACAAATATTCTGACAGTAATAATAAAACAGGCACTGATGGTGGAAGTGGAAATTAAGGCAGCTACTAAGAAAGTAGTCTAAAGATTTCTCAAGTAACTGAAAACAAAACTATCAATAAACTCAGCAATCACATTGGCTGCTACACACTCAAAAGAAATTAAATGGGAAGGGCAGATTAAGCTGGCAGAATAGAATGGTCCATTGATAATCCCTCCACTGCAAAAACACAAGGTTGACAACTATCTGCCCATTCATAAGAAACAAAAATAAATGAGCGCCAAAAGTGCCTAGTGTAATTTCATATCACTGAAAAAAAGGCCATACAGAGATTTTAAAGAATGTCATGAATCACCTATACCACCTGAAATTTACAGGACCACAACCCCATGGGCTCTGAATAAGCAGCAGCAATGCCCTGTTACAAGATCGAGAAGCTGGATAAAACAGAATTTTTGTCTTTCTGTGATCCTCTTCAAGTAACCAGCTGTTGTGTCTATGTGGCTAAAACTCCTGCTTTAGAAAAGCAGAGGAAAAAAGTAAGGGAAACTTTGACTTGAAACTTAAGTAGCAGCAGAGCCACAGTAGTGTAGAGCACCAAGAAGAAAATCAAGGTCCCCAGTTACAGGATTTTACTTAACAATGATATTGCTGAACCTGCGTTGAGCTAGACAGAACCCAGCTTCCCTGAAAGGTGAGTTCCAGACCAGGTAGTATTTGTAACAAACTGCCTTAAGGAACCTTGGGCCTTCATATAACATCAGCAGTAGTCAGGCAGTACACGTCTTGGTCTGGTTTGGTGCTGACTACAGGGTGAGGTTTCTCTCCCTTTGTAAAGAAGAGGAAAGAGAGGGAAAGACTGCATTATGTGGTTTGCATGCTGGCTCAGCCACAATACAATAAAAAACAAAGTAGACATCTACGTTTTATGACACTAGTCCCTAATTGCTGATGGCACTTCTGAACCCATCTGGGGCTTGGGAAATCTTGCTACCCTAAATGAATGGGCCTGGATTCTTTGACACCTGATGCTAATAAAGCCCTGAGCCCTTGAGTGAATATAGGCAATAGACAGAAAGAGATTATAGCAGACCATGGCTGAGATCCAGCATTGTGATGATTGAAGGTCTGAAACAGTGTAGTCATAGTTATGGTGGCCACAGGGGTTACTGTGTGACTCAACCCCCAGCTATAGGTGGCTCATAACAGAGAGGAAGATTCTTACATTTGGGAGAAAGTAAGAGAGAAATAAGAGTCTCTTCAGTCCAGAGAATTATTTCAGATCTTTTTGAAGACCATCAGAAAAGTATCTCTATAAGGCTACAAGAACAACACTGTTACTGAGATTGGGGTGTCCCATAAAGCAGATTCAGTTTGGATAGTAACACCCAAAGTCTTTCAAATATCTGATGTGTCCACAGGATAATGGCTATGAGTAAATCTAGAGAGTAAAGACTACACAAGATACTTAGTTCATCAATATCCAGAAGCTGAAGAACGTCTACTAGAATCCATACCACCTAGGAAAACATGTTCTAAACAAATTAACCAACTAAACTACTAGAAACCAATCCTGGAGAAACAAAGACATGTGGCTTTTCAGACAGAAAATTAAAAAAAAAAAAAGTGTTAAGGAAACTCAAAGAAATTTATGATAACACAGAGAGGAATATCAAAATTTCATCAGATAAATTTAACAGACATTAAAATGTTTTTAAAAATCAAGTCAAAATTCTGAAGCTAAAAAATGCAATTGATATCTTAAAAATGCATCGAGTTTTTTTACAGATTAATTGATCAAACAGAAGGAAAAGGAAGTGAGCTTGAAAACAGGCTAATTCAAAATACACAGATAAGTCAATAAAATAAAAAATAAAGCATGCCAAAAATATATTTTAAAAATAACCTCAAAAAGGCTATTCTAAGAGATACTGGCATTAAGGAAGATATAGAAAAAGGGGTTATGAGTTATTCCAAGTGATAACAGAGAACATCCAAGGCCTAGAGAAAGGTATCAACACCCAAGTATAAGAAAGTTGTGGAACACAAAGCAGTTTCAACCCAAAGAAGGCTATCTTGAGGCATTGAGGGCTAGAATTAAAAAAAAAAAAAAAAAAAAAAAAATTCTAAAAGTAACAAGAACAAGGGAACAAACAGCATGCAATGAAGACCCTGTATATTTCACAGCAGACTTTTTACTGAAAACCTTTCAGGCCAGGAAAGAGTGACATGATATATTTAAAGTGTTGAAGAAAAAAAAAAGGATGGGATAAATAAAGAATTCTAAAAGTAGCAAGAGCAAAGAAACAAAGAGTGTAAAATGAAGACCCAATACATTTGGCAGCAGAATTTTTAGTAGAAACTTTACAGGTCAGGAAAAAGTGACATGACATATTTATAGTTTTGGAGAAAGAAAATAACTTTTAGAATAAAATAATCTGATGAAAATATTATTTAAATATAAAAGAGAGACAAAGACTTTTCATGGAAGCAAAAGCTGAGGAACTTTATCAATACCAGATCTGTCCTACAAGAAATGCTAAAGGGAGTACTTTAACTAGAAAAAAAATTAATTAGCAAAAAATAATCACCTGATGGTACAAAGTTCAGTGATAATTGTAAGTAAACAGAAAAACACAGAATATTATAACAGTGTAACTGTGATGTATTAACTACTCTAATGCCAAGCTTTTTTAATTGCATTTCTCTGATGTCCAGTGATGATGAGTATTTTTCCATGTGTCTGTTGGCTGCATAAATGTCTTCTTTTGAGAAGTGTCTGTTCATATCCTTTGCCCACTTTTTCATGGGGTTGTTTTTTTCTTGTGAATTTGTTTGAGTTATTTGTAGATTCTGGATATTAGCCCTTTGTCAGATGAGTAGATTGAAAAATTTTTCTCCCATTCTGTAGGTTGCCTCTTCACTCTGATGGTAGTTTATTTTGCTGTGCAGAAGCTCTTTAGTTTAATTAGATCCCATTTGTTAATTTTCGCTTTTGTTGCCATTGCTTTTGGTGTTTTAGACGTGAAGTCTTCGCCCATGCCTATGTCATGAATGGTATTGCCTAGGTTTTCTTCTAGGGTTTTTATGGTTCTAGGTCTAATATTTAGGTCTTTAATCCATCTTAAATTAATTTTTAAAAGAAAACATACAACTGTATTTGGCTATACAGTAAAAATATTTTATCTTTGAATACAGCACACAATTAACTTTTCTCAGCAATTAAATACAGGTTTCCATAGGTATTTTAATAAAAGCAGATTGAATCAAGCTTATTTAAACCTTACATTAAGAAGAAGACATGCTAATTTGACATTTTAGAAGAGTTTAAATGCAAGTGTTTGTTTCTGCCGATTAAGAATTGGTGAGTGAGGTCTGTGTGTATTATTGTCATGTTCCAAAACTGTAAGCTTTATTTAATATTATTTCTGGTGGATGTTGACTTTGTTCATAAATGTTGGTACGTACTTCTAAATATGGAAAGTTGGGCTGAGAAATGAAACTCAATATTTTTGGATCCTAGTGACCATCCCACCAACCCTTCATAAGTCATATTTCTAAATGAAGATATTTCTGGAAAACCTGATATTTTTCCCTCTGTACTTTATGTATTTTAAACTCGATATTTTGAATAGAAAAATGAAAAAAAGAGCAAAATAATACTTTGAGGTTTGATATTAACAGCTGCCTGAGTAAGCATTAAAGATCACTCAATAATCTATTTAATGTCTCAATTTTCTGCCTGTCAACTAAATCTGTATGTGAAAGCTCTACCCTTAATGGATTTTTGCTTGTTTCATTTTGTTTTTTGTTGCCTCAGAGTCTTAGGAGGAAAACAAACAGTAGTTGCCTCAGAGTCTTAGGAGGAAAACAAACAGTAGCAGCTAATAGCATTCTCTTCTATTGCTCTTTAAAAAGTAAGACAAGTCTTGGAAAAAATCTCCTTTTTATTTTCCTGAAATTGTTATAATACTTTTGTTGTTTGCTTTTTGTCTGAAGTCTATTGTGTTACTCATTTAAGTTTATCTCTGGAGGCAGACAGTGAAACATTCAGGGTAAACAAATGTGAGGTTCCTAGGCAAAGAAATTTCAGAGGGCATGTGTCGGTGGCTGGTGGACATGTCATTTTGTTAGGAGCAATTATGTATTGGAAGAATCCAGCTTTGAATGCTGCCTGTGATTGTAACTGTCTCCATGGCCCTTTCTTGACAACCAGTGTGTCCTGGCAGCCCACCCACAGAGCCCTGTATTCAGGTGTGTGGATATCCCTGCCAGATTTCCTAGAACCATAACCTTATAATCCAGGTCTCAGTCCTGATTAGATAAGGCTTCAGCCTCCATTCCCTCAGACCTTGAATGACACTTCTGTCATTGTTATCAGGTACTGGGCTCAATGAGGCAAGAATGACAGCCTAGGCTACAGTCTTTTTACATAGGGCTTACTCGTTGCACTGACAGGAGCATAGCTCACAGAATATTTGCATTTGACCTTGGCTATAAGGTCCTATCAATTTATAAATATTATGTTATTCACACATTGAAAATTATAAATAATGGCAATTATTTTAAATTTCAGATTTTATGACATTTCTGGCTTCTGGTCTTTTGAGTGGGCTGCCTGCTATTTCAAAAAACAGGCAATTCTCTGATGTAAAATGTGAGTAATGTATGACTTTTAAATTTTCTAGTAGCCACAGTTTTTTAAAGTTTTCTTTAAAAAAGGTGAAATTGATTGTAACAATGTATTTAACTGAATATATCCTAAATACTATTCTTCAAATATGTAATTAACTTTTAATTCTTAACAAAATGTGTCTCTGTATGTGTGTATTACTGATGTTTTGAAACTCGGTCTTTTCCCTTTTTTAGCACACCTTGGGTTGGATGAGCAACAGGACTCAGTAGTCACACATAGCCAGTAGCCAGGACATTGCAGTATAGTTCTGACATCAAAGAGGTGAATGGCCTGAACATTCCATTTCTGCTAGAGGTGATGAGACATCCTCTCTCAAGGAGCATCTTACCTCAAGTAAAATGGTGGAAGAGGAAGCACCCTTACAGACAAAAGATGGCTGCAAGAATAAAATATCTACGGCTAGAACATTGCTGCCCACCTGCGGTCCACATTCCTTTCAGAGATCTGAGAGTAAACAAACAATGATGAGGCCATAAAATAAAGGAACGCTGTATCTTCATATTTCTTAACAGCTTTGATCTCCAATGCTTAGATATGGAGTAAAATAGACTAGAAACAATTCTATTTTGCTATGTGGCCTTGGCCCTAGTTGTCAGGCTGTGGTTGTCAGTTTCCTGCTGTTGTATGGGGGATTATAAGAATGTAAGCATCAATTATCTGTATACATGTCTACATACATTTCTGTATTACTCAATATTATCTTATAAGACATTCAACTTTAAATAATGGGAAAAGGAAATCAACTTCTATAAGACAGCCATTGTTTGCAGGTAACCAGCAATTAACTTATTACTGAATCCTGGCATTCTATCTGCATTGAGTGCACATTTTAGTTAGCTACTGTTCCATAAAAGAACAAAAGAACAACCCAAATTTATTACATTAGCTCATTGTTGAGCTAGTCAGACATATAGGGTGGACTCAGCTGGATCATTTTGGTCTGAGCTGAATACCTTCAGGCATGCATAATCAGCTGCTGATTAACTAGACAGCTGTAATCCTGAGAGTGACCTGGCTATTAACATGGGTGCCTTGCAGGATTTCCACATTATATCTCATGCCCCAGCTGGTAAAATGAGTTTTCTCTCAGAACAATGGCAGTATTCTGAAAAGAAGAGGGAGAAAGAAAAGAAGAAGATGGAGGAGGAGGAAGAAGAAGAGGAGGAAGAGGAGGAGGAGGAAGAAGAAGAAGAAGAACAAGAAGAACAAGAAGAAGAAGAACAAGAAGAAGAACAAGAACAACAAGAAGAAGAAGAACAAGAACAACAAGAAGAAGAACAAGAAGAAAAAAACAAGAAGAAAAGAAGGAGAAGAAGAAGAAGAAGAATGAGAAGGAGAAGAAAAGAAGAAGAAAGAAGAAGAAGAAGAAGAAGAAGAAGAAGAAGAAGAAGAAGAAGAAGAACAAGAAGAAGAAGAACAAGAACAAGAACAAGAAGAACAAGAACAAGAAGAACAAGAAGAAGGAAAAGAAGCAAGGTGAAGAAGGATTCAAGAACTTTTGAATTCAGTCCCCAAACTAGCATTAGCATACACTCATGTTCACAGATTTGTTTCTTTTCATTCTTTCTTTCCTTTCTTTCTCTCTCTTTCTTTTTTGTCTTTATCTTTTTTTCTTTTCTTTTTTTTTTTTTTTTTTTGAGACAGAGTCTTTCTCTGTCATGCAGCCTGGATTACAGTGGCACAATCTTGGCTCACTGCAACCTGTGCCTCTAGTGATTCTCTTGGCTCAGCCTCCTGAGTAGCTGGGATTACAGGCATGTGCCACCATGGTAGGCTAATTTTTTTGTATTTTTAGTGTAAATGAGTTTCACCATGTTGGTCAGGCTGGTCTCAAACTTCTGGATTTGTGATCTTCCATCTCAGCCTCTTAAAGTGTTGGGATTACAGGTGTGAGCCACTGCATCTGGCCATTTTTATACTCCTCTTTCTCTTTGTTCTTTTCTTTCTTTCTTTCTTTCTTTCTTTCTTTCTTTCTTTCTTTCTTTCCTTCTTTCTTGTCCTTTCTTGTCCTTCTTTCTCTTTCTATCTTGTTTTCTTTTTTCTTTCTTTCTCTCCTTCTTGTCTTTCTTTCTTTTTTCTTTCTATTTCGTTCTTATTCATTCATTTCTCCCTTTCTTCCTTTCTTCATTCCTTTCATTTTTCTTCCTTCCTTTATTTGTTTCTTTTTTAAAAATGGGTCTTGCTCAACCATACAGGCTTCAGTGAAGTCACATGATCATGGCTAATGACAGCCTTAACTTCCAAAGTTTAAGCAATTCTCTCACTTTGGTATCCTAAGGAACTGGCACTACAGATTTTTGCCACCATGCCTAGCTAATGATTTCTTACAATAATATTTTTATGTACAGAGGGTCTTTCCATGTTCTCTAGGCTGGTTTTTAACTTATAGCTCAAGTAATTCTCTCATCTCAGCCAGCCAACATGTAGGATCACAGGTGTGAGCCACCAAACACCACTGTTCACGTGTTCCTATAGCTCTAAGCAAATAAGGATAGCCAGGTACAAGGTTTGGAAAACAGATACAGCTTCTCAATGGAAAGAACTGTATGAGTACTTTTCAATAGGCATGGGTACAGAAAAAATAAAAAAAAACCCTGCCTTTTCTGTAATCAGTATTATTCTGCTGTTTTTTGTTTGTTTGTTTGTTTTTTTGTTTGTTTGTTTTTTTGTTTTTTTTTGTGGGGGGGTGAGATTTATAAAACTTTTCCAAGTCAAGAAACTTGCTCTATGACCCACAGCTAATAAGTGGCTGAACTAGAACTCAGGCTTAACTCTGCCTGACTTCAAAGATAATAAACCTCCATAGAGCATACTACTTAGGTAGCTTTTCTAAATTTTTGAAGTCCCGGTCACTTACACTTCTGAAATAAAAGCCAGACTCCTTTTTAATATTTGCCTATATAGTATTGTTTACTGATGGTAATAATTTCTTTAACAAATTGCAGAAACATCTTGGAAAAACAACAATTTAAGGAAATGACTGAGGGACGAGTTTAGGAAATCAAAGCTCAACATTATTTTTTATCAATAAAGAAATGCAAAAAGTGTTCAAAATGATTAAAAACTGAAATTTAACAAAGCATAATTGGGAAAAAATGACTCACAAATTTGGTAGTAGTTTTCTAATGTGGAGTAACATAAGATATATGGAGAAATAAAGCAAAATGACATACAGAAAACAGAAATGAGATGCAGATACATCCAGATCACTTACATCTCAAGAGTGATTTTATTTAAACACAGTTTTATCAGTAGAACCACTTATTTTTTGGACTAAATTCATTGATTGGCACAAGAGTGGGCTACAGTCTGTTTACACTGTGAAAGGAAATTCAGTTTTGGAATGGCTGGGCATGGTGGCTCATGTCTGTAATCCCAGCACTTTGGGAGGCCAAGTAAGTGGATCACCTGAGGTCAGGAGTTCAAGATCAGCCTGGGCAACATGGTGAAACCCTGTCTTCACTAAAAATACAAAACTTAGCTGAACGCTGTGGTGTACACCTGTAATCCCAGCTACTTGGGAGCCTGGAAAATTGCTTGAACCCAGGAGGTGGAGGTTGCAGTGAGCTGAGATTGTATGACTGCACTTTAACCCAGGTGACAGAGCAAGACTCCATCTCAAAATAAATAAATAAATAAAATTATATATAAAGTATATAAACATACATATATGTATGTATATATGTGTATATCTGTATACATATATATGTGTATATATATGTGTGTTTATGTGTGAGTGTATATATATGTGTTCCTATATATATACACACATATATATATACACACATACACACACACACACACACACACACACACACACTTGGGACCCCAAACTCATTAGCCAAAGGGAAAAGTCAAGCTGGTAACTAGGCCACACAAACCTGCCCCTTCCTTTTGGTCCCTAAATAGGTGAAAGGCTACATTCCTACCCCTTATTTTTCCCACGAGGAAATTCCTAGTGAGCTCTTAAAATTTCACCATGGCAATTCAAAATTATAGCTTATCTTGACAGGTACAGTCACCCCAGCCCACCAGAAACAAATTCATGTCTGATTGTTCCCCTACCCCATTTTGTTTGTGTTATCTGACTTATAATTCAGATTCCCCAAATTTTTCTTATACTCTCTTGTGGTTATATGAAAACGGTGTGCTTCTTAGGATCTTTTTCTTTAAATTGGGAGTTCTCAAAGTTATCTTTGGAAAAAGGCAAGAACTTGTCTCCTGGGCACATCCTTAACTCCAGCGAATAAACCTCCTAAAATAATTGAGATTTTTTTTCTTGTCATTTTTCTTTACTGATATCTGCTAACCATAGAGGGATCCTGAGTGAAAGTTACCTGGCCTGTGGCCTGCAGCCTGTGGCACTTCACCTCTCAGTGCTAGGTATTGGCTGGGATACCTTTTATCCTAAACTGACAGGACAATTTGCTAAATTCCTGGACCTCTTATCTCCAGGGATCCCGAATCTTCCAAAGTTTTTCAGCTGGGGGTCAGTTTATTTGCTGTTAAAACATTTCTTTTCTGTGGGAGTTTTTCCACTTACTTTCATCAAGGAAGTCAAGCTGGTCTGCTTCTGCATTTGTGGAGAGTGGTTTCCAACTTGGGTCCCATCACTAGGTAAGAAACTGGTTTGGGCTTCTGTCTTGCTGATTCTTTCAAATGACTAAAATTAGCATTAACAACCAGCTGGTGTTAGTTTCCTGCTTACACTTAGTGGTCAGAAATCATATATTTTGTGTGATCATTGTTAGTTTTGCCTAATTGTTTTTGTTTGTCTCTGTTGTGTGTGTGTGTGTGTGTATGTATGTTTCAGTCGTTTCCTATGAGATTTCACCAACTCTGAACACTTGAGCTCAGCTCAGAAGTATGGACTCTTCCAATCCAGAGAAATAAAACACCTTGCTTTCCTTAGCCATTTGGGGAACTCTCAGGTGACTGAAAATCATGTGAGGGCATTTGGGAGAAATGCGCCCTAAGACATGCAGTGGTTCTAAATAGCTTTTCTTTCTCAGAAGAACATACTCAAGGACTAATCTCAGCTGGCACGTGCATATAAGAAACCAATCTCTCTCATACTTTGATCCCCTGACATATTTGTGCCAGGTAGCTGCAACATGGGTGAACCAAACCAGTACAGGGGTTTGGAGAGCCTTGAAAACCTAGGTCTTCAACCAACACATTTTTGGTCCAACAGAAGACGCAACTTGGTAAAATCCAAAGAGAAACCCTAAATTATGGGGAAAAAGGCCTCTAAGATCCCAGCAGATGCAGAACATAACATTCCCCTTTTAGAAACTCCTAAAGGGTATATGCAAAATACTTACAGTGAATCATCATGGAAATACTTAGTTATGTGGACAACAATAACAAAAGCAGATTCTAAGTTACAATGGCCTAAATGGGGATATTTTGAGGTTCTCAAATTAGTGTACCTTTGAACCAGTATGGAAAATGCAGGCACAGAAACTAAGCAACCAGAATGGAAAGGTTATTTTCAGTGGTACCTGGAGAGTAGCAAAAGGGGTGAAGACCATGTGATCTCCCTACAAGAGGTGAAAAAGCAACTTAGAAATGTTAATCAAAAGCTCTCTAATCTTTTATCTCAAAGAAATCTTCAGAATCCCTTACTTCTTCCTTGGCACCCCCACCACCCACACCTATAACTCCACTGTGGCCTGACCTCTCTGAACTTCCCAGATCAGACCTGTGCTCCCCTTTTCCTGCATGTTTAACACTCTCTCAATATAAAGCAGGTGGGAATCACTTCAAGGATCCTATGACTGAGGATTCTGTGTCAGCACCATGGGAGGTGTCTCATCTGGAAGATATAGAAAAGGCGGAAGACCTACAGGAAAAACTGGCAACAAGTGGGGAAACACTGGCAATTGTCTACCAATTCTGGTCAATGGCTCATGTTAGTCTCAGAAGCTAAAGGTAAATAATTGCTTAAAAAAGCACAATAGTCAGGCCTTACAGCATATTTGAGCCATAAAAACCCAATGGAGCCCTGACAAGACAAGCTCGGTTGGGGAGACCCTAACCCAGTGGTGCTAGAGGAACTAGACACACATACACACAGAAATATAGAGGTGTGGAGTGGGAAATCAGAGGTCTCACAGCCTTCAGAGCTGAGAGCCCCAAACAGATATTTAGCCGCATATTTTAGCCACATATTTATTGACAGCAAGCCAGTGATAAGCATTGTTTCTGCAGGTTATAGATTAACTAAAATATTCCTTATGGGAAGTAAATGGATGGGCAAAAATAGAGGGATGGGTCTGGCTAGTTATCTGCAGCAGCATGTTCTTAAGGCACAGATAGCTCAAGCTATTGTTTGTGGTTTAAGAATGCCTTTAAGTGGTTTTCTGCCTGGGTGTGCCAGGTGTTCCTTGCCGTCATTCCAGTAAACACACAAACTTCAGTGTGGGCATCATGGCCATCAAAAACTGCAGATATTTTGTTATGGACAGTTTTGGGACCAGTTTTTGGCCAGACTTTGCAGGGCCTATTCCCAACATGTCCCCCTTCTTTGATTTGCAAAGCAATGAAAGCAAAGGCAGTTTTGTCACGGTGAGCTACTTCTTGCAGGATTCAGGATCTGCATGTGCAGAGTATACAAAGACAAACAACACAGATTAAAAGCATAATCATCATTGAAGTCCAGTGCTTCCAAGTGTTTTGATCCATTTTAATGGGTTACCAGCTGCTAATCTGTCTGCAGCTCCTTCAAGCACTTCAGTTCCTGGCATTAAGGTCAGGTGTGCCTGGGATGTTTTAAATATTTGTTCTTTTAATTTTGCAATATCCAAAGACAAGTTTGTAGAGTCTCCTTCTAGATGCTTTTTTATTCTTTCCTAAATTTTGGTCTTTTTAAGAGCTATTAATACTTTCCACAAATTCTTGTGTTTAGCTCCTACAATGGTCCATATCATTTGAGGTTGAGGTGACTCTATACTGCCATGTTTCCAGATAATAGGAACTCATGCCATATTTCTTATCATTTCTACCATCTGACTCTTTTGTTCAGACCAGATAAACATAGTGTGGCCATGGCACACAGACTGAGAGTAGCAATTCAAGCTAAATATCCCCTTAGGGGACCAAACAATAATGATTCCATAGGAATCATTGTGCAGCACCTCTGCTTGTTCTGCAATGCAATCATCATAAACAAGCATGTTAATTATTTCTAACTGGGTTCAATTTTGTTTACAAATAGGTTTTTTAGGTATTTATTATTTATTTATTATGGTAAATACTGAGATCAGAAAGCATATGTAACTGTGTCATAGAGTGATTACATCCAGGCATTATTACCAGCCAAGATTAATAAATATGCCTAATAATTGTTCTCTGTGTCAGCTCTTGTTGAAGGAATACTCACAGCAATGGTGATCATCATGATCATAGCTACCATTAAATTACTCTTTGTGACTGGTTATCCCACTTTCCTCAGGTTTTCTTCCACCATCTGTGACAGCTTCTTGATCTGTCCCCAGGTGGGTGGCTGTGTTTGATAGGTATTGCTCATGAGAGTTGGGGTTCTCCTCAGCATCACCCTCAACATGGCTGCAACCACAGGGTCTCAGGATCCTCCTGGAATCTCTTCCTTGGTATCTGGGTCATGATAAGGTTTCAGGTGTCTTGATGGTATCCAGATCAGCTGTTGATGTTGGCCTGGAGAAACACAAGCATAACCTCTACCCCAAGTTATTATTGTACCTATTTCCCAACTTTTTGTTATTGGATATCTCCATTGAACCAGTTGTTCTGATTCTGTCTTTGCAGCTGGTTTCTGTAGATGCTGTTCAGCTGCTGATAACATCTGGCCTTTGGGCAGGCTCATTTAAAGTTAATAATGTTAGTTTCAGTTGTGTATGGGCTATCCCATAGTCCCTATTTCTCCCCCATTTTTGTTTCTGTCATCAGTTGTTTATCTGTATGAAATTGTAACTGAGCATTTTAAATTAGCTGTGTGGAATGAACCACATATGAAGAATCAGAAATCAATTAATAGGCATATCAAAAACACTCAATACCTCAATTACAGCTACAAGCTCTGCTTTTTGAGCTGAAGTATAGAGCATCTGGAAAACTTTACTTTTTGAGCCAGAATAAGAAGTTTTACCATTACTAGACCCATCTGCAAAAAAAATGAAAATTCTTAGCATGCTGCACGTTGTTTACTGCAGGAATTGTAAATGCAAACCTTTCACAGTCTTGCTTAGGTAAGGGGATAGTAAAGAAACAGTCTTTTAAATCTATGACTATTAAAAGTCAATTTTAAGTCCTCCAAAGCCTCTCCTTTCTATTTACTCAGCGGCCTTTGTTCTATCCAAATTGGCTTATCTATTAACCATTTTAAAGGCGTAGGTTCTGGAGTTTTAACAATAGTCACCATCAAAACTCATATCCTAAACCTTGGTGGGAAAATTGTCTTTCTGCTTGAAGAGGTTATTTCAAACCTTGCAAATTTTTTCCTAGTCTCATGCCAGGGACATACTCCATTTCAGGCATCATATGTTGAATTTGAGGGCTATATAATTGTTCTGGAATTAGAACTTGTGCTCCCCATGGTTGTAATAAATCTCTCCCCCATAAATTTATAGGTACAGAAGTTATAATTGGTTGCATAGTCCCAGGGTGTCCATCAGGTCCCTTCATAATGCAAAATATAACTACTTTGACATACTTCAGGGGAGTTACCAACTCCAACTATGTTAAATTGAGCAGGTTGAACGTGGACGGCCAGTGCTGTAGAGAAATGATTTTAATGTCCACTCTGGTATCTACCAAATATTTAAATTTCTTTCCTGAATAGTTATTTCATGGGTAGGATGTTCATCAGTAATTTGATTTACCCAATAAGCTGCTTTGCTTTGTTTATTTGTGCTTCCAAATCCTCCCATTTGTTTAATTCACTTTTCTCCATTTCCACATATGGCACAATCAGGAGCTGTGCTATATGCTTTCCTGGCTCAGCGTTCCAGGGAACAGAAGCAGGTATAACATTTTGAGTATCTCATTATAATCTGAATCAATGACTCCTGTATGTATTTGTACCCCATTTAAAATTTAAACTAGACCGTCCTAGAAGTAATCCTATCATCCCCATTGGCAAGGATCCACAGACTCCTGTTGGGAACTTTTGCAGGGGTTCCCTAGGTAGAAGGCTCACAGCTTTTGTGCAGCATAAATCTACTGCAGCACTATCAGCTGTGGGATCAGACAGACATTTTACAAAGGTGAGGGAATGGCCAGAGCTGGAAATGCCCCGGTTTGGAATGGGGTCTGGGATGGGCCCCTGATGGCATTTCCCAAAATCGGTTCCCAACTTTATTAAACTTAGAGTGACACTGATTAGGTCAATGATTTCCTTTTTTACATTTTGGACATATTTCAGGCTCAGCAGTTTTCTTTTTTCACCTATCTGGCGGCCTGAATCACTGATTATTTCTATGTTCTTTTTTAGTATGGCCATGCTTCCTACAGTTAAAACAAGCTCCAGGAAGTGGAGTATTTCCTTTATCCACTCTCAGTCCTGCCATTGCCTGGGCAAGCAGAGTAGCCTTATGCAGATTACCTCCAATACCATTACGTGGCTTGATATAATCAATTAAATGTGCTTTCCCTCTAATAAGTCGCAGAGCAGCCTGGCTGTCAAAATTAGTATTGTCAAAAGGTAATAACCACAACACTATATCTGAGCAGCTGAATGTGCAATCACCTTTTTTACAGCACTTATACAGCTGTTTTACAGCCCTAAAGGAAGGCTATTATTCTCCACCTGAAGTTATTTTTTGTTCCCAAGCCCTAATGCACACTCCTCTAAGGTGTTCTATGGCATCATCCTCCATAATGACTGTAGATCTAAACCAGTCCAGCCACTGACCCCCAAAAGTTGGTCTGCAGTTATATTAATTTGAGGTTGGGCCTGGGTGTTGCCAGCAGCCTGAATGAAAGCTTCATCTGCCCACCAATTTTTAAATTTTAAGTACTGAGCAGGAGTTAGACAAGCTCAAGTAAGAGTGTCCCAGTCAGTAGTAATCATCTGACTGGAAATAGCAACATTCTTTAACAGTCCCATTATAAAAGGAGAACCTGGTCCATACTTATTAATAGCTTGTTTGAATTCCTTGAGTAATTTAAAGGGAAAAGGCTCATATGTAGCTATAATATTTCCCTGTTGATCTGGGGGGTGTATTCTAACAGGGAACTGCCAAGCCTCTATATCACCCTCTCATCTAGCTTGCTGAATTCCTGCCTGAATACAACTGAGAGTGGTCGCTAGAGGCGCTGCTTGAACAGAAACTGGGGCAACTACTTTTCGCCCAGTGTCCTCTGGAAAAGAAAGATCTGGAGGGTCAGAAAAGACTTTTTCTTCAAAATAAAAATGAGGGGGTGCAGAAGGGTAGGGATGAACCTCTCCCTCCTTTGCCACTTTAGCTTTAGCTGTCAAACAAAACTGCTCTGTAACCTCTTCTGTTACTTGGTTATACTCTCTTTCCCCCCTCATCATCAGTGTGAAAATGTTCCAAGGTGGAATGAACCAGAGCTCACACTTGTCCCTATTGTCATCCTGATGCTTCCGATCTCCCCTTCTTACTCACTACAGGGATTGCTTTAAGAGTATTCTGGTGTCCTCCAGCTTAGCTCCACATTCTCCAACCATCGCTCCAGCGACCCTTCAGCCTGGATTCGAGCCCCCATGTATGGGCACTGCTTGCTGAGACCAGTTTACTTGGGGAGACACTAACCCAAAGGAGCTAAAGGAATTAGACACACACACAAAGAAATATAGAGGTGTGGAGTGGGAAATCAGGGGTCTTACAGCTATTGTTTGTGGTTTAAGAATGCCTTTAAGCAGTTTTCTGCCCTGGGTGGGCCAGGAATTCCTTGCCCTCTTTCCAGTAAACCTGCAACCTTCAGTGTGGACATCATGGCTATCATGAACATGTCACAATGCTGCAGCAATTTTGTTTATGGCCAGTTTTGGGGCCAGTTTGTGGTGAGATTCTGGGGGTCCTGTTCCCAACAGACCCATAACAATCAGAACCCAAAAATCCAGAAGACATATATAAAGATGAATGGAGCAATAAAGAAATTAACATGGTGGATATGTCTAATAAAATGATCTTATGTCTTAAGTCAAAACTTATAACTTATCATTTCATCAGGTTCCAGTTCCACAACTGCAGGCTCTAAGTGTGACACTCAGTGAGTCCCATATGTTTGTTATGTGTCCTGTGGCCCCTGCCAATATTTTGGATCATGATCTCCTCAACATTCATAATGCCCATATCTCTGTTTCATCAAAAGGTGAAGCTCTTTTAGAATTAGAGCCAGGGGTCCAAAGATACCAAATTAAAAAATGTCCTTACAATGTGCCACAATTTAGTACTAGTAATGGTAAAACATCATCTTGTGACTATGAAAATAAAATGAAGATAGAGGAGGAAATATTAGGAGAGAAGGGAAATTATCACAATCAAGAACAAGAAACTATGAAACTCCTTTTAGCTTTTCCTATTTTCTCATTAACACCAGAAATGGAAGACTTGCTCAAGGATATTCCCTCCCATTTATGGTCAGTCAAATACTGATATAGGGAAAATATTCTTAGCCACACCAAAAAAGGCAGGGATAAAACCAAAGAAATCCCTACCAACTTTAAACAATATCCTCTACAACATGAAGCCATAGATGGAACTGCCCCTACCATACAAGATAATCTGAAAAAGGGGGCTTATTTTTCACTGCACAAGTCCCTGCAACAGTCCTATATTCACAGTAAAGAAATCAAGTGGAAGAGGATGAAGATTTGTGCAGGACTTGAGGGCAATAAACAATACCATAATACTCAGGCACCCAATAGTCCCCAAACCCATACCCTTCTATCACTTATAACAACTGCGATTCACTATTTCTCAGTTGTGGATCGCCTCAGTGACTTTTTTTTTTTTTTTTTTGTATCCCTGTAGATCTATCCATCCAGTCTTTGTTTTCCTTTATTTGGAAACAATGGCTATATATATAAATGATAATGCCCCAAGGGTATACAGAAGGTCCCACTTACTTTTCCCAAATATTAAGGATTGAATTTTTCCCCAGGACTCAATACATAGATTACTTCCTCCTTTATTCAGACTCATTATCTTTCTCTTAGTAAGATAGTTTATATTTGTTCAGTTAGCCAACAAGAGAACCAAAGTATCACAGACAAACTTCAGCTATGCTTAATGCAAGTTAAATATTTGGGATGTATTATCTCAGCCAAAGAACTGAGTGTAAACTCTGACAGAGTGAAAGGAATTTTAGCTTTCTTAATGACTGTCACTAAGAAACAACTTAGAGAATTTGGGGGCCTGGTAGGCTATTGCAGAAACTGAACGTCAAATTTCTTCCTCATGGTTAAACTTTTGAATGCATATCTAAAAATGGTCAGCTTCATTCCATCATGTGTACCCTATAAGGATAATCAGCAGTACAATAAATGAAAAGAACTCAAATTATGGCCCAGCCTCAGGGCACCCAAATGACAAATAACCTTTCTCCCTTTTTATACAAGAAACTGGAGATACTGCATCCAGGTTACTGACCCAGAAACACGGTGATCTTCAGAGACCAGTACACTATTATAGTCAACAGATGGACCCTATCGATTGAGAATTGACTCCTTGTGTGACAGTAATAGCAGCCACAGCCCTTCTGTACAAGCCTGTGGAAAAAATAATTATGGGTTTCCTGCTTAACATTTTTGTGCCACATTCTCTTGAGACTCTTCTAATCTCATCATAGTCAACATCTTTTCATCAACTGGTTAGTGTCTTATAAAATTTGGCTATCATCTCCTAATATTACTATTTTCCACTGTTACAATCTTAAGTTGGCCACTCTCTTGCTGGACCTATCAGACAAAGCCCCATAACTCTGCTCTGATAACTGACTGAGTTCTCATCCCCCAAGGCAGACCTACAAAAGACACCACCGAATAATGTTGAGATAGAATGGTATACAGATGGGTGTTATTTAAGAAAAGAAGATGAAAATTTTAGAGCAGGATATGCTGTGGTTTCATTTCTACAGGTAAATGAAATCCATCCTTTTCTTTAAGCCAGATCAGCTATAGGGGCTGAACTGATTGCCCTGACCTGAGCTTGTCAATTGGCATAAGAAAAGACTGCAAACATTTACACTGACAGCTGCTGTGCCTTTGAGGTTGCTGATGGCTTTGGAATGCTTTAAAAAGAGACAGAATATTTACCCGTTTCAGGGCAAACCATAAAAAATGGAAAAGTATCAGACCTGTTAGAAGGTATTCTAAGGCCAAAATGTGTGGCATTATAAAAATTTCAGGTCACTTATAATCAGACAACACAGAAAGTCAGGGTAACCAATTGGCTGATGCTACAGCTAAAACAGCAGCAATCAAGCCACCAGCTCCAAATTGGGAAATGGCCATAAAACCTAAAACACTTATAAACATGTTGAAAGGAACCCAGAGAATAACTCCTAAAAAAGAGAAATCTACTTGGAAACAGGCAGGGGATACTTTTCTTTCAAAATTGAAATATAATGTGTACCTAATAATAAACATTCCACAGGGATGTCAGGTGCTCTTTATGGAATATGTTCATTATCCCATTAGAATCCAAATAAAATGATATCCTATCCTGATGTAAACAATGTCACTGAAAACCATTCTTTACAGTGACATGAAAGATTTAATTTTGATGTGTTATTCATCGCAAATATAGCCCAGGAAAGCTCCTCCAGGGTCCCAGGGTCAATTTCCTTTTGTGGCTAAACTTTCTGAGGTATCACAGCTTGATTTTATCCAGCTGCTATTATCTTAAGGTTACAAGTATGTTTTAGTAATTATTTGCATGTTTTCCACTGGGTTAAAGCTTTTCCCTGCAGGCAAGCAGTAGCCATGGCAGTTAGAAAAATTCTACAAGAAAAAATTATCCCACCATGGGGAGTCCCCTGTGAACTTCGCAGTGATGGGGAACTTACTTTACTGGCCAGCTTAGTCAAAATATTTGTAATATTTGGACATATTTCAACATTTCCATTGTCCCTACAATACCCAATCCTCAGGCATAGTGGTGAGGACAAAGGGAATAATCAAAACATAATTGGCTAAGTTCATGGAGGTGTTTCACCTCCCCTGGTTCAAAGCACTCTCCCTAATGGTGCTTACATTCCAATCCACCCCTTTTGGAAAACATCAACTGTCTCCTTATGAAATAAAAATGAATTTTTTTAACTGCCATGGCTATTGCTTGCCTGCAGGGAAAATCTTTAACCCAACTGAAAGCATGCAAACCATGTTTTCTGAATTTCAACATCAGTCATAAGTCTGGTTATGTTCTTCAATTCACCTGGAATATACACATAACAGCCAGTTTTTATAATGGTGAAGGTCCACCCTGTTAGAGCCAAAACCCTCACTAATCTAATGGTTGTATGGTCGGTTTGAATCCTGTGGAAATTGGTAGCAGAAATTATTGCTTATAGTAGGCATAGTAGTGATAACAATTTGTCTTCTGCCCTGTTTTTCTTACAATATTTTTATGGTACATGTTGTAAGTAAGGAAAAGGCTAAGGTAATAATTGCCCAGAGAATTGCTCTAATTGAGCATATAGTAATATAGCCTGATTTAGCTCCCAGTTTTTCTTTCCTTTTATTGCTGTAAATCTTGCCTAAGTCCATATATATATATATATACCTATAAATATACACATACACACATATACATATACATGTATATGTGTGTATATATGTGTATATAAATATACACATACATATATATACACACACACAATATTTTCTCTTTTTCTCTACTTTCTTCCCCCATTTTTATCTTCATAGAACATGACTTCCTTGGAATGAGTCTTTCTAGTGACTTGTGAAAGACTTCCTAATAATGAACCCTCATAGGATAGTGAAATATGACCTCCTAGGAATGAGCATTCCTAGGGATGTAGGCCCTAAACTTACAGGAATAAACCCTCCTTGCAATGAGAAAGCAGCAGGAAAATAAAAAGGGAGAAAAAATCAACCTGAGGCCAGAAACACGTATTTCTTTATAAAATGCTTTTACCCAAAGGATTTTTAAAAACAAACAAACAAAAAAGTGAATGAAAATTTAATTTTGGGGCCCCATATTCATTAAGCCAAACCAAAAAGTCAAGCTAGAAACTGGGACATGCAAATCTGTCTCCCCATTTTGGTTCCTAAATAAGGTGGTTACATCGATGAAAGGCTACACACCTTCTTCATAGTTTTCTTTTTTCAATTTTTTATTTTTATTTATTATTTATCTATTTATTTTATTATTATTGTACTTTAAATTTTAGGGTACATGTGCACAACGTGCAGGTTTGTTACATATGTATACATGTGCCTCGTTGGTGTGCTGCACCCATTAACTCATCATTTAGCATTAGGTATATCACCTAATGCTATCCCTCCCCCCTCTCCCCACCCCACAACAGTCCCCAGTGTGTGATGTTCCCTTCCTGTGTCCATGTGTTCTCATTGTTCAATTCCCAACTATGAGTAAGAACATGTGGGGTTTGGTTTTTTGTCCTTGCGATAGTTTGCTGAGAATGATAATTTCCAGCTTCATCCACGTCCTTATAAAGGACAAGAACTCATCATTTTTTATGGCTGCATAATATTCCATGGTGTAAATGTGCCACATTTTCTTAATCCAGTCTATCATTGTTGGACATTTGGGTTGGTTCCAAGTCTTTGCTATTGTGAATAGTGCCGCAATAAACACATGTGTGCATGTGTCTTTATAGGAGCATGATTTATAATTCTTTGGATATATACCCAGTAATGGGATGGCTGGGTCAAATGGTATTTCTAGTTCTAGATCACTGAGGAATCACCACACTGACTTCCACAATGGTTGAACTAGTTTACAGTCCCATCAACAGTGTAAAAGTGTTCCTATTTCTCCACATCCTCTCCAGCACCTGTTGTTTCCTGACTTTTTAATGATTGCCATTCTAACTGGTGTGAGATGGTATCTCATTGTGGTTTTGATTTGCATTTCTCTGATGGCCAGTGATGATGAGCATTTTTCATGTGTTTTTTGGTGCATAACTGTCTTCTTTTGAGAAGTGTCTATTCATATCCTTCACCCACTTTTTCATGGGGTTGTTTGTTTTTTCTTGTAAATTTGTTTGAGTTCATTGTAGATTCTGGATATTAGCCCTTTGTCAGATTAGTAGATTGCAAAAATTTTCTCCCATTCTTTAGGTTGCCTGTTCACTCTGATGGTGGTTTCTTTCACTGTGCAGAAGCTCTTTAGTTTAATTAGATTCCATTTGTCAGTTTTGGCTTTTGTTGCCATTGCTTTTGATGTTTTGGACATGAAGTTCTTGCCCATGCCTATGGCCTGAATAGTATTGCCTATGTTTTCTCCTAGGGTTTTTATGGTTTTAGGTCTAATATGTAAGTCTTTAATCCATCGTGAATTAATTTTTGTATAAGATGTAAGGAAGGGATCCAATTTCAGCTTTCTACATATGGCTAGCCAGTTTTCCCAGTGCCATTTATTAAATAGGGAATCCTTTCCCCATTTCTTGTTTTTGTCAGGTTTGTCAAAGGTTAGATAGCTGTAGATAAGCGGCCTTATTTCTGAGGACTCTGCTCTGTTCCATTGGTCTATATATCTGTTTTGGTACCAGTAGGATGCTGTTTTGTTTACTGTAGCCTTGTAGTATAATTTGAAGTCAGGTAGCCTGATGCCTCCAGGTTTGTTCTTTTGGCTTAGGATTGACTTGGCAATGCGGGCTTTTTTTTGGTTCCATATGAACTTTAAAGTAGTTTTTCCAATTCTGTGAAGAAAGTCATTGTTAGCTTGATGGGGATGGCATTGAATCTATAAATTACCTTGGGCAGTATGGCCATTTTCACGATATTGATTCTCCCTACCCATGAAAATGGAAAGTTCTTCCATTTGTTTGTATCCTCTTTTATTTCATTGAGTATTGGTTTGCAGTTCTCCTTGAAGAAGTCCTTCACATCCCTTGTAAGTCAGATTCCTAGGTATTTTATTATATTTGAAGCAATTGTGAATGGGAGTTCACTCATGATTTAGCTCTCTATTTGTCTGTTATTGGCATATAAGAATGCTTGTGATTTTTGCACATTGGTTTTCTATCCTGAGACTTTGCTAAAGTTGCTTATCTGCTTAAGGAGAGTGTGAAGAGGGAAATTTATAGCACTAAATGCTGACAACAGAAAGCAGAAAAGATCTAAAATTGACACCCTAACATCACGATTAAAAGAACTAGAGAAGCAAAGGCAGACATTCAAAAGCTAGCAGAAGGCAAGAAATAACTAAGATCAGAGCGGAATTGAAGGAGACAGAGGCACCAAAAAACCTTCAAAAAATCAATGAATCCAGAAGCTGGTTTTTTGAAAATATCAACAAAATTGATAGACCGCTAGCAAGACTAATAAAGAAGAAAAGAGAGAAGAATCAAATAGATGCAATAAAAACTGATAAAGAGGATATCACCACCGATCCCACAGAAATACAAACTACCATGAGAGAATACTATAAACAACTCTATGCAAATAAAGTAGAAAATCTAGAAGAAATGGGTAAATTCCTCTACACATACACTCTCCCAAGACTAAACCAGGGAGAAGTTGAATCTCTGAATAGACCAATAACACCTTCTGAAATTGAGGCAATAATTGATAGCTTACCAACCAAAAAAAAGTCCAGGACAAGATGGATTCACAGCCGAATTCTACCAGAGGTAAAAGGAGCAGCTGGTACCATTCCTTCTGAAACTATTCCAATCAATAGAAAAGAGGGAAACCTCCCTAACTCATTTTATGAGGCCAGCATCATTCTGATACCAAAGCCAGGCAGAGACACAACAAAAAAAGAGAATTTTAGACCAATATCCTTGATGAACATTGATGCAAAAATCCTCAGTAAAATACTAGCAAACTGAATCCAGCAATACATCAAAAAGCTTATCCACCATGATCAAGTGGGCTTCATCCCTGGGATTCAAGGCTGGTTCAACATACGGAAATCAATAAACGTAATCCAGTATATAAACAGAACCAAAGACAAAAACCACAGGATTATCTCAGTAGATGCAGAAAAGTCCTTTGACAAAATTCAACAACGCTTCATGCTAAAAACTCTCAATAAATTATGTATTCATGGGAGGTATCTCAAAATAATAAGAGCTATCTATGACAAACCCACAGCCAATATCATACCGAATGGACAAAACTGGAAGCATTCCCTTTGAAAACTGGCACAAGACAGGGATGCCATCTCATCCCACTTCTATTCAACATAGAGTTGGAAGTTCTGGCCAGGGCAATCAGGCAGGAGAAGGAAATAAAGGGCATTCAATTAGGAAAAGAGGAAGTCAAATTGTCCCTGTTTGCAGATGACATAGTTTTCCCACAAGAAAATTTCTGATGAGCTCTTAAAACTTTACCATGGCAATGCAAATTGATAGCTTTTCTTTACATGTGCAGTCACCCTGGGGCGCCAGACACAAATGTGTAACTGATTGTTTCCCTACCCCATTTTGTCTGTGTCATCTTATGTAAAATGTAGATTCCTCATATTTTTCTCTGCCCTTTTTCATCTTAGTGAAAGCTGTGTGTTTCTCAATATCCTGCATTTTTCCCTTCAAATTTGGAGTACTCAAAATTGTCCTTGGGGAATGTCATAGAGTTGTCTTCTGGACATGTCCTTTGGCAAATAAATCTCCCAACATGATTATTACTGGTCCCACCATTTTATTCAATGGACAACACGTTCAGTTATAGTTTACTGTGCACAAAAACAATTTTCTAAAATTAAACATGTTAGGAGGCAGATTTAGGTACAGCATAATTAAAAAATTTATTTCCCTTGGTCATCTCAATTTTGATAGGTAGACCCAAACTTCAGTCATTGATATTACTCTGTCTCCATAGTATTTATGCTTACTTGATCTCAAATCACACTGTAAAATTGCAGAACTGTGGGTTTTGTAAATTGAGGACAAACTTCACCTTAGTATTCTTTAAAACAATTAAATAGAGTGACCTCCTTGTGTTGAAATCTAATTTTTATAGAAAATAAGAAATACATGGTTTGTTTTTGTTTTTATGTCCTTAAACTTTCATTTTGATTACACTGTATTTAGCATAATTGACTCAATTTTGGAATGGATTGATCTTTTGGAACCTAGTCTAAAGAATAAGATAGGCAATGTGTCCACTCATTTCATCTAAGCAGCCCGTTCATTAATTCCCTGCAACTAAATGTCCATAATACCCAATGTATTCCTTTATGTGTAACTGCAGCTGTAAGCAACTGCACAGATACTTCTCTGCTTATTCAGTAAGTAATCTAGACAAATTATATTATTTGGTAAAACTTTTGCAAAAAAAATTAAAGTCTATTGTGTAACCATAGCCTTTACAGTAGAATCTTTTATAGAACCTATTATGATGAATAACTTTTTGATTTACTGTAAAGCATGAAAACAAACACATAATAATTTATATCCATTAAGAAGAGTGAAGACATCCTGGAAATGCTCTTTAACCTATGCCTGCAATGTTCTCCTTAACCTATGCAGTAGATTAAGAGAACTGGCTCAGGCCAGACGCAGTGGTTCACACCTGTAATCCCAGCAGTTTGGGAGGCCAATGCAGGTGGATCAGGAGGTCAGGAGATTGAGACCATCCTGGCTAACATGGTGAAACCCCATCTCAACTAAAAATACAAAAATTAGTCGGGCATTGTGGCAGGCACCTGTGATCCCAGCTACTCGGGAGTCTGAGGCAGGAGAATGGCATGAACCTGGGAGGTGGAACTTGCAGTAAGCTAAGATTACACCACTGCACTCCAGCCTGGGTGACAGAGCAAGGCTTCAACTCAAAAAAAAAAAAAAAAAAAAAAAGAGGTGGCCCAGTGTTGTGTTTCTGACATTATAAAACAACACATATCCCATTAAAATTTCTCACTCATGTTGACTCTTCATTTTTCATCTATCAATGCATGGTTGGCTGCAGAATCCTCTACATAAAAAATACACCCCATGAGTACACAAGACTTGTTTTTATTTCTGTTGTTTATAGAGCCATAAGCAAGGGAAAATCTAAAAGCTAAAATCTAATAGTAGCAGAGAAGTCACGGTTTATCATCTTATAAGAAAGATGTCTATGCCAGTGATGTCATCTTCTTCTTAGGAGAAACTTCCTCGGTTGGACTTCAGGTGTCATTATTATCTGGGGTAAACACCTGAGTTTTGTTTTCTCATGCCAAGGAAGTCAAAGACACAAATACACAAAACATGAGTTTAAGAGTGAAGGTTTAATCGGCAAAAGAATAAGAAAAGAGAATAGTTCTCCATCTCAGAGAGAGAGAGGGTCACCGGAACAACTCTTCTGATTTCATGGTGAAATGCACAGGGTTTTATAGATGAGCTTGAAGAGGTGGTGTGTGATTTATATAGGAACCAGTAGATTTGTCAAACCAGGTGTGATATTTGCATAGCATGCAAAGTAACTGGCCATCTCACCCTAATGTTTTATTACTCAGATGGGGTTTCTACCTGGCCTGCACCCTGTGGTCTGTTTCTTACTGTACACATGGTTGACAAAAATGAAAAAAAAAAAAATTGAATATGGAGTCACCATGTTAAAAATGTCTGGACCCCAAGTAACCTTTTTCTTTTGACACAGCTGCTGGCATTCACTTCTGCAAGCTTCCAACTTGCTTATTTGTGTCTGCAGCTTAATTTTACAGGCTGCTGTTTCTTAGAAAAATAATAGTTTGTGTGCTACTTTCATTAAAAGGAAAATCTTACTGAGGGTTTCTGTTGTTTTGTTGTTGTTGTTGTTGTTTGTTTGTTTTTTGAGAGGAGTCCCTCTGAAGTCTATCTGCTCATCTCTAATATTAAGCCACAGCCTCCATAGAACCAGAATTGAGAGGGGAAGGGCAATGGATGGTTTAGAAAAAGGTAAAATTTGAGGAAAAACAAAACAAAACAAAAGAGGACATAATTTCTCACTTGGAGCTGTGGTCTTAAGCTTTGAAACTTGAGGGTGGGGCTTTGCCAGAGGCCCACATTTTCTGCCAAAAGTTTCTCTGGAAGCTGTCTTTATCAAATATCAACAGAATAAAGAATAGGAACTGTACAAATCATGTAAACATATGTGAATATAACATTTGATAAAATTCAACATTTATTTATGCCAAAAATCTTCAAAAATCTCTTAATAATGAAACAGGAATTAAAAAAAATTAAAGAATGTGTAAGCAAAATCTCAGTTGTATGTAAGAAAACCCAATTCCCCCTGAGGAAGAGGAAGAGCTGAAGTCCTTTAAAAATTAACTGCCTGTTTTTCTGTGGCTAGTGAGCCTTATCTCTCCCTTTCCCAGGTATTGTGAAGACCCTGTTTCTCTAGCTGTGCAGCTGCAAAGTCACTAGGCAGATAATCTCAAGTCGTAAAACATGTTGTTCCTTGAAAAGTAAGAACTGATGTAATGCATATCTCAATTGAATAACTGTCTTTGTTTCTCTCTTCTGTAATATGCTTTCCCCTACGCAGATCTTCCCCAACCCCATGAAATGCTTAAAAAGTAGCTTGACTCTTTTTTGGGGGCTCAGTCCTTTAGATGTTAATCTGACTGGGCCAGTGCACCTAACTAATAAATAATAAGTATCCTCCTCAACCCCTCGGTCTCTCAGATTCCTAAATTATCCTACTGCAATGAAAAGAACATATATCAACATAATAAAAACTGTATATGACAGACCAACAACTAGTACCATACTGAATGAAAAAAACTGAAGGCTTTTTTTTCTAAGATCAGGAATATGGCAAGGATGTCCACTGACATAATTTGTCATTCAACATAGAAGTAGAAGTCCT
Organism: Homo sapiens; assembly: GCF_000001405.40. Classification (NCBI taxonomy): domain Eukaryota; kingdom Metazoa; phylum Chordata; class Mammalia; order Primates; family Hominidae; genus Homo; species Homo sapiens. Next base: position 19,282,353 of record NC_000024.10, on the reverse strand, counting down.
GGATAGATCATTCATACCAAAGAATAATATCAAGAGCATTCAAATCAGAATGAGAAAAGTAAAATTGTCTTTGTTTTTAGATCGTATAATTTTGACTTTGGAAACATTGTAAATATTTTGTGAGAAAAATATGAAAATATTAATTAATTCACTAAGTTGATGTACAAAATCAACAGAAAAAAATTAGTAGCATTTGTATATGCCAACAGTAAACAGTGTTGAGAAGAAATTAAAAAACTAATTATATTCAAAATAGCCACATATAGAAATAAATACTTAGAAATTAACTGATAAAAAATGAAAGAGCTCTATAATAAAAACTATAAAACAATAACAAAGAAAGTTTAAGGGGACAGAAAAAATTGGAAAATATTCCCTAATCATGGATTGAAGGAATTAATATTGTTAATATGTCTATATCACCAAATCTACAGACTTAATGCAAGCTCTATCAAAATATCAATGACATCTTTACATAAGTAGAAAAAACAATCCTACAATTAACATGTAGCTACCAATAATCTAGAATTGCTACAGCTGCCCTAAGCAAAGAGAACAAACCAAAAAAATTACATTACTTTACTTTTAACTACACTACAGATCTACAGTAACACAAAATGCATGGTACTAAAATAAAAACAGACACATAGACCAATGAAAAATAATAGAGAACCTAGAAACAAACCAACATACCTACAGTAAGCTCATTTTGACAACAATGCCAAAAACATACACTGGAGAAAAGACAGTCTGTTCAATTAATGATGCTCAAATGACCAGATATCCATATGCAGAAGAATAAAACTAAATCCCTTCTCTCACCACATACAAAAAAGAAATCAAAATTAGTTAAAAATTAAATCTAAGATAAAAATCTATAAGACTACTATAATAAAGCATTGGAAAAAAGCTGTACAATATTTACCGGGGCAAAGATTTTTTTGAAGAATATCCCACAAGCACAGCAAACTAAACCAAAAATAAACACATAGAATACCATCAAGTTAAAAGGCTCTGGCAAACAAAACCATACAATAAATAAAATGAAGAGATTCTCAAAGAATCTCTTCATTTTATTTTTAATCTCTTTGAAATCTATCCATTTTATTTTTAATCTCTTTAAAGACATTTAAAAAGTGTATACCTCACAAAACATTAGTAACCAGAATACATAATAAGTTCGAACAACCCACAGAAAATTAAATGAGAAAAAATTGAATATACCTTTTTCAAAAAGATATGCAAATGGCTAATGGCATAAAAAAAGTGCTCAACATCATTGACTGTTAGAGGAATGCAAATCAAAACTACAATTAGGTATTATCTAACCCCAGTTAAAAACATCCAAAAGACAAACAATAACAATTGCTGCCTACGATGTGGAGAAAAGGAAACCTTTGTACACTGTTGGAGAAAATGTAAATTTGTACAACCACTATGGAGAACTGTTTGAAGATTGCTCCTAAAACTAAAAATAAGCTATCATATGACCCAGAAATCCCACTTCTAAGTATATATCCAAAAGAAAAAAAAGTATATAAAATAGAGGTCTGCACTTCTGTGTTTATTGCAGCATGATATGCAATAATAGCTAAAATTTGAGAGCAACCTGTGGTCATCAGCAGATGAACTGACAAAGAAAATGTGGTACATGTAAACAATAGAGTCAGCCATAAAAAACAATAAGACTCAGTCATTTGCAACAACATGAACAAAACTGAAGATTATTATGTTAAGGAAAATAAACCAGGCACAGAGAAACAAATATTTTTTGTAAATACTTTTTGAGAGCAATTAAACTTGAAATCAATACAATTAAATGGATGGGCATAGAGAATAAAAGCATGTTTATCAGAGTCTGGGATGGGAAGCAAACAAGAATGGAGGGTGTCAAGATCACATTTAAGATTAGAGATTGTTTCATCCAGAAGTCAGCCTGCTCTTAAAAGGTTGAATGAGAGGGTTGAATGCTGGTTTTTGTGAGCATGGATCGGAGTACATGGGCCTGAAGAAAATAGATAAATTTAAGTAAAATTTGGTTAACAAGTGTTTTGATCTGACTATGGAAAACAAAAGCTAATGGTTTATAATAAATAAATGAGAATTTGCAGTTTCTTTGTCTAGTGTTGTGAGAGATGAATAAGAGATTATTATTTAAGTTATAATGGAAGGGTGTTTCTTTGCAGTAAGTTGCTCTTTCAGAACACTGAGAATTAAGAGATTTTAAAAACCAGAGCTATTTAACCAGTATTTATCAAATTTTTCCATCTTATTCCACCACTTTTTCTTGTCTTATACATGTCTGTTACCTGGCTGTTTCTGAGTTGAATTACTTGTTATAAGCTGGTGAACATAAATCAAATATTTATTTTATTACTGTCAGTAATTCTATCAAATTATTAGACTTGATGGGTTATGGGATCCTGTAATTCACAGAAAATTGCTCAGAATTATGATGGGCTCCCAGAGCCTGTGACTGGCAACTATTCTAGGGGCAGTTTGTAGGACTGAGTCCTGAACTTGTGTTTCTGTGCTAATCTAGAATGTAACATAATTGAATTGTTGGACAGTCAATTGGTGTTAAAGAATTAGTTGATGTACAGCTAACTTCAGACATTTTGTGTCAGACATATTTTTAGGAAAAGAAAAATAAAAGACATCACAGGTGATAACCTTAAACTGATTCCAAGTGAATTTGGACACTAGTGAGAAGTAAGACCCTGACAAAGAAAGTGTTTTCATCATGTCAGAAATAGACAGTGAAATGTGTGGGACTCTCAGAATTACATTTGTCAGCTTCTCAGGGTTTTTTACTTACTGTTTAGGAGCAAATTACACTGAGCAACTTCTCCACCAAGCTTAGGAATCTGTTTAACCTGCTGAGTATGTGGATTCTTACGAACTTCCAATAAAATAAGCTACTTCCCGTAGTTGCTTTCATTTTCTTTACTCTATAAAATCTTACTGCTATGTAAGTACAGCTTATTTCAACAATTCAATAATTTGATTTCATAACTTTGTAAAATTATTTTTTCTAGGTTGAAAGTAAGAGTAAATTTGTAATATAATTTGAGGAAACAAAGATAATTTCAACATAAATCAACTTGTTCTTAGTTTAAATAACAAGAATATAACTTTCCATGTACTCAGCAGGTAAATAAATAGGGCTTGAGCAGTTACAGTGTTTCTTTGATCTCATCTACTTTTCGTACCCAGGGTTGACCACAGTCCTAATTACTTTTATTATTTTTTGCAACTTAACTATCATGAAGAAGAGTTTTGCTTGGTTTTCCTATTTGAGTTTTGATTAACTTATATTGTCTTAAATACTTTATTACTATTACACTGAAATTGTATTTTATTGTTTGTTTGCCTCAGTTTGTTGTACACATACTGAGGTTTGAGGCCGAGAGTCATACAATTTACTCACCAATTTTACTTTTTTGGAACTTGAGTTGTTTAAATTTTTGTGTTTTTTTAATTTTTTGTTTACAATATTATTACTGACATTGTTTTTGTCTTTTTTTTACAAATTTGTTTATCTAAGAAAAAAACTGAGACACAAAATGAAATATTACAGAGTTTACTCTAGATAAGGTGAAGGTAGGTACCTGTAGGTTTCAGACGTATGTATCCTTGGATGTAAGCTCTGTTTGAATTTTGTTATAAGCAGGCTTTCAAAGGCAAAAACAAAAACAGGGTTAAACCAGTAGAAGTTTTGTGTCATGACTTCTCATTACTACACAGAAATAACATTGATTAGTGATTGGCTATACATTGCTATACTCTACGGTAATAACTTATGGTAGCCAGCAAGTGTATTTATTAGATTAATTATAGCTGTGTCAGTCTAGAGCCAACATAGCAAGCCAGTTCAAAAAATAGTTACTCAACCCATTGGTCTACATAGAAAATGGTACATCACAGTTTTATTATTCTTTTCCCTCTCTGAACCTGTAATTTAGAAAAGTTTTGCACTCTTCAAATAACACAGTTTATTTTTTCTTGTGTCCCCTTTTTTGATCAAAAATTTACTTTTGAAAAAATAATTAATTAAGTCTAAGTGTCAAGGCATCTCTCCTGTCCAAAAAGGCTCATTCTCTGACAAGTTTATCTCATGTCAGATGGGAAGAAAGAGATGTCTCAGCAACAAATTTTAAGAGTGCCTGAATACCTAAATAGGGATGTCATAACAGTGTGGCAAAAATAAGACTTCAGTCAAGTCATTTATTTACATAGTTTCTATTGCTTGTTTTATTATCTCATCTTTGGAATAGTATAATTTTACTTCTTTCAGAAGAAGTATAACAATGAGAGATACATATTATCAATAATATTAATAGTAGAAATGCAATGCACATTCAGACTATGAAGAAGTAATTTCTATACCAGAACAACAATAAGACCCAAAACCTAATCCATTAAGAAGGTAATTAAGAACATTACAAACATGATTAAAGACAGGTTTATATTCAGAGAATTGTGGTAGCTAAGTGGCTTCTTCTCTCATTTTTCCTGGATAAATTTTTACATAATGAGAAGTATTAACGTATACACAAGAAGTTTTTGTCACCATACATACACCTCTGTGCTTAGCTAACACATAATATAAAGCAATGTCATTGTCTACTGCTATCTCAGGCAGTGAACCATAACTTTTTTTGTAAACTGTAATGTAGATCTCAGCTTTATCAGCAATTTTTCCTAAGGCTATTAAATTATTTCCAATCATGGAAAGTTACATCACTTAAAAATAAAAGCATTCTCCCAATAATGTGGAAGAAACTAACTAACTTGATGACCAGAGAGATAATTAGGAAGTTTTCTTCGAGGAGAATTTCTATCTGAAATTGTCGGTGGTTAAGCCTAGGGAAAATTTTGAAAGAACTATTCCAGTGTTGGGTTACTTCAGAGCTGTGTATAGACAGAGAGTTAGAGAAATAACCTAAAAGACACGGCTCTTCAATTTAACAGCATGAGGATTGGCCACAAACAGCTTATCTGGATTCCTCCAGCAGAAGTAGAGAGGATTTTTTATTTGATGGTATTTGCAATAAACAGAATTTTCAGGTAAAGGCTATTATTTTTTATGTTTATTTTCCTGGAATATTGCTTTTAAAAAATCTTGAATCAATTTAAAATTTATAGTAAGGCACTTTATAAGGTCTTGCAAAAAAAAAATTACCTTTAAGGAGAGCTGCTTTGTAGGCTACTTTATCCAGGTGCATAGAACTTGCTATTATTATTCTAAAGGGGGAAACCTAGTATTTTCCAAATTAGACACAACATAGGTTGTATAATACCAATAAAAGAGCCTTAGGCCAGGAAGCTTAAAATTTCTGCAAATTTTCAATTTTTTAAATTAATCCATTTGTGCATTTTGCCAATCTAGAAAACAGAGAGAGGTACGCAGGATGAAAGTGTTTTTTTTTTTTTTTTTTTTTTTTTTTTTTTAAAAACCCATATGTAAAACTAGAATAAACTATTTGCCCAGTAAAATGTGTTTGTCTCTGTGAAGCTCAGAAGCTCAGAAAGATGTACCCCACAAAAAATTGATCAAGATTTAAAATGGTCATGATTAAAAATTCAATTAACAAAGATATTTGGTCATTTTTATTTTCCACATTTCACTCAAAAGATGAATCAAAGTCCTTTATTATTGCTTATGAATACTTTATATAAATCTTTTTTTTTTCTAAGATGGAGTCTTGTTCTGCCACCCAGGCTAGAGTGCAGTGGCACTATTGTGGCTCACTAGAACCTCTGCCTCCCAGGTTCAAGTGATTTTCCTGTCTTAGCTTTCGAGTAGCTGAGATTACATGTGTGCCACCATGTCCAGCTAATTTTTGTATTTTTTGTTTTGTTTTGTTTTGTTTTGAGTTGGAATCTTGCTCTGTCACCCATACTGGAGTGCAATGGAATGATCCTGGCTCACTACAACTTCTGTGTCCCAGGTTCAAGCTATTCTCCTGCCTCAGCTTCCTAAGTAGCTGGGATTACAGGTGCCCACCATGTTGTCCAGTGAATTTTTGTATTTTTAGTAGAGACAGGGTTTCACCATGTTGGCCAGGCTGGTCTCAAACTCCTGACCTCACGATCTGCCCACCTCAGCCTCCCAAAGTGCTGGGATTATAGGCGTGAGCCACTGAACCTGGCCAAAAATCTTGTTTAAAAAAGAATATTAAATTTTCTGTTTTATTGCATTATTAAATCAAAGCTAATTTTAATAAAGAGGTTGTGTAATCTCAATCAGTTCCACAGGTACAATTTTTATAAAACTTTTATTTATTCATTAGTTTGTTTTGTTCAGACAGGTCTCACTCTGTCACTAAGACTGGAGGGTAGAGGCATGGTCATGGGTCACTGAAGCCTCAACCTCTCAGGTCCAAGCAATTTTCCTCCCTCAGTTTCCTCAGTAGGTGGGACATAAGGCATATGCCAGCATGCAGAGCTAATACTTTGATTGCTTTGAATAAAACAGGGTTTTCTATGTCACCCAGGCTGACCTTGAACTCCTGAGCTCAAATGATCTTTCCAATTCAGATCCCCAAAATACTCGAATTAAAAATTTAAGCCACCATGGTGAGATCTATAAACCTTTTACAACTTCTTACAATTTTCAAATTAATTTTTCTTCAATTTTATATATGTATTCTATTCATCTATCTCATTTGTTAAATTTCTTCAATTTAATAAACAACCTCTAAATTAGGCAAAATTATTTTTATATTGCATCCTGTATCTCTTATTAGATTTTTTTTACTAAAAAGTCCATCTTATTTTCTTTATATGTGCCATGCATAGCATAATTTATCTTATTTCTAGTTTTAGTTACTGTATGTTAGAAAAAATGTTAAATTCTAGTAACAATAATTTATAGTAAAAACCTAAGAAGCAAACAATTTTTACTCATTCACATAACAAGAATTTAGGAGTACACATTTTATAATTTTTTAACATGTAGTTTTAATTAACAGTTTTTCAGATTGAAAAAGAACATGTTTACTAACATCTAGATATCTTTTATCTGAAATCAGATGTCAATATTACATAAGATTCAACTTATAATTAGTAATTAATGTCAGTTATTATATCATATTTAGAATTGATGCACATAACTAATAAATATTTATTATTTAATTTGGCTTTACAAAATTCTAAGCATATGGAAGCTGATACAGTCTGGCTCTGTCCCCACCCAAATTTTGAATTGTAGCTCCCTTAATTCCCACTTGTCAGGGGAAAGACATGGGGGGAGGTAGTTGAAGAATCATGTGGGCAGGTCTTTTCTGTGCTGCTGTTATAAGTGATAGTGAATAAGTCTTTTGGATTCTGTTAGTTTTAAAAAGAAGAGGTTCCTCACACATGATTTCTTTTTTGCCTACTACCATACAAGATGTGCCTTTCACCTACTGCCATAATTATAAAGCCTCCCCAGCAGTGTGGAATTGTGAGTCAATTAAACCTCTTTCTCTTTATAAATCACCCAGTCTTGGGTATGTATTTATCAGCAGCATAAATATGGACTAATACAGTAAATTGGTATTAGGTAGTAGGTTGCGCCTCTAATGATACCTGAAAATGTGGAAGCAGCTTTAGAATCCAGTAACCAGCAGAGGCTGGAACAGTTTGTAAGCCTCAGAAGAAAATAGAAAAACATGAAAAAGTTTGGAACTTTGCCTAGAGATTTGTTGAATGGCTTTGACCAACATACTGATAGTGATATGAACAGTAAAGCCAGGTTGAGATGGTCTCAGATAAAAATGAGAAGCTTTTTGGAAACTGAAGTAAAGGTCAGTTTTGCTACTGAAGGCATTTTGTCTCTTCCCTGGACATCTGTGAGACTTTGAACATGAGAGAGATGATTTCGGGTATTGGGTGGAAGAAATTTCTAAGCAGCAAAGAGTTCAAGAGAAACAAAAGTATGAACGTGTGGAAAATTTGCAGGCTGATAATGCAATGGAAAAAGAAAAGCCATTTTGGGGGAGAAATTCATGCCTGCAGCAGAAATTTGCATAAGTAGTAAGGAGCCCTGTGTTAGTCACAAATTAGAAAATCTGTTAGTCACAATGGGAAAAATGTCTTCAGGCAATGTCAGAGAGCTTCATGACAGTTTTTCCCATAACAGACACAGAGGCCTAGAAGATAAAAATGGTTTTGTGGTCTAGGTCCAGGGACCTTTGCTGTGTGCAGCCTAGGGACTTCTTTTTCTGCATTCCAGCTGCTCTAGCCATGGCTACAAGGAGCCAAGGTACAGTTTGAGACCATGGTTTCAGAGAGTGCAAGCTCCAAGAAGAGTTGGCATCTTCCATGTAGTGTTGAGCCTGTGGGCTCATGGAAGTCATAAATTGAGGTTTAGAAACCTCTATCTACATTTCAGAAGATTTATCTAAACAGGTGGAAGTCCAGGCAGGAGTTTGCTACAGGGGCAGGGCCCTAATGGGAAATTTCTGCTAGGGCAGTATAAAAGGAAAATGTGGCGTTGAAGCCTCCGCACAGCATCCTCACTGAGGCACTGCCTACTGGAGTTCTGAGAAGAAATTCATTGTTCTCTAGAACTGAGAATGGTAGGTCCACAAAGCTTGCAGACACTCAATACTAGCCCATAAAGAAGCTAAAAGAGAGGCTATATCCTGCAAAACCACAGTGCTGAAGGTGTCTATAACCATGGAACCCACCTCTTGCATCAGCATGTCCTGGTTGTGAGACATGAAATCCAAGGAGACTAGTTGAGAGCTTTAAGATTTGGCTGTGGCCGGGCGCAGTGGCTCATGCCTGTAATCCCAGCACTTAGGGAGGCCGAGGCAGGCGGATCACAAGGACAGGAGACTGAGACCATCCTGGTTAACACGGTGAAACCCCCGTTTCTATTAAAAATACAAAAAATTAGCCAGGCGTCGTGGCGGCCGCCTGTAGTCCCAGTTACTTGGGAGGCTGAGACAGGAGAATGGCGTGAACCTGGGGGGCGGAGTTGCAGTGAGCCGAGATTGCGCCACTGCACTCTGGCCTGGGCGAAAGAGTGAGACTCCATCTCAAAAAAAAAAAAAAAGATTTGGCTGCCCTGCTGGATTTTGGACTTGTGTGGGTTCTGTAGTGTCTTTATTTTAGCCTTTTTTTTTTTTTTCATTTGGAAGAGGTATATTTACCCAATGCTTATATCTCCATCCTATCTAGGAAGTAATTAAGTTGCTTTTTTGATTTTACAGGCTCATAGTGGAAGTGACTTACCTTGTCTCAGACGAAACTTTGAAATTTGGACTCTTGAGTTAATGCTGAAATGAGTTAAGACGGTGGATACTGTTGGGAAGGCATGGTTAGTTTTAAAATGTGAAGACATGAGATTTGGGAGGGGCCTGGGGCAAAATGATATGGTCTGTATCCCCATCCAAATCTGGAATTATAGATCCTATAATTTCCACATTGTCATGGGAGGGACCCAGTGAAAGGTAATTGAATCATGGGGGCAGGTCTTTCCCTTGCTGTCCTCATGATAGTAAATTAAGTATCATGAGATCTGATTTTTTATGAAAGGGAGTTCCTACCATCATATAGGACGTACCTTTCACCTTCCACCATGATCGTGAGGCCTTACCACCTCTGTGGAACTATGAGTTCATTAATCCTATTACTTTATAAATTATGCAAAGTTGAGTATGTCTTTATCAGTAGTTTGAAAATAGACTAATACAAAAACATTTCTAATAAGCATACTATTAAACATTATTATTATATACTTATCTCCAAAGTTTTACTTAAGTTTATTACATTTATCCATTCTTAACTATATATGGAAATTCTCATGAGACATTAGAAAAATCCCTTGTCTCCATGACCATTTACTCATTCTCACTCAGGGCATTCTAGCAACAAAACGATTATCTATTTTTTTTCAGATTTGATTTCTCATGTCATATAAGTAGTCAAGAAGCCTGTTTTTAAGCTAACTGCCACTGCAGGGCTGGACTTTGCTTTCTTTGAATATGACCCTAAAGGTCTTGATGCATATTGAGAAGGGTATGGAAGTGAACAAAAAAATGGGGGCTATGGAGAAAGTGGGAGGAATACTTTGGGAAAGCCTTCATACGCTTGCCAAACCAGCAGCCCTTGGATCCCAAAGGGCAATGATTTATATGCTCTCTTGACATAAAGTAATAATCTTCAGAGGACTTGGGTTTGAGGTAAAAACTCCAAAATGTCAAAGGGAGAAATTTTTCTCCACTTAAAGGGGTACTAACAAGAAAGGCAAGTAGGTGGATTCCATAAAGAACCAGAGTGAGGCCACATGCTGTGGACAAATTGCCTCTAAAGCCACTAGAAAATTTACTACTGTGGTGTAACAGAAATAAAAAGCATATGGTATTATACGGGTTCTGGCAAAGCCAGAGTTCCATCTAGTGTCTGTCCTAACCATGTGCCAGCAGACAGAGGAAGGGCTGGAAGTCATCTAAGCTGATCGGGTAAGAACAAGTATAAATCTCAGGGGATATCTGCAAGGGAGTCCATGTCTTTGCTGCCACACTAATAAAGTGAGAGCTAGGGGTGCAAAAATAACAGGCAGTATGTGCTTAAAAATTCACATGGCATGCAATGTGAAAGCAAAGAGGTAGGTTTGTCTCTTAAGGTTGATAGTATGGGTGTGTGCAAGGCCATTTCAGAACACATATAGAGAAAACAGAAGAAAAAGCAGTGTGCGTTATTGGGGAAAAGCCATGGTTAGTTGAAAAATCAGGGTAAACCACAGACATTGCACAGTTTTAGGGTTTAACCCTCCCACTCTCATGAGCCTCCTGTCCAGGAGGGCCATTAGTGGTTCATTTCCATCCCCACCAAGAGTCACTCATCAGGCTGACCTGAGAGATCAGCCAGTGGAAGCAGAGGCACTGGGAATTATTCTAGGGATATGTTATTAACCAGGAGAGAGAAAGAGAGAAGAAAACCATATACAGGGGTTGAATACATCTACCAAAGAAAAAAAGACTGCAGTTTTCTTAACACTAGAAAATGGATTTGAGTAACATAACATCAAAATATGTTACAGGCAGTTAATTAGTATGGGTCTGAAGTAACCTGAATTCTTTCCTCCTCAGAAAAAAAATAATTTGACTGAGAGGTTTACTGAAGAATGAAAGAGTAAGGCAAGTTTTCAAGCAGAAGTGAAATTTTATTAAGAATTTACACCAGAAGAGAAAGGAAGGACAGTACAGTTGGAAGAGGCCCAAGTGGGTGAGTTAAGAGATTAAGTGCATAATTTGATCTTTGATTTAATATACTTTGGCATACTTTTGGAGTTGTGTTCCTTTCCCTCTTACTCTTCACTTGGGGTGGGCTATCCACAGGTACAGAGGTCTGCCAGCACTTGCAAGATGACCCCATCAGTATATTTATTCAAGTCGTATACACACTCCCTTAAGGTATTCTTTTGTTACCAGGCAAATGTCCCTAGAAGGTCATATACGTAGTTAAATTCTATCATTTTGCTTCTTCATGTGCATGCTTAAGCCCACTTACCCAAACCCTAAAATTGTATTAATAAGCTGCTGATTACCAGTTTCATGTGTTTTTGTTTATTGGGAGACTGCCTTTCCCTGCAATTGGCTGTGACCAATTATTACATTAGGGAGACAGTTTAAAAACACCTGAGTATTACCTAACGGTTACTTAACATTGCCAGTTGTGAGGGGGTCCTCTCCTGGCCTGTCATGTTTGCATGACTACTTATTATTACAGATTGAGCACCCAGTGTAACACATACAAGGGCTTTCCACCCAGTAATGGGTACCTGCACTTATTTGGGGACACTCACCAAGTGTTCGTACCAGCATGAAGCCCTAGCACCGAAATTTTTTTTGCCAATAAGTGGATGACCCTTTGGAAAGTGAATCTCAAAATCCCTCAACAGTTGTAAATGAAACCCCTTTTCAATGGCTGCAAGCCCAAGATAAATTGTGATTTGTGTCTCCAGTGGATATTCTTTCTGTTCCTATTGTGAGACAAAGCCCCTCCATTTTTTTAGCTTCATGCCTGGGCTACATTTTAAAACACTGGAATAAATTTAACCCTCAGACTCCAAAAATAATTTAACTTTTTAGTGCAATACATGATGGTCCCTATGAAATAAATTCTTATATTAGCCTTGTTAGTCTTTTAACTGACAGCAGAATAAGAAGACAGTGCTAAGAAGAAAAAAAAAAATGCAAAAACAAGAACTAGGATGATTTTTGCTGCTTTAAAAGGTTAAAACCCTTCCAGTTTGTCCTAAGGACACTTTTCTTGTAACTGTAACCAGTACAGAAGGCCAGGACACTGTAAGGCGAACTGCCACCAATGATATAAATGGGAAAAAGCCTCTCACGATTTGTCCACTCTGCCAAAAACTCAGCCATGAAAAAACAAAACTGCCTTGAAAGCAAAGGGGTCCCTGGGAGAGAGTCCCCAACCCTGATGACCTTAAGCTGCAGGAGCTCTTTGCTCTGGCTGGCTTTCAATTCAGACATAGTCATTAACAAGATAAAGTCAAGAGCAAATCTGAGACATTAAATAGAATTAAATTAAATTTTATTTTCCGAGTTTAAAAAGCTGCCTAATCTGTGCTAATCCCTGAGCAACCCTCCTCCAATTCCTCTTAGGTAATGGAGGCAAATGGCATGCCCTTTGTATTAGCTTATTCTCATACTTCTCTGGATAAAAACCTGAGATTCAGTAATTTATAAAGAAAAAGAGGTTTAATAGACTCACAGTTCCATATGGCTGAAGAGGCTTCACAATCATGGTAGAAGATGAAGAAGGAGCAAAGGCAAATCTTACATGGGAAGCAAGACAGCATGTGCAGGAAACTGCCTTATTGAAATCATCAGATCTCATGAGATGTATTATGTTGAGAACAGCATGAAAAAAAATAACTCACCCCCATGATTCAATTACCTCCCACTGGGTTTCTCCAGTGATATGTGAGGATTATGGGTGCTAAACTTCAAGATGAGAGTTGGGTGGAAACACAGCAAAACCATATTGCCCTCCATTTGAAAGGAAATTGTTACATATATTAGATAGGCAAGAGTGGGACAGGAGAGGGCTCTTCCCACCCCTCACCAACTAGGAATGTCAAGTAATGGTTTGCCAATTATCACACTGCCTCTCTAAAAATGATAGTTTTGCAGCCCATCTACAGTGCCAGGAAGATGCCATTTCCGATGATTAACAGGTGTTAACATTAAAGTGTTAATTGAATTCAGATGTCAGAGGGAAGAAACTTCCTGGGCATGGACAATAAAAGACAAAATATGACCTTCCAGGTACACTCCAACAGAAAAAGGAAACAAAGCCACAGTTGAGGAACTGTAAAACTTTCTAAACACACTGCATGTGCTTTAATTCCACAGGTAAGAGGGGGACTGCACATGTGGGAAGCCCACACTAAGGGAAGAATCATGGGAAAGAGGTAAGCCTACAAAGCCTATAAAGCTCTAGGATCTAAGCTAATCTTTTAATGTTCACATGCCTGGTTGAATATCTTCCAAGCTTTTTAAATTTTTTGTTCTAAAGCCTTTTAAAATAAACTTCCACTCCTGTTCTGAAACTTGCCTTGACATATTTCTGTTTTATTCCCCTCAGCCAAATACTTTCTTATGAAGAGGGCGGGACTGAAGTTCCTGCAGACCAATCTAAGTATGTCAACAGTAACTCAGGTAACTTGGATTCCTGCCACAAGTAACTTACTTTGTGAGCATTAATCAGACAACTTCCTAGTGGTAAGGTATCTTCATACCTTATTTTCTTTGGCTGGAGGCATCCAACCCCCATGGATGATATCTCCTGCTCCATCTGTTTTTTCTATATATGGTCTGAAATGGCTTTGTGCAGATGTCAGAACTTCTGCCTTGAGGGCAAGCCTGTCTCTTTTTTTTTTACTTTGCACATGATGCAACTTCTTAAACACACACTCCCTTCATACACTTGGAGCTCTCTGTGTTTGTGTGACAGTAAAGGCATGGGGTTCCTTGTGAATATCCCTCGAGGTTTATATTTGGTTCTGCTAGCTTGGGTGACTTTTAGTCCTTCCCCTGCTATTGCTTTTTACTAAAATTGGCTCTTTTCCAAGACAGACACTGATTGGGACTCCAGCTTTGCCAGCTTCTCATAACTCATCATGTTCTTTTCATTCCTGTATGCCTCAAGGATAAGTTTTTCAATGGCTTTTAAAGGTAGCTTGTCCTCTTGCATAGGTCTTTACTCTGGTTTTTTAAGGACTCCACCAAATTTGCTTTTTAAGCTAGCATTGCTTTGAAAGGAGGAGAAATTCTTACCCCAATACCCTAGTCCTCTAGCAGTTACTTTATATCCAGCCCTCTTGAATCCAAGGGCTGCTGGTTTTTTGAGCATATGAAGGCTTTCCATGAGCCATGAGGAATCTTTTATTTCCTTCCACTTTCTACTATAGACTTCATTTTTCTAATTATGTTCATGTTCCTCTTAACATACATCAAGTCCTTTTAAGTCATAGTCTAAAAATGGGAATTTCAGCCCTTCTGGCAGTTAACTGAAAAATAAACTTCTAAGAAAAAGAGATTATCATTTTATTACAGAAATACCTTAAGTGAGAATCACTATAAGGTCTTGAAGAGAAGAATATATGCTTTCCCAAGGCTGCAGAGGAAAGTGACCAATGAGACAGAGATAGGGGCTGTTCCCCGGCTAACACACTCCCATTGAAATACAGATGAAAGGTTTGGGAGTACACAGTAAAGATCAGCTAAGGACAGAATCCCAAAGATGAACAAGATTTCCACTGTCCACCCAAATATCTACTCTGTTCTCAAATAGGTAATTATGGTTAGATGAGGCCAGTTATGTCCAGAGCTTCAAGGATGGACAAGGGCCCTTCTGTTGACTAAAGTATCTCCTGTGTTCCCAAGATGGGTAATTGCAATGAGATTGGAACAAACATAAAGACTTCTTAAGTCTGGAACCCAGGACAAAGGGTATATAGGAAAAACTCATTTAGAACCCACCAAGAAGGGTACATGGTAAAGATTGGTTAAGTCTTGAACCCAGGACAATGGGAAATGTCTCGTACAGAATGATGGTGAAAAAAAGAAATGCCTTCTAATATGGTTCGACTTTGTGTGCCCACCCAGATCTCATCTTATAGCTCCCATAATTCCCATGCGCTGTGAAAGGTTCCCAGTGGGAGAAGATTAAGTCATGGGAGTGGGTCTTTTCAATGCTGTTCTCATGACAGTTAATGGGTCTCATGAGATCTGATGGTTTTTTTAAAAACAGGACTTTCCCTGTACAAGCTCTTTTTGCCTCCTGCTATCTGAGTCAGCCATAATTTGCTCCTCCTTGCATAATTTTGAGGCTTCCTCTGCCACAGAGAACTGTAAGTCCAATTAAATCTGAAAATGTAAAAGCAGTTTTGGAACTGGGTAACAAGCAAACACTGCAAGAGTTTGGAGGGCTCAGAAGAAGACAGGAAAATATGGGAAAGTTTGGGACTTTCCAGAGACTTGTTGAATGGCTTTGCCCAAAATGCTGATAACAATAGGGACAGTAAGGTCCAAGCTGAGGTGATCTGAGATGGAAATGAGAAACTTGTTGGGAACCAGAGCGAAGGTGATCCTTGTTATGTATGAGCAAAGAGACTAGCAACATTTTGCCCCTGCTATATAGATTTGTGGTATTTTGAACTTGAGAAAGAAGATTTAGGGTACCTGGCAAAAGAAATTTCTAAGTAGTGAAGCTTGTGGCATGTGACTTGGGTGCTAGTAAAAGCATTCAGTTTTATAAGGTAAGAACAGCATAAAAGTTTGAAGAATTTGTAACCTGACAATGCAATAGAAAAGTCAGTCCCATTTTCTGAGAAGAAATTCAAGCTAGATGCAAAAATTTCCATGAGTAACAATAAGTCAAATATTAATCTGCAAGACAGTGGAAAGAATGTCTCTAGGGCACATCAGAGATTTTCACAGAAGCCCGTCCCATCACAGGCCTCAATGCCCAGGAGTGAAAAATGATTTCATGGGCCCGATCCAGGGTTCCTGTGCTGTGTGCAGCCTAGGGACTTGGTGTTCTGCATTTCAGCCACTCAAGTCATGGCAGAAAGGAGCCAGGGTAGAGCTCAGACCATGGCTTCAGAGGGTGCAAGCTCTGAGCCTTGGCACCTTTCATGTGACGCTGAGCCTGAGTAAACAGAAGTCAAGGTTTGGGGTATGGAAGCCTCCATCCTCAGAGGATGTATGGAAATGCCTGGATGTCCAGGAGGATGTTTGCTGCAGGGACAGGGCCCTCATGAAGAACATCTGCTAGGGCAGTTCAAAAGGGAAATGTTGGGGTTGGAGTCTCCACACAGAGTCCCTACTGGGGCACCACCTAGTGGAGCTGTAAGAAGATGGCCACCATCCTCCAGAACCTAGAATGGTAGATCCACTGACAGTTGGCACTGTGCACCTGGAAAAGCTGTATACACTCAATGCCAGCCCATCAAAGCTGCTGAGAAGGAGGCTGTACCCTACAATGCCACAGGCACAAAGCTCTCTAAGACCATGGGAACCCACCTCTTGCATCAGTGTGACCCGGATGTGAGACATGGAGTCAAAGGGGAATTATTTTGGAGCTTTAAGATTTGACTTCCTCATTGGATTTTGGACAAGCACGGGGCCTGTAGACCATTTATTCTGGCCAATTTATCCCATTTGGAATGGCTGTGTTTATTAATGCCTGTATGCCTATTGCATTCAGGAAGTGACTCACTTGCTTTTGATTTTACAAGCTCATAGAGCTCATAGGTGGAAAGCACTTGCCTTGTACTGAATGAGACTTTGGACTGTGGACTTTTGAGTTAATGCTCAAATGAGTTAAGACCTTGGAGGACTCTTGGGAAGCCAGAATTAGTTTTGAATTGTGAAGATATAAGATTTGTGATGGGCCAGTGGTGGAATTATATTGATTGGCTCTGTGTTCCCACCCAAATCTCGTATTGTAGCTCTCATAATTCCCATGTGTTGTGGGAAGGACCTGGTGGGAGATAGTTGAATAATTGGAGTGGGTCTTCCCATGCTATTCTCATGATAGTGAATGGGTCTCACAAGATCTGATGGTTTTTAAAAAATGGGAGTTTCCTTAAATAAGTTATTTTTTGCCTGCTACCATCCATTTAAGATGTGACTTGCCCCTCTTTGCCTTCTGTCATTATTATGAGGCTTCCCCAGACACATAGAACTGTAAATGCAATTAAACCTTTTTTTTTTTTGTAAATTGTAAATTTACAAAAAAATGTGTTGTGATTTTTTTTGTAAATTTCCCACTCTCAGGTATATCTTTATCAGCAGCAGGAAAGCGTCTTCTTTTTTATTTTTCCTTTTCTTTTTTGTCTACTCTATTCTGTCTTTGAAGATGAGTAAACACATCTCTGGACCTCAAGACACTCCCCTTGAATGCATCACCTAAAGCTAGGAAAATTTAGTTTTCCTGAACCTTATAAAAACTAGTTTTTCTTTGTCACACTGCTGGACTTACAAATGTCATGGGAGGAAATTACAAAAGCCAGCCTGGAACTCAGTGCCTCAGTGTAGGAAGTCTTCAGATTAGCCTCTTTAATCTCTGATAACTGAGAGTAGAATGAGGAGGACAGGGTTAAGCCTGTTGGGTAAAGCAAATGAGATCCTCACCTTCCAAAAGAAAGAACTCACATCCCTTTATGTTACTTAAGGGATCAATTATCATACTTCTACTAGTCCCTGGTAATGTCTAAATAGCCCATTTGTTTCAGGGGCAAAAATATACTCTCTAAGATTGGGGCTTATTTAATATTTACTGGACCTCTGAGTTCATCTTTCTTTCTATTTGTCCTAGTTCTCCTGGGGAAGCAACCTACAATTTTAACCAGTATCTTCAACCTAGGCAGTCCTACCTCTAGTCTCTAGAAATAGCACACACTTATTCAGACAATACTTAGCAAAAATCTAACTGAGCAATCTCTTGAGGAGGGATAAGTTCTAACAGTATGTACATAACCTCTTTATTTGCTGCCATTCACAAGACTTCAGGGCTGCTAGAGCTCTGAGAAAGAGAAACCAGAAGCCTGGCTAGCTGGCAAAAGGATAGAAATTCTTACTAGTAAGATTCATGGCTTTCCTCTATATGTAAACTGGTAGTACAAATACTGTATTCACTCCATGAACAGTGTTTTACTTGCTATCTTGAACTTTCTTTTTTTTTTTTGAGCTACATTTGTAAATTCTAAATCTTAAAAAAACTGCTTATTGCCTCCAAAAATACCTTATATACTTGTGGTTAAGTCATAACCTCAGTAAAGGCTTATTGGTTTTGCCTGCGAGATTACTTTTTATAAAGTTTAAAATACAAAAGTATTGGCCATTTGACTTGGCTAAAATCTGGTAAAAAAGAAAGGACTAGCTTAATTAAAAGTGGATAACTAAGCTATACCTATATTAGAGCTGAAATGTTCAGAAATATCAAGAACAAGCGTTAACTAAATGTTGCTGATGGTTTTTTTTCAGAGAGTCAAAAAAACTTTTGAGCCATTTACAGCTTTTAACAATTATGTGAAGTTTGCTCCCTTGAAAAAAATTTTGAACACATTTTTTTCTCTTTCTACCTCATTTCTTCAGGATTTGGAAACTATTTGTGAGTATTCATATGGCAATATAGTCATTTTGCATAAGTGCAATAATTTTTTTTTTACAACAAAACACAGCTGGGGAAACTGGTTGTTTTACCAAGGCTTTGACTGGAATACCATGCTTTTCTTTAAGGAATCAAGCTTGACTTATATAGCCAATAATAGATGGTCGGAAAAACTGGCCTCATATTTTGTCTACACAGTCCTTGTACAGGGATCCTAACCTGCAGTGAGCTAAAAAAAAAAAAAAAAAAAAAAAAGTCAGTTTCTAACAGATTCAGTGGCCCCAAGATTTCCTGGGACCACAGGAGAAGAGAAATCTACCCAACTCATAGGTATTTAGGGATAAATGTGAAAATGGTTTTCTTGCTGCACTTTATGCAATTAATTACATTAAGCATAATAAGACTAAAGCTTATTTTGCAAACAAACCAGTAACATTATTATTTCTTTCGTTCTAACAAAAATGAGAATTAAACAAAAAAGTTTGTTTCCAAAGTTAAATATACCTACTAGTAGACTCTACTAGTAGATTCTAGATTCAGCAATTATTTATGAGATTTGTCTTCATTTTAGACTAGCCCTGCTTATTCCTGTGAATGAACCACCAATCTGTGTCTTCAGGTCAGGAGAAAGAAAAAGGTAGGAAATGTAAGTACTGGATCTATATTCTAGTTCTTAGAACATATTGGAAAAGCTGACACTGGGCCCTAACACTTCTATTTCTGACATAATTAAAATAACATCCTTGGTCTTTTGTAACTAGGGACCAGGAAGAGAAGAAAAGGGCTTAGTAAAAGGAGTGAATGCCTCAACATATTCATGTTGTGAGCGGCTTAACCAATTATATGCAAGCAAAGATGACTTCAAATATCAGCCCCTAAATAATCTGGATGCAATTTGGTTTTCAGATAGCAATAGCTCTGTCAGAAATGAAACTAAATATTCAAGGTACCCTGCAGGGTACCCTGGGGACCTCAGTGCAACTAGCTCAACTCACTGCACTGACAAGAGCCCCAAAACTTGGTTAAAGAAGGAAAAGAACAATTTCTGCAGATTCCAAATATGCCCTTATGATGGTTCATACCACACAGCTATCTGGAAGTAAAGTGCATATCTAACAGCTCGAGATATGCCTATTAAACATATAATTCAAATCTTAGAACTACTGGAGCCTGTTCACCTGCCCCACGAAGTGGCAGTAGTGCACTGTAAAGGACACTAAAAAGACTCTGATAAAACTGAAAGGGAATATAGGCTAGCTAAATAACAAGCTAAAGAGGCAGCCATCTCAAAAACATACCTTAATGAGGGCTTCATTTCTTTCTCTCCCCAGTGAACTGCCCCCTCTCCAATACTCTAATAAACAAATAGGCTGGGGAACTCAACATGAGTATAAAAAATAGTGCATGGTATAGGCTAAGAGAACTTCATCTATCTAAAGCTTCTTAATGGAAAGTTATCAAGGGCTTACATGACTCTTGCTACCTTAGAAAGGATAGTCTAGCACAGATTTGTAAATTAATATTCAGTGAGAAAGGATTAAATGAAACTATCCTACTGTCTTGTCAAGCCTGTGCCCTGTGTGACATAAAATAATTCCCATAGAGGGAACACCCCTTCATTGATATATCCAATTTAAAGGAGAAGTACATATCCTGTGGAGGACTGGCAGATTACTCCACTCAGAGCCCTGCAGCTTCAGTTATAAGTAGCTCCTGGTCTGTGTAGACACCTTTTAGAATGGGTAGAAGACTACCCCCACAAAGTGGAGAAGGGATAGAAAGTAACAAATTTCCTCTTAAAGGAACTTACTTTCTGGTTTAGGTTCCCCAGGTCATTTTAAATTGAAAATAATCCATCTTCTATTTCCCAAATAACTTTACAGGCCATTAGTGCCTTAGGCATAAGGTGGTACCTTCATTCTGCCTGAGGAACACAATATTTAAGAAAAGTTGAAAGAACAAATGAAAACCCTCAAATGCATCCTCAATAAGCTCCTTCAGGAAACAGTGTAACTATGGGTGGGCCTCTTACCTTTGGTTCTCCTTTGAATCCGCATTACTTCTGAGCCTCTTCTACAATTAAGCCCCTTTTAGGTTATATAAGATAGGCCATTTTTATGTTAAGACCTATTACTGGATGAAAAAACTGCCACAATCACCCACATCTCTTCCTTATCAGGCTTCCAACAGGTCTTCAGGGAATATAGGTTACAAACAAACCCTAAATTGAAGGGAGAAAGATCCCCACCTCTGTATTCTTCAAGCTCATTGGTTCTTATTAAAGCTTTGGAAGGTGAATCCTCAAATTTCCAGCTAAATCCTGTCTCAGAGAGTCTCCTCAGTGTTTTATTATCTATTCCCACAGCCATTAAAATACCAGAAAATGGTGCCTGCTAAACACATCACACCTGAGTGAAGCTGTGGAAAGGATTAAACAAAACTATCCTACTGTCTTGTCAAGCCTGTGCCCTGTCTGACATAAAATAATTCCCACAGAGGGAAGTCCCCTTCATTGATATATCCAATTTGAAGGAGAAGTACATACCCTGGGGAGGACTGGCAGATGACTCCACTCAGGCCTGAGACAACAGACCTGGAAGCAATGCTCTCACCTCCAGAATACATGTGTGAATTGCTGGAAGATCAAAGGTTCCTCTTTAAGCAGAAATATAAGTAATGTTTTTTCACCTTAAAGTAAGGAAATTTAATGTTAGAAATGTTCCTCTGATTGCTTTCACTGTTTTAACTCTTATTTGTATACCACCAGGAGTTCCAGTGGCATTTCCCTTTATGAGCAATCTCTCACTCAAAATTACTATGGGTCGCCATAGTCCTGCTGCTGCTGGTTTTTATACTCACTCCCTTACTGGTAGTATAAAATCATCCTGATTTCCCATTATTGGAAAAAGTTTAGCAAATGCTCCATAGCACAGGATCCCTTTACCTCAACAATTGGTGGCTATGTACTAGCTCTTCCACTACAAGGACAGAAATTGCTTAACCACCTTAACCGAGAGACTGCACAATCACAGATGCAGAATTACAAACTGCCTAACAATGGGAACCTAATCTAAGAGGAATGTTCAAGGCTGGGAATAGCCTCCTTGAAAGAGTAAAGGGAGATTTGTCTGACAACTACAGGAAACCTTTAATTTTTGGACATATTTTTTCTAATTTTTTTTAAATTATACTTTAACTTTTAGTGTACATGTGCACAACGTGCAGGTTTGTTACATATATATACATGAGGCATGTTGGTGTGCTGCACCCATTAACTCATCATTTAACATTAGGTATATCTCTTAATGCTATCCCTCCCCCCTCCCCCCACCCCACAACAAGGTCTGGTGTTTGATGTTCCCCTTCCTGTATCCATGTGTTCTCATTGTTCAATTCCCACCTATGAGTGAGAATATGCAGTGTTGGTTTTTTTGGTCCTCGCAATAGTTTGCTGAGAATGATGGTTTCCAGCTTCATCCATGTGCCTACAAAGCACATGAACTCATCATTTTTTATGGCTTCATAGTATTCCATGTTGTATATGTGCCACATTTTCTTAATCCAGTCTATCATTGTTGGACTTTTGGGTTGTTTCCAAGTCTTTGCTACTGTGAATAGTGCCACAATAAACATACGTGTGCATATGCCTTTATAGCAGCAAGATTTATAATCCTTTGGGTATATACACACTAATGGGATGGCTGGGTCAAATGGTATTTCTAGTTCTAGATCCCTGAGGAATTACCACACTGAATTCCACAACGTTGAACTAGTTTACAGTCCCACCAACAGTGTAAAAGTGTTCCTATTTCTCCACATCCTCTCTAGCACCTGTTGTTTCCTGACTTTTTAATGATCACCATTCTAACTGGTGTGAGACGGTATCTCATTGTGGTTTTGATTTGCATTTCTCTGATGGCCAGTGCTGATGAGCACTTTTTCATGTATCTTTTGGTTGCATAAATGTCTGATTTTGAGAAGTGTCTGTTCATATCCTTCACCTACTTTTTGATGGGGTTGTTTTTTTTTTCTTGTAAATTTGTTTGAGTTCATTGTAGATTCTGAATATTAGCCCTTTGTCAGATGAGTAGATTGCAAAAATTTTCTCCCATTCCGTAGGTTGCCTGTTCACTCTGATGGTAGTTTCTTTTCCTGCTCAGAGGCTCTTTAGTTTAATGAGATCCCATTTGTCAATTTTGGCTTTTGTTGCCATTGCTTTTGGTGTTTTAGAAATGAAGTCCTTGCCGACGCCTAAGTCCTGAATGGTATTGCCTAGGATTTTTTCTAGGGTTTTTATGGTTTTAGGTCTAACATGTAAGTCTTTAATCCATCTCAAATTAATTTTTGTATAAGGTGTAAGGAAGGGATCCAGTAGTTCCCAGCACCATTTATTAAATAGGTATTCCTTTTCCCATTTCTTGTTTTTGTCAGATTTGTCAAAGATTAGATAGTTGTAGATATGTGGCATTATTTATGAGGGCTCTGTTCTGTTCCATTGGTCTATATCTCTGTTTTGGTAGCAGTACCATGCTGTTTTGGTTACTATAGCCTTGCATTATAGTTTGAAGTCAAGTAGCGTGATGTCTCCAGCTTTGTTCTTTTGGCTTAGGATTGACTTGGCGTTGTGGGATCTTTTTTGGTTCCATATGAACTTTAAAGTAGTTTTTCCAATTCTGTGAAGAAAGTCATTGGTAGCTTGATGGGGATGGCATTGAATCTATAAATTACCTTGGGCAGTATGGCCATTTTCATGATATTGATTCTTCCTACCCATGAGCATGGAATTTTCTTCCATTTGTTTGTATCCTCTTTTATTTCATTGAGCTGGTTTGTAGTTCTCCTTGAAGAGGTCCTTCACATCCCTTGTAAGTTGGATTCCTAGTTATTTTATTCTCTTTGAAGCAATTGTGAATGGACGTTCACTCATGATTTGGCTCTCTGTTTGTCTGTTATTGGTGTATAAGAATGCTTGTGATTTTTGCACATTGATATTGTATCCTGAGACTTTGCTGAAGTTGCCTATCAGCTTAAGGAGACTTTGGGCTGAGATGATGGGGTTTCCTAGATATACAATCATATCATCTGCAAACAGGGACAATTTGACTTCTTCTTTTCCTAAGTAAATACACTTTATTTCCTTCTCCTGCCTAATTGCCCTGGCCAGAACTTCCAACAATATGTTGAATAGGAGTGGTGAGAGAGGGCATCCCTGTCTTGTGCTAGTTTTCAAAGGGAATACTTCCAGTTATTTGCCCATTCAGTATGATATTGGCTGTGGGTTTGTCATAGATAGCTCTTATTATTTTGAAATAAGTCCCATCAATACCTAATTTATTGAGAGTTTTTAGTATGAAGGGTTGTTGAATTTTGTCAAAGGCCTTTTCTGCCTCTATTGAGATAATCATGTGGTTTTTGCCTTTGGCTCTGTTTACATGCTGGATTACATTTATTGATTTGCGTATATTGAACCAGCCTTGCATCCCAGGGATGAAGCCTATTTGATCATGGTGGATAAGCTTTCTGATGTGCTACTGGATTTGGTTTGCTGATATTTTATTAAGGATTTTTGCATTGATGTTCATCAGGGATATTGGTCTAAAATTCTCTTTTTTTGTTGTGTCTCTGCCAGGCTTTGGTTTCAGGATGATGCTGTCCTCATACAGTGAGTTAGGGAGGATTCCCTCTTTTTCTATTGATTGGAGGAGTTTCAGAAGGTAAGGTACCAACTCCTCCTCACACCTCTGGTAGAATTCGGCTGTGAATTCATCTTGTCCTGGACTTTTTTTGGTTGGTAGGCTATTAATTATTGCCTCAATTTCATAGTCTGTCATTGGTCTATTCAGAGATTCAACTTCTTCCTGGTTTAGTCTTGGGAGGGCATTTGTGTCAAGGAATTTATCCATTTTTTCTAGATTTTCTAGTTTTTTGCATAGAGGTGTTTACAGTATTCTCTGTTGGTAGTTTGTATTTCTGTGGGATCAGTGGTGATATCCTCTTTATCATTTTTTGTTTTGTCTATTTGATTCTTCTCTCTTTTATTCTTTATTAGTCTTGCTAGCAGTCTGTCAATTTTGTTGATCTTTTCAAAAAACCAGCTCCTGGACTCAATGATTTTTTGAAGGGTTTTTGTGTCTCTATTTCCTTCAGTTCTGCTCTGATCTTAGTTATTTCTTGCTTTCTGTGAGCTTTTGAATGTGTTTGCTCTTGCTTCTCTAATTATTTTCATTGTGATGTTAGGATATCAAGTTTCAATATTTATTGCTTTCTCTTGTGGGCAAATAGTGCTATAAATTTCCCTCTACACACTGCTTTAAATGTGCCCCAGAGATTCTGTTATGTTGTGTCTTTGTTCTTGTTGGTTTCAAAGAACATCTTTATTTCTGCCTTCATTTTGTTATGTACTCAGTAGTCATTCAGGAGCTTCCATTTAGTTGAGAAGTTTTGAGTGAGTTTCTTAATCCTGAGTTCTAGTTTCATTGCACTGTGGTCTGAGAGACAGTTTGTTATAATTTCTGTTATTTTACGTTTGCTGAGGAGTGCTTTACTTCCAACTATGTGGTCAATTTTGGAATAGGTGTGGTGTGGTGCTGGAAAGAACGTATATTCTGTTGATTTCAGGTGAAGAGCTCTGTAGATGTCTATTAGGTCTGCTTGGTGCAGAGCTGAGTTCAGTTCCTGGATATCCTTTTTAACTTTCTGTCTCGTTGATCTGTCTAATGTTGACAGTGGGCTGTTAAAGTCTCCCATCATTATTGTGTGGGAGTATAAGTCTCGTTATAGTTCTCTGAGGATTTGCTTTATGAATCTGGGTGCTCCTGTATTGGATGCATATATATTTAGGATAGTTAGTTCTTCTCTTTGAATTGATCCATTTACAATTATGTAATGGCCTTCTTTGTCTCTTTTGATCTTTGTTGGTTTAAAGCCTTTTTTTTATCAGAGACTAGGATTGCAACCCCTGCCTTTTTTTTTGTTTTTAATTTGCTTGGAAGATCTTCCTCCATCCCTTTGTTTTAAGCCTATGTGTGTCTCTGCATGTGAGATGGGTTTTCTGAATACAGCACATTGATGGGTCTTGACTCTTTATCCAATTTGCCAATCTGTGTCTTTTAATTGGAGCATTTAGCCCATTAACATTTATGGTTAATATTGTTATGTGTGAATTTGATCCTGTCATTATGATGTTAGCTGGTTATTTTGCTCATTAGTTGACACAGTTTCTTCCTAGCCTGGATGGTCTTTACAATTTGGCATGTTTTTGCAGTGGCTGCTACCGGTTGTTCCTTTCCATGTTTAGTACTTCCTTAAGGAGCTCTTTTAGGGCAGGCCTGGTGGTGACAAAATCTCTCAGCATTTGCTTGTCTGTCCAGGATTTTATTTCTCCTTTGCTTATGAAGCTTAGTTTGGCTGGACATGAAATTCTGATTTGAAAATTCTTTTCTTTAAGAATGTTGAATATTGGCCCCCACTGTCTTCTGGCTTGTAGAGTTTCTACCAACAGATCAGCTGATAGTCTGATGGGCTTCCCTTTGTGAGTAACCGACCTTTTTCTCTGGTTGCCCTTAACATTTTTTCCTTCATTTCAACTTTGGTGAATCTGACAATTATGTATCTTGGAGTTGCTCTTCTCGAGGAGTACCTTTGTGGCATTCTCTGTATTTGAATATTGGCCTGCCTTGCTAGATTGGGGAAGTTCTCCTGGATAATAACCTGCAGAGTGTTTTCCAACTTGGTTCCATTCTCCCTGTCACTTTCAGATACACCAATCAGGTGTAGATTTGGTCTTTTCACATAGTCCCATATTTCTTGGAGGCTTTGTTCATTTCTTTTTATTATTTTTTCTCTAAACTTCTTGCTTCATTTCATTCATTTGATCTTCAATCACTGATACCCTTTCTTCCAGTTGATCAAATTGGCTACTGAAGCTTGTGCATTCATCTCACAGTTCTCGTGCCGTGGTTTTCAGCTCCATCATGTCCTTTAAGGACTTCTCTGCATTGGTTATAGTTAGCCATTCATCTAATTTTTGTTCAAGGTTTTTAACTTCTTTGTCATGGGTTTGGACTTCCTCCTTTAGCTCAGAGTAGTTTGATCATCCGAAGCCTTCTTCTCTCAACTCGTTAAAGTCATTCTCCATCCAGCTTTGTTCCATTCCTGGTGAGGAGCTGCATTCCTTTGGAGGAGGAAGGGCACTCTGATTTTTAGAGTTTCCAGTTTTTCTGCTCTGTTTTTTCCCCCATCTTGGTGGTTTTATCTACCTTTGGTCTTTGATGATGGTGACGTACAGATGGGGTTTTGGTGTGGATGTGCTTTCTGTTTGTTAGTTTTCCTTCTAACAGTGAGGACCCTCAGCTTCAGTTCTGTTGGAATTTGCTGGAGGTCCACTCCAGACCCTGTTTGCCTGGGTATCAGCAGCAGAGGCTGCAGAACAGCGGATACTGGTGAACAGCAAATGTTGCTGCCAAATCATTCTTCTGGAAGTTTTTTCTCAGAGGAGTACCCAGCCATGTGAGGTGTCAGTCTGCCTCTGTGGAGGGGTGCTTCCCAGTTAGGCTACTCAGGGGTCAGGGGCCCACTTGAGGAGGCAGTCTGTCTGTTCTCAGATCTCCAGCTGTGTGCTGGGAGAACCGCTACTCTCTTCAAAGCTGTCAGACAGGGACATTTAAGTCTGCAGAGTTTTCTACTGTCTTTTGTTTGGTTATGCCCTGCCCCCAGATGTGAAGTCTACAGAGGCAAGCAGGCCTCCTTGAGCTGCAGTGGGCTTCACCCAGTTTGAGCTTCCTGGCCTCTTTGTTTACCTACTCAAGCCTCAGCAATGGTGGTCACCATCCCCCCAGCCTCACCGCTGCCTTGCAGTTTGATCTCAGACTGCTGTGCTAGCAATGAGTGAGCATAGGACCCTACAAGCCAGGTGCAGGATATGATCTCCTGGTGTGCCATTTGCTAAGACCATTAAAAAAGTGTAGTATTAGGGTGGGAGTGACCTGATTTTCCTGGTGCTGTTTGTCACCCTTTCTTTGACTAGGAAAGGGAATTCCCTCACCCCTTGAACTGTTTGGGTGAGGTGATGCCTTGGCTTGCTTTGGCTCATGCTCAGTGTGCTGCACCCACCATCCTGCACCTACTGTTCAGTACTCCCCAGTGAGATGAATCCAGTACCTCAGTTGGAAATGCAGAAATCACCCATCTTCTGTGTCACTCATGCTGGGAGCTGTAGAGTGGAGCTGTTCCTATTCAGCCATCTTGGCTCCACCCCTCCAATATTGATTTAATGGTAATAGCCCCTATTTGTGTTACAGCTAAAAAGAAAAATGAAATAAATGTAGGTTGTAATGTTATTTTCACTAACCTACAGACTTATCAATTATATCCTTACAATCATTTCTATCATCAACCAAGATTCCACAATTTTCCAAGCATTACCTTCCCCTAGGAAACTGGTAGATAAGTCCACTGGCTTTGCCTAGGACACCAAATCTCATTCAGTACTCAAAAGTTCCAGATTTCAGCCTGCTGATTATAACCAACATTTGCCAGTAGCTAATCTCAGCACTACAGCAGAATGGCTTTGTTTGGACCATACTCAAGTTATCTTTTTTTTTTCAAAATAACAACCAGGGAGTTAACCAATGCCAAATCACATGTACCCAAGTCTTAGCATGCATAACTATAGCCATCAGTTACCTGGGCATGTTGGCAGCCTCAGTATTTTTGGAGCTGTACTTACCTTCTTACTTTGTTTTGGTCCATAACTTCTGAATCTAATAACCCAGTTATCTTGTCTCACCTTCAGGCCCTCAAGCTCTAGATGATCCTCAGTGAGAGATACTGTACTCATTATTCAAGAGGTACCCTTTGACACAGGACCTCTAAACTGCCCATGACCAGGACAGAAAGGAGGTGAAATCTTGCTCTCATCTCCCTTGGACCCCACAAGATTCTGCTTTTTCCAACACATGGAGTCATCCTCCTGCCCTGATAGGTAACGAGACAAAGACACACAAAACTACCACCATCCCTCTGTCAGAAGAAAGCAGTTATGGACGATTGACCTTCACCTTTTTTCCCCAAAGATTTGAGGTCTTGACTCTTGAGAGTGAAATGTTACAGGTAGATAGGCATGAACAGGGCAAGAGAGAGCTCTCCCCAGCACAACCACTCAGAATGTCAGGTGGTGGTTTGACAATTATCATACTGTCTTTCTAAATGATGATAATTTGGCAACTTACCCAAGGAACCAGGAAGAGGACATTTTGTCATGGTCTGCAGCTAATATCATGAACGTGTTAATTGAATGCAGACGTCAGACAGAAGAAAATTCCTGGGCATGCACACTGAGATAAAATGGCAAAATATGACATTCTGTGTATACTCCATGAGAAAAAGGATAGAAAGCCTCAGTTGGGCAACTGTACAACTTCCTAAGCACACTGTGTGTGCTAAATTCCAAGGGGTAAGAGGGGCAGTGCACATTTGGAAAGCCCACCCTAAGGGAGAAAACATGGGAAAGAGGAGACCCTATAAAGCACTAGCATAAAGGTTAAAGAATCTCTTTAACCTTCACATGACCACTTGAATCTTTCCCAAGCAAATCATTTTTTTTTTCTTTTCCATTCTAAAGTATTTAAAAATAAACTTTAGCTCTGAAAGTTGCCTTGGTGTCTTTCTGCCTTGCCCCCTCAGTCAAATTCTTTGGTATGAGGAGGGTGGAATTGAAATTGCTATAAACTAATCTAGGTATGCTGCCAGTAACTCGAGTAATTCAGGTTCCTGCCACTAGTAATAAAAAGTCACTCACAGCTGGGCTTATGCCTGTAATCCCAACACTTTGGGAGGCCAAGGTGGGTGGATCACCTGAGGTCAGGAGTTTGACAGAAGCCTGGCCAACATGAGGAAATCCCATTTCTACCAAAAATACAAAATTTAGCTGGAAGTAGTGGTACATGCCTGTAATCCCATATATTTCAGAGGCTGAGGCAGAAGAATTGCTTGAACCCAAGAGTCGGAGATTTCAGGGAGTTGAGATCATGCCATCACACTCCAGCCTGGGCAACAGGAGCAAAACTTCATATCCAAAAAAAAAATTAACACCCTTCAATATTATGTAAGGAAAAAATTATCATTTTCCTACCAGTCCCTGGTAATACTAAAATATTCTACACCCATTTGGGACAATAATATACTTTCCATGATGAGTGCCTATTTAATATTCTCCCAGATTCTGATTCATCTTTTCCTTTAATAGCCCTGTTTTTCCTAGATAAGCAACCTAAATTATTAGCATTAATCTCAAGCTGGATATTCTTACCTGAGGGATTTTAAATAGCCTACACTTATGCAAACAAGCCCTAACAAAAAATCTGAGTAATCTTTTGAGAGTTATTAATCACTGTAAGTAACCTTCTTATCTCCCCTTCTCTGTAAGATGCACATACCAGCAAACTACAAACCATAATCTTCCAGAAGAAAAGATGTCTTTTGTCCAATTCAAAAGTTACAAAGTTTAAACTGTATTTTTAATAAGAAAAGTTATTTTTAAGTTATTATATGGGAAAGAATCATATATGGTAAGTTCTTATTCTAAAGCAAAATGAACAGTTGTTTAAAAGGGGAACATTTAGAACAAGTCAGAAAGTCCAAGCATGTTGTAGATAGTCAGTGTAAGTCATGAGAAAATTAGTGGAACAAAAATTACTTTAAAATATTGTATGGAATTAATGCACAATAGTTTCTCTGAAATTATTCTTTATGCTGTGTCTAATTAAGCTCAAATAATTTTTATATCAAGTTGAACATTTGGATTGTCTAAATAGGCTACTAATAAGAATTGAAAGTCAAACTACAAAAGAACTTTTTTTTACTTTTGAATAATTGGCTTAAAAATTTATTTTCTAGAATTCTGAAGTTTTACTTTCCAGTAATACTGCAAATAAAATATTTGTCTCTCCCCAATAATGCCGGCTACTTTCCTGAATCTCCCCTGAATTTACTGAACACCAATTTTACCTTAACATGCTTCCTCCTTATAACAAAATTCAATCCTTAAGTTTCACAATCCAGAAAAATGACCTACAGGATCTCCAGAAAGATGAACAATAGGGCCAGTATTATGCCTACAGTCAGCAGGAAGTAGTTGAAAAATATGATTCCCCATTCCAATGCCAAAAATTTCTCATTTTTCTGTCAGGTGGAGAAAGGGAAGTGCTGATAAGTAAATAACAATGAGTAAGTGGTCCCCGGTGGGGAAGAAAAATTGTTCTGAGAAACAGTTAATTACAAACAATTTACTGTCATAACATTCTGCTTCAACTACCTCTCTCTGCATACAGTTCTAGCACTGGGATTTTGTTCACCCTGTAGTGCCTCCAGCATGGCTCTATAAAACTTTCCACCATGCTCTGCCTCATTGCAGACAGCCTTTCTCTGTGTGCTGCATATTGCACCCCTGCAATGTATCTTTGTACTTTCTCTAATAAATCTGTATTTACCTGTGATTGGCTTGGTAAATTTATTTACCACTCAGCCACAGTTGCAACACATTGCTCTCAAAGTATATCTGAAAATTTGAATTTTAAAAAAATTATGTTAATAATAGAGTTTTAATAATAATGTAATATAGCGACTCAAATGTGATATATTTTACAATTTATAGAAAACACACAAAAGCAAAAAAAAACAACAGAATCTGATGCTTTTTAGGATTACCTCTGCAAACTAATGTCTCACTTAACATGTCTCACACTTTTCTTTATGTATTATTATGTGGATAATTTAATCTTTGTTAAGAGCTTCCATTCATTACCATCACCTTATTTAACCATGCTTTACTGTTGTATGCTTCCATAGAATACCTTTATTCTCATACAGTAATAATCTCTGGAAATACGCCCTGATAAATACCTGAAAAAAAATACTTACTGTGTTTAAGTTTCTGAGATTTGGCCCAAGGGTTTTACCAAGTAACATTAGGGAAGCTAAGAATTCAGAGGAGCCTGTCAATTTTATTCAGTGAAATTTAGGTAGAAACCTGGACTGAGGGAAGACACTAAGCATCCCATTAAATTCAGGCTTTGTTCTCCCATGAACAGGCTGTCGCACTGCAAATTGTCCTATGATTTTATATAATTTCCAGGGACAGTGGGGAATAAGGATTGTCAATCTAAAATAATTAAAAATTTAAAATCTAGTTTAATTAGAATGTCTTTATCTACCTAATTTTAGAATAGCCAGAGAAGAACATACACTCAAGTTGCCCTGAATATAAACTCCTATTAGCAACAGTTACAAGAGGGTTTGTAAAAAAAAAAAAAAAAAAAAAAAAAAAAAAAAAAAAGGTCATTTCAAAATTGTTTTTCAAGGATTACATTAAGATATACCTCACGTAGCTTAGATTTCTTTGAGCCATTTCTTTTTTATTAGAACACAGAATGATTTCTCTGGTCAGACATCTCATTTCTTTCTGCTACCACCATGGTATTTCCACCCATGTATGCTCATGTGCTGTAGGTAATGATGAGGCTGTGTTTCTCCCAAGACAAATGTTCAAGTTCAGAAATTACTCCCACAATGTATTTGCTCCCAGAGGTTCCCACCAAAAATCTACATAGGTGCTTAGGAAACTCCTGGTGTATTCCTACCCCCAGACCCTGATTAAGGGACAGCATCATGGTTTTGTTACCACTTTGGCTTCTGGACCACTTGACTATAATCTCATTCTTATGGACACAAACAAATCAGAGCATAACAGTATCTGTTCCACTATCTGTACCACACAGCAGTTTTTCCACCAAATCTGCATTTTTTTCACACATCAGTTCTAGATAGCAGCTTTCCCTCATCTGCCTCTTTTTTTTTTTTTTTTTTTTTTTTTTTTTTTGCCTCACAAGCTCTTTTATGTGCCCACAATCTGGCTGAGTCCACCTCTCAGTTGCCTAAACTCAGGACTCTTAAAATTCAAATTCCCATGAATTTAAGACCAAGTTGCTGAACCTAGTTGTTGTAAGCATTAGGTACGAACTGGAAGTATAAAAAACAAATTAGAAAAATTTCCAACTGAAAAATAAGAGAAACATTTTGATTTATTTTTTAAAACATTTAATTTAAAAAGAACTTCTATAAGTAAATTTATTCTCTGTCTGTTTGACATATATGTAAATAATTTTAACAGATATACAATTCTTTTTTTTTTAACTCAGAAATATCTTCCTGCAGGACCTTGGAAACATTGCTTTGAAAAGTAAATAGCAAAGATATTGGAGCCCCATCCCACAGTCTATGTAAGAGCATAGAAGCCAAATTCAGCAGTCTCCTGGCTGCAATTTGAAAAACTACTTCAAGTCATAAAGAAATGGCGACAACATTCTTTTTTATTCACATATGCCAATTCGCAAATACAGATGGTTTCCTCAAGCACTTGATGATTTTTTTGATGAATAGTGTATGACAGATGATGCTGTCAAGTTTTCTACTTGAGGACTAATTAGGGAAACCTTCTGTTTTTGCAATATTTTAGAAGATTACCTATGATTTAAATCACATGCAGGTTTAATTATATAATATAAGTTTTCTTTCTGTTCTGTCATTTGGAAGAGGTTTTATGGGAGTTGGGGACAATTTTTATTTTAATTATACATTGTACAGAATTACCAGATAGTATGTAAACCTATGAGATGCCTACCAGGCTTTACTCTAGTGACAGTTTACCTCTAAGGCATTCTGTCATAACTGACAGTTGTGCAGTAATATGCAAACTGTATCTAAATTCTGCAAGTAGAATAGTGTCTCTTCCTATTTGAGAGTTACTGTGTCTGCTAGAGCAGTTAGACCAGATTTCTCCATAAATAATGAGGCAGCAGTCAACCAGCTTTCCCCTTTCAATGCCCTTGGCATTTTTACACTTATAACTGTTTCAAGGACCATAGAGCATTTAAACTCATCCAGGTTTACACAAGTGCATTAAGTAGATCTGAAAATTTTAATGACATTCTCCTCCTTTAGCTATAATGTCCATAGAGGTTTAGAGAACACCTCTGCATTCTCACACTTTGAATACCTAAATCTGCAACTTCAAATTATGTATCAAGTTTCTGGTATTTGAAAAACAAAAGAAAAACTTTTATCTGAGATATGCAAGTGACGTTATTTATCAAGCTTAAGGAGACATTGAATGAGATGCTAATCATGTCCTTTTTTTTTCATTATACTTTAAGTTCTGGGATACATGTGCAGAACTTGCAGGTTTGTTACATAGATATACATGTCCAATGGTGGTATGTTGTACCCATCAACCCATCATCTACATTAGGTATTTCTCCTAACGCTATCCCTCCCCCTGGCCCTCACTCTCTGTCCATGTGTTCTCGTTGTTCAACTCCCATTTGTGAGTGAGAACATGTATGGTTGTTTTTCTCTTACTGTGTTAGTTTGCTAAGAATGATAGTTTCCAGCTTCATCTATGTCTCTGCAAAGGATATAAACTCGTTCTTTTTTATGGCCGCTTAGTATTCCATGGTATATATGTGCCACATTTTCTTTATCCAGTCTGTCATTGATGGACAGTTGGGTTGGTTCCAAGTCTTTGCTTTTGTGAATAGTGCTGCAATAAATATACGTGATGATATAAACATATGATATAAATATACATGATCTCCATTCTTTTTCATTTTCTGAGGAGTGTTTTACTTTCAATTATGTGGTCAATTTTAGAAAAAATGCTATGTGGTGCTGAGGATATATATTCTGTTGATTTGGGCTGGAGAGTTCTGTATATGTCTATTAGGTCTGCTTGGTCCAGAGCTGAGTTCGAGTCCTGAATATATTTGTTAATTTTCTGTTTTGCTGCTCTGTCTAATACTGACAGTGGGGTGGGTGGGGTATTACAGTCTCTCAGTATTATTGTGTGGGAGTCTACATCTCTTTGTAGATCTCTAAGAACTTGCTTTATGAATCTGTGTGCTCTTTTATTGGGTGCACTTATATTTAAAATAGTTAACCCTTCTTTTTGCATTGATCCCTTCATCATTATGTAATGCCTTTCTTTGTGTTTTTTAAATCTTTGTTGGTTTAAAGTCTGTCTTGTCAGAGACTAGGATTGCAATCCTTACCTTTTTTTTTTTTTTTTTTTTTTTTTTTTTTGGCTTTCCATTTGCTTGGTAAATATTCCTCCATCCCTTTATTTGGAGACTATATTTTTCTTTGTCCATGAGGTGGGTCTACTGAATACAGCACACTGATGGTTCTTGACTCTTTATCCAATTTGCCATCTTGTGTCTCTTAACTGGGGTATTTATCCCATTTATATTTAAAGTTAATATTATTATGTGTAAATTTTGTTCTGTCATTACAATGTTAGCTGGTTATTTTGCACATTAGTTAATGCAGTTTCTTCATAGTGTCAATGGTCATTACAGTTTGGTATGTTGTTGCAGTGCCTGGTACCTGTTTTCCTTTCCATATTTAGTGCTTTCTTCAGGAGCTCTTATAAGACAGGTCCAGTGGTGATGAAATTCCTCAGCATTTGCTTGTCTGTAGAGGATTTTATTTCTCCTTCACTTATGGTGATTAGTTTGGGTGGATATGAAATTCTGGGTTGAAAATTCTTTCCTTTAAGAATGTTGAATATTGGCCCCTACTCTCTTCTGGCTTGTAGGGTTTCTGCAGAGAGATCTCTGATCTGTTAGTATGATGGGCTTCTCTTTCTGAATAACCTGACCTTTCTCTCTGGCTGCCCTTAACATTTTTTCCCTCATTTCAACCTTGGTAAATCTGATGATTATATGTCTTGGGGTTGGTGTTCTCAGTGACTATCTTTGTGGTGTTCTCTGTATTTATTGAATTTGGATGTTAGCCTGCCTTGCTGGAAGGGGAAATTTCTCCTGGATAATATCCTTAAGTGTGTATTCCAACTTGGTTCCATTATCCCATCACTTTCAGGTATAACAATCAAACATAGATTTGGCCTTTTCACATAGTCCCATATTTCTTGGAGGCTTTGTTTTTTCCCTTTCATTATTTTTTTCTCTCTAATCTTGACTTCATGCTTTATTTCACCAAGTTGATCTTCAATCTCTGATATTCTTTCTTCTATTTGATCAATTCAGGTATTGATACTTGTGTATGCTTCACAAAGTTCTCGTGCTGTGTTTTTCAGCTCTATCAGGTCATTTATATTCTTCTCTAAACTGGTTATTCTAGTTAGCACTTTCTGTAACCTTCTATCCAGGTTCTTTGCTTCCTTGCATTGCGTTAGAACATGATCCTTTAGCTTGGAGGAGTTTGTTATTATCCACCTTCTGAAGTCTACTTCTATAAGCTTGTCAAACTCATTCTCTATCCTGTTTTGTTCCCTTCCTGGCAATGAGTTGTGATCCTTTGGAGGACAATAGGCATTCCAGTTTTTGGAATTTTTGGCATTTTTGCTCTTCTTTTTTTCTCATCTTTGTGGATTTATCTACCTTTGATGTTTGTGACCTTAGAATGGGGCTTTTGCATGGGCATTTTTTTGGTTGATGTTGAAGTTATTGCTTTCTGTTTTTTAGTTCTCTTCTAACAGGCCCTTGTCCTGCAGGTCTGCTGGAGTTTGCCAGAGGTCCACTCCAGACACTGTTGGCCTGGGTATCACCAGCAGAGGCTGCAGAATAGCAACAATTGCTGCCTGCTCCTTCCTATGGAAGCTTCATCTCAGAGAGGCACCTGCCAGATGCCAACCAGAGCTCTCCTGTATGAGGTGTCTGTCAACCCCAACTGGGCTCTATCTCCCAGTCAGGAGGCATAGGGGTCAGAGATCCATTTGAGGAGACAGCCTGTCCCTTAGCAGAGCTTAAGCCCTTGTGTTGGGAGATCTGCCCCTTCCCTCAGGTGCTCCATCCCAGTGAGATGTATGCTTTATCTATAATCCCCTGACTGGGGCTTCTGTCTTTCTTTCAGGGATGCCCTGCTTAGAGAATAGGAATCTAGAGAGGCTTTCAGGCTACAATAGCTTTGCTACACTGTGGTGGGCCCTGTCCAGTTTGAACTTCCTCGTGGCTTAATTTACACTGTGATGGAAAAACTGCCTACTCAAGCCTCATTTATGGTGGACACCCTTCTCCCAATTTAAGCTTGAGCATCACAGGTTATCTTCAGACTTCTGGGCTGGCAGCGAGAATTTCAAGCCAGTGGATCTTAGCTTGCTGGGCTCCGTGGGGGTGGGATCCACTGAGCAAGACCACTTGGCTCCCAGGCTTCGGCCCCCTTTCCAAAGAAGTGAATGGTTCTGTCTCACTGGCATTCCAGGTGCCAGTAGAGTATGGGGAAAAAAAAAAACTGCAGCTAGCTCAATGTCTGCCTAAACAGCTGCCCAGTTTTGTGTCTGAATCCCAGGGCCCTGGTGGTATAGGCATGCAAGGGAATCTCCTGGTCTGTGGGTTGTGAAGACTATGGGAAAAGTGTAGTATCTGGGCTGGCCCCTTGCATTTCCCCTGTTAGGGGACTCCCCACCCTGCTTCTGCTCACCCTCTGTGGGCTGCACTCACTGTCTAACCAGTTCTAGTGAGATGAACTGCATACCTCAGTTGGAAATGCAGAAGTCACCCACCGTCTGTGCTTGTTTTGCCAGGAGCTGCAGACCGGATCTGTTTCTATTTGGCTATCTTGCCAGCCTTCTTGTAATCATGTCTTAATTCCTTTTTTGAACTATGTATTCATTTGTTGAAACAGCTAGCTTCTGCCAGGAGGAGCTACATTTTAAACTACCTGATGCCATAATACCATAGGGGATGTCATAGCCTACACCATATATAGCCAATTACTAATAAATGTTATTTCTGTAGGCCAATAAAAATTTTGACCAACAATGTTTTGTGAACCCATAACTTGTCCTTCATATTTGCCTTTAAGAATCCACTTGTAACTATCACTAAAGGGTATATTTAGGACAATTTAAATCTATGCTCTCATGTTATAATTCTTAAGCTTGGCCCACATAAACTTTCTACTCATATTACTTTCATCTCATCTCATTTTTTACAGGTTGACGTATTCCTTCGAATGTTTTAGAGTAACCTCCATTAGGGTCTCTTTCCTCTGGTTTTACTCCACTTGCTATAACCTAAAGAATGCAGATCCAGGTAGATTCCACCTAAATTTTGTACACAATTTCTGGCCTTCACATGAAAATCACAAGAAAAGTCAAGACTTTAGATTGAGAATATACAGAAAACCTACTGGGGCTTAAAAAGAAAAAGACTGAGTGAACACAGAAATCTTAATGATCTTTTATCAGAGTAAGTTCTTTTAAGCTCCCATGATCTTGTTCAGTGATCTGTTAGAGATAGTTCTATGAGAGGTTCCTAGTGTGTACAGAATCTGGGGGTGGAATTTGTAAGTGAAAACAATCACCTTAGCTATGAGAAGTCATGGTCACACAATATCCTGAGCCATGACCACAGCTAAACCCAGCCAAAAACTACCCCATGACCACAGCTAAAAACAGCTGAAAACTGTGCTGCTGGGATATTTTTCCTTCTTTCCCTTCCTTCCTTCCTTCCTTCCTTCCTTCCTTCTTTCCTTCCTTCCTTCCTTCACTTCTTCCTTCCTCCCTTCCTTCCTTCCTTTCAGATGGAGATTCACTCCTGTTACCCAGGCTGGAATGCAATGGCACAATATCAGCTTACCAAAAATTTCACCTCCTGGGTTCAAGCAATTCTGCTTCAGCCTCCCAGGTAGCTGGGATTATAGGCACCCAACATGACACACAGTTATTTTTTTATTTTTTTTTTTTTTTGCATTTTTAGAAGAGAAGGTTTTTCACCATGTTGGCCAGGCTGGTCTCGAACTCCTGACTTCGTGATTCACCCACCTCAGACTCCCAAAGTGCTGGGATTACAGATGTGAGCAACCAAGCCTGGCCTTGTTCTTCCTTTTAAACTAGAGTTAGCTGATCAGTGACCAACAATACCGCACCTGAATCCAGAATCTACAGTTCCACAAAGTTAGATTTATTATTTACTTTAACCCTGCAGAGTTAACTTGAATCTATTCTTCCTAGATCACCATGGAGGCTTCAGCCCAGGCTCACTGGAGACTTTTGCACTAGTACAAGGGAGTCTTTGAGCTATTTGGGACATCCATTGCAGATTGTTGTCAGACTAACAACATGGTCTAATTCTGCTTCCATTTTAAACAAAGAGGAATGAGTCATGCAGGGTTTGTTTTTCCCTTCTTGGACGGAATCTCATTGGTTGATACCCAGTTGGAATTTCTGGGACCTTCTTGAAAATGAAGAAGTAGGTATAAAGATGTAAATTAATAAATCAATTGCTTCCATTTAATATGAGCATTAGAAAACATACAAGGAAGTCATGCTTCCTATAATTCAGAAACTTTCAGTCTAGAACAAGTGGATAAATTGTTAAATTTGGCATGATGTTGTCAGGAATGAGAAGAAAAATCTAGAGAAAACTTAGGCTTTATTTGAGCCAATTTCTTTATATTATTGGGAGTTCTCATTGCCACCATCAGAAGCAGAAAAGTTGTTATTGTTAGTATTATTTATACTGTCTTTACCTTACTAAGAATACATTTTTAGCTTCTAATGGAAATGTTCTAAAAAACCATAATTTGGTTAAATTGCCTGTTGCTGTATATTATCAAATGGACAGGAAAATGACGAAAATGAATTACAATTATACAAACTTAAACTGTAATCCCTAGGTGTTGTGAGAGAAATCTGGTGGAAGGTAATTGGATTATGTGGGCAGTCTTTTCCATGTTTTTCTTGTGATAGTGAGTGAGTTTTTATGAGATCTGATGGTCGGGCTTAGAAAACAAAGACCTGTAATTACCCTGCAACACAGACATAATAACTTTAGGGCTCCCTCCCTGCCCTCTCCTTGCTTAGATCTAGCCTATTCTGAGGCCTTATCAAGGTATTGTACCACCTTGAAATTTTCCACTCATAGAATTGATTAAAGGAGATTAGAGAGTGAGGTGGATGCTCCTGCTGCAACTCCAGAGCTGCTACTCCTAATTTTTGAAGGTAATGTAAATAAATGGAAGCAAGACTGTATTTTGTTCTTGATTTGTCTTTATTAATACAAGTCTTTCTAGAGACATGGCACCCAGCAACCTACTCTCCACTCCCAGGGATTTGCTAGTTGCCACACAAGTCAGAAAAATGTAAATATAATTAAAACAATAATAATTTCCTTTGAACTACACTTAATTATTTCTTTATTCCTCACACCTGTCTGTATTATATTTTATTCTATGTGTTATCTTCTTGAAAATAAAGTTAGCGACATAGAAAAAGAAACAGAAAGAAGAGGCTTTCTATTTTATTTGTGGGAAATATGTTACACTGAATAACAACCTCCCAGGGTGTTATGAAAATTAGTCCATATAATGTACAGTTCCAAGCACAGTGCTTTGCAACATACTCCTGAGCACATAGCACATTCTCAGTAAAAATTGCATTAATGTCTGTGCATATATCCTTTTTCAAAAGCAGACTTATTCACACATTGCTGTCTTCTCTAACCTCTGTAAACTTTATAGGGCTACCAGAGAATGTCATGTTTCTGGCTCGTGATTGGTGGTCTTCAGTTTTGATCATAAGTATCTGAGTTGTGATAAGAGTGTTAGGTTAATGGACTGCGTACTGTATCTCTTTTCACTGCCTGAGTGCTGCTGATAATGGGGTGAGGAGAGCAGCATAAACTAACTCATAAACTCACTTCAAACTTGTAGGATCACAGTATTTAGAATGGGGCCTACATCATATAATTCAAATGTACATTAGAGCTTCAGAGACAGTGCTTAGCTAAGTGGTTTTCAGCCCAGTCTCTCTGTAAGAAACACACGGTCAGTTTAAATAAATACCATCAACTATGTACTCTACCCTGGATGGGAGCATCCATGCTGCTTAATTAAATGTCTCCTGTGATTCTTTTAATGTTGTTGTTTTGGAGACACAATCTCAGTCTGTCACCCAGGCTGGAGTGCAGTGGTGAAATCTCAGTTTACTGCATCCTCTACATCCTGGGTTCAAGCATTTCTCCTCTCTCAGCCTCCTGAGTAGCTGGGATTATAGGTGCATGTCACCAAGCCTGGCTAATTTTTTGTATTTTCATAGAGATGGGGTTTCATAATGTTGCCCAGGCTGATCATGAACTCCTGAACTCAGGCAATATACCTTCCTAGGCCTCCCAAAGTGCTAAAATTACAGGCATGGGCCAGCACACCTGGCCTGCCCTTTGTAATTCTAATGTGAGATCTGGGTTGCTGTATTAGTCTGTTCCCACACTACTGTAAAGAATTGCCTGAGCCTGGGTAATTTATCAAGAAAAAAAGGTTTAATTTACTCAAATTTTCTCATGGACAGGGGATCTTAAGGAAATTTACAACCATAGCTGAAGGGAAAGCAGGTATGTCTTACATAGTGGCAGGTGACAGAGAGAGTAAAGGTAAAAAAGAGGGAAGTGCTCCTTGTAAAACCATCAGATCTCATGAAAACTCACCATCAAAAGAACAGCATGGAAAAAACTGCTCTCATAATTGAATTACCTTCCACCAGGTCTCTTTCACAACACCTGGGGATTACAATTTAAGATAAGCCTGACCATATTAGTCATGAATAAGGACTCCAAGATACAGTGATGAAAGTAGAATTCAGCCTGTCTTTCAAAGGGAGGGCACACAAGGCTTCCTGTACTTGATTTTGATAGGGGCAGATGAGTGTGACATTTTGTATTAGTTCATTCTCCCGTTGTTATACAGAACTACTTGAGACTGTGTAATTGATGAAGTGAAAATTTAATTGACTCATAGTTCCACAAACTATATAAAAGGTAGGTCTGGCAAGGCATCAGGAAACATACAATTATGGCCAATGGTGAAGGGAAAGCAAAAATATCTTCCCATTGCCAGGAGGAAAAAGAGCAAAAGAAAGAGACAATGAGAAAGAGAGAGAGCATGCACAAGTGACAGAGGAAGTGTTACACTTTCAAACAAACAGATCTCCTGGGAACTCTGTCATAATTATAGCAACTGGGAAGTCCACCCCCACAATTCAGTCACCTCCCATGGTCTTCTGAGAACTCTATCACAATAACAGCAAGGGGAAAGTCCACTCCCACAGTTCAATCACCTCCCATGAGCACCCCCACACCAACACTGGGAATTACAATTTTTCATTGGATTGGGGTGGGGACAAACAGCCAAAGCATACCATTCTGCACCTGGCCTCTCCCAAATCACATGTCCTTTTCACATTTTAAAACACAGTAACACATTCCCAATCATTTCACAGAGTTTTAAGTCACCTCAGTATTACCTCAAAAGTCTACATCAAAAGGCTCACTGAGACAAAGCAAGTCCCTTTCACCTATGAGCCTGTAAAGTAAAAAAAAAAAAAAAAAAAAAAAAAAAAAAAAAAGTGAGTATACAATGGGAGTATGAGTATTGGATAAATGCTCTCATTCCAGAAAGAAAAAAAGTGACCAAAACAAAGGAGCTGCAGGCTCCATGAAAGTCCAAAACCCAGCAGGACAGCAATTACATTTATAATTTCCTAAACAATCTCCTTTGACTCCTGTCTTACATTCAGGGCATACTTACACAACGGGGTGAGTTCCTGAGGTCTTGGACAGCTCCATCAATGTGGCTCTGAAGATTTTGTGACTGTTTTCAAGGGCTGGTGTTGAGTGTCTGTGGCTTTTCCAGCATATGGTTTAGGCAAACATATCTACCATTCTGCAAACATTGGATCTACCATTCTGGGGTCTGGAAGATGGTGGTCTTCTTCTTACAGCACCACTAAACAGTGTCCTAGTGGAGATCCTGTGGGGGACTCTAAGCTCACATTTCTCCTCTTCACTGCCCTAGTAAAGGTTCTCAATGAGAATTCTGACCCTTCAGTAGTCTTCCGCCTGGACATTCAGCATTCTTCATATATCCTCTGAAATCTAGGTGGAGGTTCCCTAACCTCAATTCTTGCAATCTGTGCACCAACGGACCCAACACCATATGTGTGCTTCCAAGGCTTGAGGCCTGCACCCTCTGAAGCCATGGGCCAAGGTGTAACTTGGCCCTTCTTAGCCACAGCTGGAGGAGTGGCTGTAATGCAAGGTGCCATGTCCTGAGGCTTCACAGAGCAGTGGGACCCTGCTCCTTGCTCACAAAATCATCTTTCCTTTCTAGGTCTTCAGGCCTGTGATGAAAGAGCTGAATACTTCCATAGCAGCAGAAAAACTTGATGGAGTCTTTGACAGGAGAGGGAACTTGAAGGCAGGAAAGGAGAAGCACATTTTGATCTTTATGTAGGAGTTCATTGTTTCTGACTCATTTCTGCAATAAACAACAGAAAAGATTAAATATTTTATTTATCGCTAGGTACTTCTGCCTGGGGGTGTGGTGGTAGCTGGTGAAGCGGTGGTGCTGAAACTTTTAAAATATATTCTCAAAATGAATGTGTGGTTTGTTTAGAGGCTCTCACTTGAGAGGAAATTTCAGAGAAGGAAAAATAATAAAATGTCATGTTTTCAGATGAATTTGCCCCAGTTTAGTGTGTCCACTTTTCCTCCCAAAACATTATGTTTTTAGAACTCACAAACCTTTACTCCATAACTGGTGATGTTCCTGCCTAATGTGATTGTTTCAAATGATTTTTAAAAATTCTT
This sequence comes from Homo sapiens, assembly GCF_000001405.40. Taxonomy (NCBI): domain Eukaryota; kingdom Metazoa; phylum Chordata; class Mammalia; order Primates; family Hominidae; genus Homo; species Homo sapiens. The sequence continues at coordinate 19,239,052 of NC_000024.10, read as the reverse complement.
CTGTTAGCCAAAGAGCTCTGTAAAATTCCTCCTATCTTAATAACAGAACCTTCCTTTCATTCTCTCTGTTCACACTTCTTACATTCAATGATTAAATATCATTATAAATGTATAACATGCAATATTTAAAATCGGTGACTTTTGGCTAGGTATGCTTGCTCACACCTGTAATCCCAGCACTTTTGCAGTCAAGATGGAAATCTCCTTGATTTCCAAGAGCTTGAGATCAGTATAAGGATCATAGAAAGACCCATCTCTAAAAAATAGTATTAAATAAGATAAAGTTTAGCTAATGTGGCGGCACATGCTTGCAGTTTCAGAAACTTAGAAGGCTGAGGTGGGTGAATTGCTTTAGCCCAGTAGGATGGGGTTTCAGTGTATCATCATTGTTCCACTCCACTGTAACCTGGGTGACACTGTCTCAGAAAAGTGATCTTTTTGTGACAGATTAACTTGGAGAGGTGTGGACACCCAAGATTTCTATTGAGAATGAGTACAGTTTTTAGATATTAGTGAAGAAGAAAAACAAGGGCTGTTTAGGATCCATCTGGATGCTCCATTAACTGTATACAGAACCGATTTTAAAAATGCACATGTTACCAGCACGGCATTAACTGCCCAAAATTATTCAGAAAGTTCTCAATGAGAATAATAATTAGAAGTGAATTGATTTCTAGGATGCTAAGGAAAAGCTATTTAAATACACTCTTAGGGATAGCAGAATCTGGGAGGCATCTGTATCTTCAGCATTTTGTAAAACTATTTTTGTAAAAAAATTAGATTTTGATTATAATGTACTGCTTTTTTACCAGTAGAATTCTGGCAGTGATGCTCTGCCCTGTGTATGCATTAATTCACCCTTGATACAAATTTTTTACTATAGTGTATGTTAATTTTATTTACCTCAATAAATTGCTGGTAGATTTTTTTCTATAGCATTAATTTTCTTTTTTATTATTAATAATGTACTTGAGGATATATACTAGCTGACTTAAATAAATTATGACATTTAACCTGGAAGCTCAACATCCTTTTCAGAATCTCTTAGCTTATAGCATGCTTTAGAAAATGAAGATTGTCGTCTTTGTTTACTGGTCAAATGACCTAACATAAACCATGATTATGCCATTTTTCACTCTTTGACAAAATATTCTCCTGGGGCAGAAGGACTGACATCTCTAGATAACTCATTAGAAATTCAGAAATTCAGGGTCTATCTCAAATCTCCTGGGTCAAAACATGCATTTTAACAAGCTCTCTAGTTTATTGTTTTACACATTAAAATTTGAGACGTACCTCCTAACCTGCCATGACTTCTCTATGAGAAATATTTACAACTTACCCTGTATGATGCAAATAAATAAATCAGTAAAAAAAATTACTGTGTTGATGCATTGAATTTTATGCTGTCTAATCTATAAAAGCATATTATTTGCTTTAGTTCTGTAGATTTCATGCCATCTTTTCTCAGTGTTACAGAATACATTAGAAAATATTTCTGTGTTAAAAATTATCTTATTGAGTGATTCCAGTCACTCATATAAGACAGAGCCAATTCTTTTAGTTTTCATCTGGAGTAGAATTAATACCTCTGCCTATGTCGGAGATCTGATCTACCTTAAACTACAAAAACTTGATCTTCCTGGGTTAAGATAACTCCTGGGTTAAGATAAACACTAAGGGTTTTACTTATTTATTTATTTTTGGTGAATATTTTCTGGGAGTATTCACTTTGCATAGATTTCAGATTACTGCCTTCAATAAATTATTGAAGACATCTTTATGTGAAATATTCAAGCTGTTTTCTTTTGACATAAATCTTTCCCTTCCTTGAGCTGATCTATATTCTTCATTCTACTTTTGTAGTACTTGTTAAAATTTAGTAACATAAAATGTCTGTACTCATACCTTAAAATTCCATTTCAACCATCATTTTTTGTTTGATTCAGTAGTACTGGGAAGCAAAGCCAAGAACCCATACATTTGAAATACTTCCAAAATATTATAAAGATTCTGTTAAAAGATTATTTTAGAATTAATCTGTTAGAGTCTTCCATAATATTCTTTCTTCTCTGTTGATTGAGGTACTAGGTTTGTAATTAGTGAATTCTAGTCATTATATTTTCATAATAAAATACATCTTGCTTACTCTAAGCTAGACCTGATCACTTATCTGAAATTATTATTTTTTAAATTCTAGTGGGGGGCTAGGGGAGGGATAGCATTAGGAGAAATAACTAATGTAGATATCAGGTTGACAGGTGCAGCAAACAACCATGGCACAAGTATACCTATGTAACAAATCTGCACGTTCTGCATGTGTATCCCAGAACTCAAAGTATAATTAAAAAAAAATTTTTTTTAAACTGCCAAGCATCTGGGTAAATAGGAGTGAATGAAGCAGATGAAATTAGTGACAGCTTCAAAAATCAAGGAAACAGCCAGGCCTTGCAACGTGTTTGAGAAAGCTATTTTCCAATGAAAATAATTTCTAAGAAGGCAGGGTTACTCTGTCTCTTTCTGTCTTATATGATCACCTTCTGTAATATATTCTAAAATTCTCCAAGGACTCTACTTCTCCTTAAGTAATCTTTCTTTTATAGTGAGAACCAAAGTTTTCTTTATAGATTATATGGCACTTAATGACCTGACTCCTCTTCCATTATTTTTGGAAACATAAGACTATTTATAATTTGATAAACTCTATGTTAAACTAATTATTTAAAATTTTCTGCATCATGTCTGAAATACATGACAGTAAAAATCCTCACGACCACACTGAATAGATGTTCTATGTTTCCACATATTTCTGTTTTGTTTTGTTTTTTCTAAGGAGGTTTCAATGTGATTCTACTAAAATTCTACTCAGTAATTTTATCAGAACACTAAGACTTCCTAAATGTAAAAAACTGTAATATTGTTTTTCTGAATAATGTTATACTTTTAGTGTAAACTGAGATTAATAAATTAACCTCTGTATGTCTCAATTAATTATTAAATTATATTATATTTTAATGTATCTACCTACTTCTTAATTTTTTTAATACACTAGGTCATTGAGGCGTTTAGAAAATTGCTTAGCTCATATTAAACTTTCACTTCTTCACTTTTTTTTTAACACAAGGTCTAACTCTGTCATACCAGTTGGAGTGCATGGGTACATTCATAGCACTCTGCAGCTTCAAGGTCCTTGGCTCAGTAATTTCCTTGTCTAGGTTTCCTGAGCAGCTGGGACTACAGACCCACATGCCATCATGTCTAGCTAATTTATTAATCTTTTATAGAGGTAAGATCTCATTATGTTGCCCGGACTGGCCTCAAATATCTGGCCTTAGGCCTACCATAGTGCTAGAATTAAAGGCATAATCCATCTTTCCCAGGTCCTTTTTATTAAGTATCTTTTTATATTATTTTCTTTAAAATAAAGTATACTAGGACTTTTTTATGTATGTCTGTGTACATATACATTTACACACACATATGTGTAGGTGTAACTTGAATTTTTTCACAAATAAAAATTAGGTAACTATTTATTGATTCATACATTTATTTACTTTGAGATAGAGTTTTGCTCTGTCACCCAGACTGGAATGCAGTGGCCTGATCTTGGCTCACTTAAACATTTGCCTCCTAGTTTCAAGTGATGCTCCTTCCTCAGCCTCCTGAGTGAAATGGGAAAAGTGTCTTTATAGCCCTCAGAGAATTTGTAACAGGAGGGTGGCTTGCTACCTCAGTGTCCCACTGTTTCAATTCCTAGGAGGAGAATGCAGACAAGCATATCATGGAAAACATTTTTGGGCTCTGACCCCATGTCTAGGCTTGAACGTTTACAGCTCTCAGAGCCCCAGTGGACATATGTTACACTGTGCACTTCCAGCTTTTCTGTCTGCAGGTGGGTTTTTTTTAACCAGCTCAATTAGACTCTCTGCCATCACAAGGAGAGAGGGCTTTCTGTACCTCAAGTTTTTCCCCCAGCATACCAAAAAAATTAGATCGAGGACTTGGACGATAAATGCAAAATTTTACTGAGTGGTCAAGGTAGCTCTCAGTGAGATGGGTGGGGTGCCAAAAGACAGGTGGGATGGGAAGGTGGTCTTCCCCTGGAGTCGAGTCACCCAGCAGCCAAACTCTCCTCTGACTGTTCCCTGCCATATTCCCATTGGCATTCACATTTTCTGCTGTTGATGGCCTGCCAGTGTCTTCTTGTGTCTGCTGGTTGCTGCCAGTGTTTTCTTCTGTTCCTCTCAAAGTCCAGCTGCTTTTGTGTCTGTGTCTGTTCCCGCTATGGTCTCAGGTTTTTATGGGCACAGGATGGGAGACATGGTGGGCCAATAGGCAACTTTTGGAGCAATACCTGTTCTCGTTTAGGTCCATAGGTACACACTCAAGGGTGGACCCTCACCTGGGAACTTCTTGTTTTCTACCCAGCACTTCCTTCCCCCAATCCTGTATCATTTTCCCTCTCTAAAGAGGTACATCTAACTGCCATTAGAATATAGTTAATAACAGGTCTTAGCTGCTTCCTATTGACAATGGGCATTGTTTTGGGGAAAATGGCAATCAGATTCCTTCCAAGGGATCCTGGCAAAGGGGGCCATTGTCTGAAGCTACAGTTGCCTGACCATTTGAAGTTTGATGGCCTTTAAGTAAGAGATAAAAAATAAGTTTTATAAGGTTAAATATTCATGTCTTAAACATGTGTATTATATAAGAAAAATATTCAGTGTGAAAGATTGCAAAGATAAGAAGGGAAATATACAAATAATAACATTGTACCCTGAGCTGTTTCACCTGGTGAAAAAATTAAACCTAGTATAGGAGTGGTTAAACCTTAGAAGAGAGGTAGCTGTTCTTGCCATTTATTTAGTAGTTAACAGGTATACCCGGGAAATTCTGGGGCTTGGGGGTTTGCACAGTGGCCATTAGAGTTTCCGTCTCTTTCTTGTGTCTACCTTTCTCTATTGTAAAAGACAAAGGTGGCCACTTTCAGGAGGTCCTCTAATGTACTATCTGGTCCCAGGGTCCATTTTTGCAACTTTATCCTAACATCAGGGGCTGCCTGTGTAATATATTTATCCTTTAGGATTAGCTGTCCCTCAACTGAATCAGAATATAGAGAGGAGTTTTTACCAAGGCTTCTCTTAGCTTTTCCAGGGAAGCAGTGGACTTGTCATCAAATGCCTGGTCAGTCATACACAACTTAGTATAATTAAGATGCTTGGTGTGGGTCAGACGTGAGCACTCCATTATGTTTTCCTGAAAGTGTCTCCTTTTCCCGTCTCCCATCACATCATTGTGATCCAACTTAGGGTTATTCACTGGTACTGTTTCTCTTCCACTTAGATAATCTTTGACCCCTTCCTTGATGCTACATGTGATACAATGCTCATCCCCAAATCCCTCTGCTGCTTGCAGAGTGGCCTGCTTTAAAGTGTCCATTAGGGTTATAACATCTCTCTAGGAGAGTTCAAATATTTGGGTGAGTTCTTGAAAGCTTCTGTATATCTGTCAGGCTTATCTGAAAACTTGCCAAGACCTCCCCGGATTTGCTTCAAGTACTATAGGGAGAAGGGTACCTGGACCTTCCTGGGGCAAAATTCACCAGGCATCAGTTGGAGGGGCAAGAGTGATATTGGGGCATGTTTAGGGCCATGATTTTTAGGAGGGGACAAGTGAGAGGCTGAAGCTGTATAGGGAGGTTGGGGTTCCCCCAGAGAAGCAGGGCTGGAGGGAGCTTGCTCCTCTGCTGGAGGTGCCTATGTGATTCATATCTTGAATTCCCCGGGCTTTCCCCTTGCAGCCTTCCCTGGAATGGCAAACAGGAGGGCTAGATCAAACCTGCATGGTCAGCAAAGGTCTGGATTGCCTTGCAAGGTATAGAAAGTGTGCACACATGGAGCTTCATACCATCTGTCCTCATGTCTACAGAAAAGTTCCCATTACTGGGTATATACTCAAAAGATTATTAATCGTGCTACTATAAAGACACATGCACATGTATGTTTATTGTGGCATTATTCACAATAGGGAAGATTTGGAACCAATCCAAATGTCCATCAATAATAGGCTTGATAAAGAAAATGTGTGTGGGGGCGCGGTTCCAAGATGGCCAAATAGGAACAGCTCCAGTCTACAGCTCCCAGTGTGAGTGACACAGAAGATAAGCGATTTCTGCATTTCCAACTGCAGTACCAGGTTCATCTCACTGGCTTGTCAGACAGTGGGGGTAGGACAGTGGGTGCAACCCACTGAGTGTGAGCTGAAGCAGGGTGAGGCATCACCTCAAACAGGAAGTGCAAGGGGTCAGGGAATTCCCTTTCCTAGCCAAGGGAAGGGGTGACAGAGGGCACCTGGAAAATTGGGTCACTCCCTCCCTAAAACTGCGCTTTTCTAACGGTCTTAGCAAATGGGACATACAGGAGATTACATCCAGCACCTGGCTTGGAGGGTCCCATGCCCACGGAGCCTCACTCATTGCTAGCACAGCAGTCTGAGATCAAACTGCAAGGCAGCAGTGAGGCTGGGGGAGGGGTGCCCGTCATTGCTGAGGCTTGAGTATGTAAACAAAGCAGCCAGGAAGCCTGAACTGTGTGGAGCTCACCACAGCTCAAGGTGGCCTGCCTGCCTCTGTAGGCTCCACCTCGGGGCAGAGCACTGCTGAACAAAAGGCAGCAGAAATCTCTGCAGACATGAATGTCCCTGTCTGACAGCTTTGAATACAGTAGAGGTTCTCCCAACACGGAGTTTGAGATCTGAGAATGGACACACTGCCTCCTCAAGTGGGTCCCTGAACCCCGAGTAGCCTAACTGGGAGGCACTGCCCAGCAGGGGCAGACTGATAACTCACATGGCTGGGTAACCCTCTGAGATGAAGCTTCCAGAGGAATGATCAGGAAGCAACATTTGCTGTTCAGCAATATTCACTGTTCTGCAGCCTCTGCTGCTGATACCCAGGAAAAGAGGGTCTGGAGTGGACCTCCAGCAAGCTCCAACAGACCTGCAGCTGAGGGCCCTGACTGTTAGAAGGAAAACTAACAAATAGAAAGGACATGCACAACAAAACCACATGTGTACCTCACTATCACCAAAGACCAAAGGTAGATAAAACCATAAACATGGGGAAAAAACAGAGCAGAAAAGCTGAAAAGTCTAAATATCAGAACATCTCTCCCCCTCCAAAGGAATGCAGCTCCTTGACAGCAAAGGAACAAAGCTGGATGGAGAATGACTTTGACCAATTGAGAGAAGAAGGCCTCATATGATCAAAATTCTCTGAGCTAAAGGAGGAAGTTTGAACCCAACGCAAAAAAGCTAAAACCTTGAAAAGAGATCAGACAAATGGCTGACTAGAATAACCAGTGTAGAGAAGTCCTTAAAAGACCTGATGGAGATGAAAACCATGGCATGAGAACTATGTGATGAATGCACAAGCTTCAATAGCTGATTCAATCAACTGGAAGAAAGGGTATCAGTGATTGAAGATTAAATAAATGAAATGAAGTGAGAAGAGAATTTTAGAGAAAAAAAGAGTAAAAAGAAATGAACAGAGCCTCCAAGAAATATCAGACTATGTAAAAAGACCAAATCTATGTTGGATGGGTGTACCTGAAAGTGATGGGGAGAATGGAACCAAGTTGGAAAACACTCTGCAGGATATTATCCAGGAGAACTTCCCCAACCTAGCAAGGCAAGCCAACATTCAAATTCATGAAATACAAAGAATGCCACAAAGATAATTCTCAAGAAAAGCAGCTCCAAGACACATAATTGTCAGATTCACCAAAGTTGAAAGGAAGGAAAAAATGTTAAGGGAAACCAGAGAGAAAGGTCGGATTACCCATGAAAGGAAACCCATCAGACTAACAGTGGATCACTCAAAGACACTCTACAGCCAGGAAAGAGTGGGGGCCAATATTCAACATTCTTAAAGAAAAGAATTTTCAACTTGGAATTTCATATCCAGCCAAACTAAGCTTCATAAGTGAAAGAGAAATAAAACCATATACAGACAAGCAAATGAGAGATTTTGTCACCACCAGGCCTGCCCTACAAGAGCTCCTGAAGGAAGCACTAAACATGGAAAGGAACAACCAGTAACAGCCCCTGCAAAAACAAGAGAAATTGTAAAGACCGTCAATGCTAGGAAGAAACTGCATCAACTAATGAGCAAAATAACCAGCTAACATCACAAGGATAGGATCAATGTCACATATAACAATAATAACCTTAAATATAAATGGACTAAATATTCCAATTAAAAGAAACAGACTGTCAAATTAGATAAAGAGTCAAGACCCATCAGTGTGCTGTATTCAGGAGACCCATCTCACGTGCAGAGACACACATAGGCTCAACATAAAGTAATGGAGGAAGATCTAACAAGAAAATTGAAAAGAAAAAAAGACAAGGGTTGCAATTCTAGTCTCTGATAAAACAGACTTTAAACCAACAAAGATCAAAAGAGACAAAGAAGGCCATTACATAATGGTAAGGGATCAATACAACAAGAAGATCGAACTATCTTAAATACATATGAACCCAATACAGGAGGATCCAGATTCATAAAGGAAGGCCTTACGGAACTACAAAGAGACTTAGACTCCCACACAATAATAATGGGAGACATTAACACCCAACTGTCAATCAGTGTGGTGACTCCTCAGGGATCCAGAACTGGAAATACCATTTGACCCAGCCATCCCATTACTGGGTATATACCCAAGGGACTATAAACCCACTGACATTTTGTGCTCAGACTTCTTCTGGCCTCCAGAACTGTAAAAACAGTAGCTTTCTGTTATGGACGTCACCCAGTCTGTCGTACTTGATGAAAGCATCTGTGGAAAATGCATGCAGCTCATTTGCACAAAGGGAGATTATGTGAATAGTTTTTAGAACTGGCGACCAGGGCTTCCTCCAGGTGGAATCGTTTGTGAAAGTTAGAGGTATAGGTGGTAGAGAGGGCATTTGCTTATGTCTTTGTGAGTGAGGCTAAGAACAAATAATAAGGAAGATTGTTGCAGAGAAAAACCACTCACAAGACACGAGGAAGTTAAAAAGCCAAGAGTTCAAGACAAGCCTGGCCAACATGGTGAAACCCTGTATCTACTAAAGATACAAAGATTATCCAGGTATGGTGGTGGATGCCTGTATTCCCACCTACTCAGGAGGCTGAGGCAGGACAATTGCTTGAACCTAGGAGGCAGAAGTTGTAGTGAGCTGAGATGATGCCACTGCACTCTGGCCTGGGCAACAGAGCAAGACTCTGTCAAATAAAAAAAAAAAAAAGGCAATGAATGATCAGAGTTAGTTTTCCACGCGAGAGTCAGATTCAGATTTTTTTTTTTTAAGACAGAGTTTCCCTCTTGTCATCCAGGCTAGAGTGCAATGGCACAATCTCAGCTCACTACAACTTCTGCTTCCCAGATTCAAGCAATTCTCCTGTCTCAGCCTCCCAAGTAGCTGGGATTACAGGCAGGTGCCACTACACCCAGTTAATTTTTGAATTTTTAGTAGAGACTGGGTTTCAACATGTTGGCCAGCTGGTCTCAAACTCCTGACCTCAGGTCACCTGCTCAGCTTGGACTCCCAAAGTATTGGGATTATGGCTGAGAGCCACCACTGCACCTGGCCTAGACTCAGATTTGTTTTCAACAGGGACTTCCTTTGTTTCCCAGGCTGGAATACAGTGGTGCTATTGCAGCTTGCTGGAGTGTTGAATATCTGTGCTCAAGCCATCACCCTGCTTCAGCTTTCCAAAGTACTGGGATTATAGCACAGCATACAGCAGAGATTCAGAATATTAAGTGGGAACTGGAGTCCCATGTCCTCCATGGAGTTGCTAGAGTCTAGCTCTCAGGCAAGCTGAAGGTCCCATGCAGATGGTTGAGGGTGCATTTGGGAATTTTAGATTCTAGATCTTCTTGGTCATGTGATGGGAAAAGGCTTCATTACCAGTACCCACCAGGATTGACTTCATGGAGCACAAAACTGGAAAGTTGAGGATGAGAAGTGAATATAAGACTATGTCAACAGGCAATAGAAATTTGTGATGATTTTCTTTAAAATCCTGAATTTGGCCAGGCAAGGTGGTCCATGCCTATAATCCCAAGGGCCAAGATGAAATAATGGCTTGAGGCTAGGAATTTGAGATCAGCCTGGACAAAATAACAAGATCCCGACTCTACACAAAATAAAAATAAATAAATAAATAAAATAAAATAGTAGCCAGGCATGGTGATGCATACCTGTTCGCTTAGCTACTCAGGAAACTGAGGTGGGAGGATTTCTTCAGCTCAAGAATTTGAGGCTACATTGAGCTATGATGGTGCGACTGTACTCCATCCTGAGTGACAGAGCAAGATTGTGTCTCTATTAGAGAAAAAAACAATCTTTAACATCCAACGATCACTAACCACAGGCCTTGTGAACATGCCTGTCTCTGACTCTTCTGCTATGTTTGCAGAAGCAGCTTATTCATTCATAATGTGCATGTCAATTTTTTCCACTCTACTGGACAGCTACTCTCTAGCTGTCTTTCTGCCCTCTCTCTTTTATCTACTTCCTGAATACCTGGATGACATGATGCCTTCAGGTTTGGTTTCCACTTGAAAGACCAACCTTTCCCCTTGGGTGATAAATGTAGCACAGAACCTTAGATTTGGGCAATTCTCAAAGACCACCAGCAACAGTGGCACCTGGTGATATCTTCAAAATGCAGATTCTTGGGTTACTTCTAGATTTGCTGGGTCAGAAACTCTAGGGGTGAAGTTCAACACTGAACTAACTTCATGGCTGAGAGCCAAGGATGCTTTTCAAGAATAACCCCAAGGTTGAATTCCTGACTCCCTAGGAGAATGATGCCTTCTGAAGCAGCAACCTGAGCCTGGACATACGATGGACAAAACACCTGCACCTTCTTCTGCCACTGATAAAGACCTTGCTGATAAAACAGAATGCAACAAAGAAACCAGCCAAATCCCACCAAAGCCAAGATGGTGATGAGAGTGACCCCTGGTAGTGCCCACTGCTCATTATATGCTAATTATAATGTATTAGCATGCTATAAGACACTCCCACCAGTGCTATGAGAGATTGCAAATGCCATAACAATGTCAGAAAGTTACCCCATATGGTCTAAAGTTGGGGAGGAACCTCCAGTTCCAGGAATTGCCCACCCCTTTCCTGGAAAACTCATGAATAATATAGGCCATGTTTAGCATATAATCAATAAGTAACATAAAAATTGTCAGTGAGCAGCTCATGCTGCTGCTTTGCCTATGGAGTAGCCATTCATTAATTCCCTTACATTCTTAATAAATTTGCTTTCACTTTACTCTGTGGAGTTTTCATGAATTCTTCCTCACTTGAAGTCCAAGAAACCTCTCTTGGGGTCTGTACTGGGACCAGACCAGTAATGTTAATAGTATACAATTCACTTTGTTAAATGGTGTAGTGTAACGACTATCAGCCTTTTCACAGACTTGTTCAAAAATCACTTTTATCTAGTTCTGGAACATTTTCATCACGCCCAAAAGAGATCTGGTACCCATTAAGCACTCACTCTCTATTCCTCCTTCTCAGTCTCTAGCAACCAGCAATCAACTTTCTGTCCCTATGGATCGGCCTGCCATGGACATTTATATAAATGGAATCCTATGCTATGTGACCATTTGTTTCTGGCTTCTCTCACTAAGCGTGTTGTTTTCAAGGTTCATCCACATTTTAGAATGAATAAGAACTTTATTCATTTGTAATGGCTGAATATTATTCCATTGCATAGACTGTATTTTGTTTATCCAGTTCATCTATTAACAGACAATTATGTTGTTTCCATCTTTTGAAAACGATTGTGAATAGTGCTGCTAAGAACATTTGTGTCCAAGTTTTTGCATGGAAATATGTTTTCATTTCTCATTCTGCAAACTTTTAAAATAAATATGTATGAGCATCTTTAAAAATAGACATATTGTGCCAGGTGTGGTTGCTCATGCCTATAATCCCAGCATTTTGGGATGCCAAGGTGGATGGATCACAAGATCAGGAGTTTGAGACCAGAGTAGCCAACATGGTGAAACCCCATATCTACTAAAAATACTAAAAATAGCTAGGTGTGATGGCGGGTGTCTGTAATCCCATCTACTCAGGAGGCTGAGGGAGGGGAATCACTTGTACCTGGGAGGCAGAGGTTGCAGTGAGCCAAGATCGCACCATTGCACTCCAGCCTGGGCAACAAGAGCAAGACTCCATCTCAAATTAAAAAAAAAAAAAAGAGAGAGAGAGAGAGAGAGAGATTGGCTATGAGCAGTGGCTCACACCTGTAATCCTAACACTTTGGGTGACCAGGAAGGATAATTGTCTGAGGCCAGGAGCTCAGGACCAGCTTGGGCAACATGGTGAGACCCTGTCTCTATTTATAACACAAATAAAAGAAGATAAAATAAAAAGACATTGTTACATGTATAGGTCTTTGATTCAGTTATTGGCCCAGACTGGGTAGGCTTTAATTGGGAGAAGGGAACAAGAAATGGCATGACAATTACTCCAGGTGGTCAACCCTGTCTGCATTTCCAGATCAGTTTTTTGCAAATCTTTGGAGTGGCATCCATACAGTACAAAAATGTAAACATTTGCAATTTGTTGAAATATGCATGAAGGCTGAAACTTATACCCACTCAAGGACCACATGAAAACACAGTGGGAGCCTGGACAAAATGGTGAGACCCTATCCCTACTGAAAAATAAACAAAATTTGCCAGCTGTGGTTGCATCCTTCTGTGGTCTCAACTACTTGGGAGGCTGATGTAGGAGTATCACCTGAGCCTGGGAGGTTGAGGCAGCAGTGAGCCAAAATCATATCCTTGCACTTCAGCCTGGGTGATAGAGTGAGACACTATATCCAAAAAAATAAATAAATAAATAATAAGCCAGATATTGCAGTACATGCCTGTAGTCCTAGCTAATCAGGAAGCTGAGGTGGGAGAATTGCTTGAGCCTGGAAGGAGGAGGCTGCAGTGAGCCATGGTCACATCCAGCCTGGGTGATGGGTTGGAACCATTTATCAAGGAAAAAAGAGAGAGAGAAGGCAGTGAGGTGGGATGGAGATGGGGTGAGGTAGTGTGGATTCAGGTGGCTTCTGTGGCATGTAGGAGAAGCCCAGTGGACAGAAGAGAGCATCAAGGAACAGGGAAACTCATAATCCACCTGTTACTATTCTCGACTTTATCTCTGGTTCAGATAAAGATTTTATCACATGTGAATGCTCACCTGTCTTTCACCACTGCACCTTCATACCACACTTCTTACTGTTATAAATGCAATGCCCTGTGCATTAACCAAAATGTTATTTTACTGCAAACATTTGCAAAATGGATAGGGAGTCCCACCTCCATTAAGATTCAGTTCCTTTGACAAACATGACAAGAACAAGCAATGGAGAAAAGACTCCCAATATAATAAATGGTGTTGGGAAATCTTGTTAGCCATAAGCAGAAAGCTGAAACTGGATCCCTTCCTTACGCCTTATACAAAAATTATAATATGCCTGAAGATGGATTAGGGCTTTAAATGTAAGACCTAAAACCATAACAATCCTAGAAGAAAACCTAAGCAATACCATTCAGGACATAGGCATGGTCAAAGTCTTCATGACTAAAACACCAAAAGCAAAGGCAAAGAAAAAGCCAAAATTGACAAATGGCATCTGATTAAACTAAAGGGCTTCTGCACAGCCAAAGAAACTATCATCAGAGTGAACAGGTAACCTACAGAATGGAAGAAATTTTGTGCAATCTACCCATCTGACAAAGGGCTAATAGCCAGAATCTGCAAAGAACTTAAACAAATTTAAAAGAAAAAAAACACCCCCATTAAAAATTTGGTGAAGCATATGAACAGACACTTCTCAAAAGAAGACATTTATGCAGTCAGTAAGCATATGAAAAAGAGCTCATAATCATGGGTCTTTAGAGAAATGCAAATTAAAAAAACAATGTGATACCATCTCACAGCGGTTAGAATGACAATCATTAAAAAGTTAGAGAACAACAGATGCTGGAGAGGATGTGGAGAAATAGGAAGGTGTTTACACTGTTGCTGGAGTGTAAATTAGTTCAACCATTGTGGAAGACAGTGTGACGATTCCTCAAGGATCTAGAACTAGAAATACCATTTGACCCAGTAATCCCATTACTGGGTATATACCCAAAGAATTATAAATCATTCTACTATAAAGACATAGGCACATGTATGTTTATTGCGGCACTGTTCACAACAGCAAGGACTTGGAACCAACCTATCAATGACAGACTGGATAAAGGATACGTGGCACATATACCACAAGAAATACTATGCACCCATAAAAAAGGATGAGTTCATGTCCTTTGCAGGGACATGGATCACGCTGGAAACCATCATTCTCAGCAAACCAACACAAGAACAGAAAATCAAACACTGCATGTTCTCACTCATAAGTGGGAGGTGAATAATGAGAACACATGGATATATAGAGGGGAACATCATACACAGGGGCCTGTCAGGGGATGGAGAGGCTGGTGACAGATAGCATTAGGAGAAATACCTAAGGTAGATGATGGGCTGATGGGTGCAGCAAACCACCTTGACACATGTATACCTATGTAACAAACCTGCATGTTCTTCAAATGTAACCCAGAATGTAAAGCATTATAATAATATATATAATATATTATATTATTATATATATAGTATGTATATATACAATATAATAATAATAATAATAATAATAATAATAAAAGTTCATCTGTGAAACACAGAAATCCAAATGAACAGTGTTGCAAAAAAGATATATATGTGTTTCACCCTTCTCCTGCCCATGCCAGTCCCCAGGCATGCAGACCAAAGCCTCCTGAGTGATCCACCACTGGGGGAGGGAGGCTAGTCTTGGTTCTGTTGGCCCAAGGTGGTGTCCCTCTTTCTGATGGGAGGATAGAAGTGGGCCAATAGAAAAAGTTGACTCAGGGTACAATGTTTCACATCTATAATACCAGCACTTTGGGAGGCTTAGGTGGAAGGATTGCTTGAGCTTAAGATTTCAAGACCAGCCTGGACAACATAACAGATTCCCGTCTCTACACACACACACAATAATAGTAAAATTAGCCATTAGACATGGTGGTGCAAGCTCATAGTCCTAGCTACTCAGGAGGCTGAGAAGGGAGACCACTTGAGCTGAGATGTTTGACACCAGCCTGGGCACAAAGTGAAATCCCATCCCTACACATGCATACACACAAAATAATAAAATTAGCTGGGCATGGTGGTGCACACTGTAGTCCTAGCTATTTAGGAGACTGACTCAGGAGGACCACTTGATCTCAAAGTTCAACAACAGCCTGGGCAACAAAGTGAGACCCCCACCCTACAAATAAAATAAAATGTAGACAAATAGAAAAGATGTGAAGCAGTTCTTCCTAAGAGGCCTCTGGAAGATGTCCCAGGGCAATACTTTTTTTCATTATGCACCAGACATCTGGGTCCCAAGTCCTTCCAGCTGCAAGGAAGTGAGGGGCATGGTATCCTGACTCCAAGAAGCCAAGTGTTGTGTCCAAGGAGCAATGCATTGGAAAAAGAGAGGAATGAATATCAGGAGTCTCTCCAGGAGGTATTTCCCCCAAGGTTGCGCTATTTCATTCTTTATGTCTGCTCTTTGTGCAAGCAGAGAAAGAGGCTGCTTTGTTGCAGAAATTAGATAAATGCACAAATGGTTACATCTTCAAATAATTAGTGCTCAGGTGATGTTGAAAGCAATATTGATAGGAAAAAATAATTAACAAGGAACTTGCCCCACTCACAGCTGTATGAAAAGATGGAATATATGGCCAAGCACAGTGGCTCACACTTGTTGTCCCAGGACTTTGCAGGCCAAAGTGGATGGATCACTTGAAGTCATGAATTCGAGGCCAGCCTGGCCAATATGACAAACTCCATCATTCCTAGAAATACTGTATAGATAGGTAGATAGATAGATAGATACATAGATATAAATATATCTAATGTAAATGATGAATTAATGGGCGCAGCACACCAACATGGTATAGGTATACATATGTAACAAACCTGCACGGTGTGCACATGTACCCTAAAACTTAAAGTATAATAAAAATATATATAATATAATAAAATAAATATATATATATCCCAGGCATGTGCTACCAGATGCTTGTGAGGCTGAGGCATGAAAATATAGTGAGATCCTCTCTGTACAAAAATTACATTCAAAAAATTAGCCAGAAGTGGTGATATCTGCCACTGAGTCCCAGCTACTCAGGAAGCTGAGCAGGGAGGATCATTTGAGTACAGGAGTTGGAGGCTACAATGAGCTATTGTGTTCAGAATTTTTTCCTGAGAGTGGATTTGTGGTCACCCTGACTTCGAGAACGGAGCCTCGGACCTTTGAGGTGAGTGTTACAGCTCTTAAAGATGGCACAAACATAAAGAGTGACAAGCAGCAAATTTTATTGTGAGGAGTGAAAGAAAAAAGTTTCCACAGCGTGGAATGGGACCCGAGCAGGTTTCCACTGCTGGCTGGGGTGGCCAGCTTTTATTCCCTTATTTGTCCCTGTCCATGTCCTGATGACTGGCCCATTTTAAAGAGGGCTGATTCATCCATTTTACCAAGTGATGATTAATCCATTTTACAGAGTGCCGATTCGTCCATTTTACAGAGCACTGTTTGGTGCATTTTACACACCTCTGGCTAGCTACTGAAAAGTTCCCAAAATCCCTATTTGACCCAAGAAGTCCAGCTGGCTTCACCTCTCAATTCCCCCTCTTAACAGGACATCCCAACTGCTGTTGGGAATCGAGTGATGACCGCTGTAGCTACTGCCTGCTGGATAGGGGCAAAGAAGGGGCCCTGCAGTTTTAGTGTCCTCCAGAGGGGAATTTTTTAGGCCAAAGGGTCAGTGGGTTGAACCACAGGTCATGGGTAGAAGTTATGAGTTGCGCTCATTTTGGATTCCATTTGTAAGACCATCTGTAGCTCAATGGCCTTGATCCTAGAGAAAACAAATCTGATAAGGAGTTTAAAAATACAGGGTCGGAAAGCAAGTAATAGCAAGATGGCTGTCATGACCTAGAAAGGGGAAAAGCTTTGTTGCCCAACCCTAAAGGTCAATATAAGAGTTTGAAAGGCATTGTCTGATTTCAGAAGCCTTTATCAGTAAATGCCAGGTGGCAACTTGTACTGTCCCTGGCTGCTTAGTGTGAAAACAATACCCTTGCCCAAAGGCCCAAAGAAAGTGCAAAGTCCTCCTTTCTCAGCAGTGAGGAGGTCTAGGCCTTGGTGGTTTTGGAGAGTCACTGCTGCCAGTCTATTTGAGATTATAAAGTAAGGATAGATTTTGTTATTTCTTGCAAACTGTCTGAGAAATCCTTTGAGAGTGTGTGGTACTAGGATAATGAAGTAGATAAACCTGCTATTCAGTTTCCTGTAGCACTGGCCATTCCTAATCCTATAAGTAAGGGTATTAGTTGTATGGCTCTGTGATGATGGACTTGAGCTTTGAGGGGCACTGATAGGGTCTGATTTCCATAAGATTATGTTAGGATAATACATGTTACGCTGTTAACTTTTAGCAAACTTTACTTTTGTTGAAAACCTTGTAAGTGTGAGATTTCAATTATTCTTTGCTATTAATAAGACCTCATTCAGTCCATATTAACTTAGAATTGGTATAGATGTCTCTTCCCTGATTCTGTATGTATGTTAAGGTTTGGCTGAGTGCAAACAGCTCTCACGTTTGAGCAGATCAATTATTAGGCAATTTTCCTAACTCTGCTTCTAAAAGAGTTTCCTTATCACTTACTCAATATACATAGTGTCATTTTCCCTAAATAGTCCAGGAGGAACCATCTATCCTCCTGTCCTGAAAGGAGCACCTCCTAGGTCTGGTCAGACCTTTGTATGGTAATTAATTAATATGTAGAGCCTGGGTTAGGAAACATGCTGCGTTAAGGATTTTTGATAGGAAAGCTATTGGTTGTCAATGGCCACAGTGCTTTTGGGCTGCACCCTTGTTTACACTGACAACAAGGTGGCACTAGAGTGTTATAGGATTACAGAGAAGACCTTCAATTATCAATTATAGGTTTTAAATTTACCCTGGCTTTTAAATAAATTGGGTATGCTGTTTTTTCCTTACTAATTCCATCTCTCTCTTTCTCTCTTTCTTTCTTCTCTGCTGGTCTTTCCCTGACTCTGCCAGCTGCTTATGCTGCTCTTCTCCCCTCTCCTTCCCCTTTTTGATGGCTTCAGCAGTGTAAGAGAGCCACTTCCTTGGGTTTTTGTACTGTGTGCAATAACTCCATGATTCCCTTGTGGTACTTAATGGGGGTTCCCTCAGAGGTTAAGAACGCCCTTTCTTTTCATATTGCAGCATGGGCATGTAGGATTAGATAAGCATACTTGCTCTCTATCTGTATACACATTTATTCTTTTTTGCTTTCCCAATAATAAGGCTCAGGTTAGTGCCACTAGTTCTGCTAACTGGGAGTTCATCCCTGGGGGAAGAGGCTTACTTTCAAGTACTGTTACATTACTATGGCATAACCTGCCTTTGTATCCCATTCTCCACAAATGAACTTCCATTGGTATATAGGTTAAGGTCAGGATTGACTAAGGGGACTTCTAAGAGAGGATCTTGGGTGGCATAAATCTGGACTATAATTTGTTGGCAGTCATACTCGATTGATTCTCCATCCTCTGGGAGAAAAGTGGCAGGGTTAAGGGACACACATGTGCATATCTGAAGCACAAGTCCCTCAAAGAGTAGTGCCTGTTATCTAAGCAGGTGGTTGTCAGATAGCCATAAACTACCTTGGCACCTAGTATGGCATTTACATCATGAGTAGTCCAGACAGTGAGATCTTTTCCTTGTTATTATTTTGGTAGCCTCTGACACTAAGACAGCCACCGCCACAAATACCCATAAACAGTGAGGCCAGGTTTTTGCTACTATATCAATTTCCTTACTTAGGTATGCCACTGGTTGTGGGATTGTCCCACAAGTCTGAGAAAGTACTGCAAGAGCTATTCCTGCTCTCTCTGTGATGTATAAAGAGAAGTTTTTTCCTGTTGGAAGTCTTAAGCCTGGAGTTTGTACTAGGGACTGCTTTAAGGTTTTGAAGGCTGTTTCTGCCTCTGGTTCCCATTCTACTAGATGAGTATTTGCCCTCTGAGTCTCCTTGGTTAGAGTAGAGGGGCCTGGCCATCTCACTGTATTTATGGATCCATAGTTGGCAAAAGCCCGTGATTCGAAGGAACACTTGCAACTGTTTTAATGTCTTGGGGCTAGGATAAGCCAGTATAGGCTGTATTCATTCCTTGCTGAGGGCCCTGGGAGGTGTGAAAATTTTCTCCCATTTTGTAGGATGCCTGTTCACTCTGGTGATAGTGAATTTATCCATTTCTTCTAGATTTTCTAGTTTATTTGCATAGAGGTGTTTGTAGTATTCTCTGATGGTAGTTTGTATTTCTGTGGCATCTGGTGGTAGTTTCTATTGCTGTGCAGAAGCTCTTGAGTTTAATTAGATCCTGGTTCCTCTGGCTAAGATTAGGCCTAGATATTTGACTTATTGGAGGCAGATAAATTCCTCGACACATACACCCTCTCAAGACTAAACCAGACAGAAGGTGAATCTCTGAATAGACCAATAACAGACTCTGAAATTGTGGCAATAATCAATAGCTTACCAACCAAAATGAGTCCAGGACCAGATGGATTCACAGCCAAATTCTACCAGAAGTACAAGGAGGAACTGGTACCATTCCTTCTGAAACTATTCCAATCAACAGATGGAGTGCACCTCTAGCAAACTCCAAAAGACTTGCAGCTGAGGGTACTGTGTGGTAGAAGGAAAACTAACAAACAGAAAGGACATCCACACAAAAAGCCCATCTGTACATCACCATCATCAAAGACCAAAAATAGATAAAACCACAAAGATGGGGAAAAAACAGAGCAGAAAACCTGGAAACTCTAAAAAGCAGAGTGCCTCTCCCCCTCCAAAGAACACAGCTCCTCACCAGCAATGGAACAAAGCTGGATGGAGAATGACTTTGACGAGTTGAGAGGAGAAGTCTTCAGACCATCAAACTACTCTGAATTACAGGAGGAAATTCAAACCAAAGGCAAAGAAGTTGAAAACTTTGAAAAAAATATAGACGAATGCATAACTAGAATAACCAACACAACAAAGTGCTTAAGCTGATGGAGCTGAAAGCCAAGGCTCGAGAACTATGTGAAGAATGCAGAAGCCTCAGGAGCTGATGTGATCAACTGGAAGAAAGGGTATCATGATGGAAGATGAAATGAATGAAATGAAGCAAGAAGGGAAGCTTAGAGAAAAAAGAATAAAAAGAAATGAACAAAGCCTCCAAGAAATATGAGGCTATGTGAAAAGACCAAATCTATGTCTGATTGGTGTGCCTGAAAGTGATGGAGAGAATGGAAACAAGTTAGAAAACACTCTGCAGGATATTATCCAGGAGAACTTCCCCAATCTAGCAAGGCAGGCCAACATTCAGATTCAGGAAATACAAAGAACATCACAAAGATAATCCTTGAGAAGAGCAACTCCAAGACACATAACTGTCAGATTCACCAAAGTTGAAATGAAGGAAAAATTGTTAAGGGCAGCAAGAGAGGAAGGTTGGGTTACCAACAAAGGGAAGCCCATCAGATTAACAGAGGATCTCTCGGCAGAAACTCTACAAGCCAGAAGAGAGTGGGGGCCAATATTCAACATTTATAAAGAAAAGAATTTTCAATCCAGAATTTCATATCCAGCCAAACTAAGCTTTATAAGTGAAGGAGAAATAAAATACTTTACAGACAAGCAAATGCTGAGAGATTTTGTCACCACCAGGCCTGCCCTAAAAGAGCTCCTGAAGGAAGCGCTAAACATGGAAAGGAACAAGTGGTACCAGCCACTGCAAAATCATGCCAAGTTGTAAAGACCATCGAGGCTAGGAAGAAACTGCATCAACTAAAGAGCAAAATAACCAGCTAACATCACAACGACAGGATCAAATTCCCACATAACAATATTAACTTTAAATGTAAATGGACTAAATGCTCCAATTAAAAGACACAGACTGGCAAATTGGATAAAGAGTCAAGACTCATCAGTGTGTTGTATTCAGGAAACCCATCTCACATATATAGACACATATAGGCTCAAAATAAAAGGATGGAGGAAGATCTACCAAACAAATGGAAAATAAAAAAAGGTAGGGGTTGCAATCCTAGTCTCTGATAAAACAGACTTTAAACCAACAAAGATCAAAAGAGACAAAGAAGGCCATTACATAATGGTAAAGGAATCAATTCAATGAGAAGAGCTAACTATCCTAAATATATATGCACCCAATACAGGAGCACCCAGATTATAAAGCAAGTCCTGAGTGACCTACAAAGAGACTTAGACTCCCACACCATAATAGCGCAGGACTTTAACACCCCTCTGCCAACATTAGACAGATCAACAAGAAGGAAAGTTTATAAGGATACCCAGGAATTGAACTCACCTCTGCACCAGGTGGACCTAATAGACATCTACGGAACTCTCCACCCCAAATCAACAGAATATACATTTTTTTTTCAGCACCACACCACACCTATTCCAAAATTGACCACATAGTTGGAAGTAAAGCTCTCCTCAGCAAATGTGAAAGATCAGAAATTATAACAAACTGTCTCTCAGACAACAGAGCAATCAAACTAGAACTCAGGATTAAGAAACTCACTCTAAACCACTCAACTACATGCAAACTGAACAACCTGCTCCTGAACGACTACTGGGTATATAATGAAATGAAGGCAGAAATAAAGATGCTCTTTAAAACCAATGAGAAAAAAGACACAACATACCAGAATCTCTGGGACACTTTTAAAGCAGTGTGTAGAGGGAAATTTATAGCACTAAATGCACACAACACAAAGCAGGAAAGATCCAAAATTGACACCCTAATATCACAATTGAAAGACCTAGAAAAGCAAGAGCAAACACATTCAAAAGTTAGCAGAAGACATGAAATAACTAAAATCAGAGCAGAACTGAAGGAAATAGAGACATAAAAAAACCCTTCAAAAAATTAATGAATCCAAGAACTGGTTTTTTGAAAGGATCAACAACACTGATAGAACTCTAGCAAAATAAAGAAAAAAGAGAGAAGAATCAAATATATGCAATAAAAAATGATAAAGGGGATATCACGACCGATCCCACAGAAATACAAACTACCATCAGAGAATACTACAAACACCTCTATGCAAATAAACTAGAAAATCTAGAAGAAACGGATAAATTCCTTGACACATACACCCTCTCAAGACTAAAGCAGACAGAAGGTGAATCTCTGAATAGACCAATGACAGGCTCTGAAATTGTGGCAATAATCAATAGCTTACCAACAAAAACGAGTCCAGGACCATATGGATTCACAGCCGAATTCTACCAGAAGTACAAGGAGGAACTGGTACCATTCCTTCTGAAACTATTCCAATCAATAGAAAAAGAGGGAATCCTCCCTAACTCATTTTATGATGCCAGCATCATCCTGATACCAAAGCCAGGCAGGGACACAACCAAAAAAGAGAATTTCAGACCAATATCCTTCATGAACATTGATGCAAAAATCCTCAATAAAATACTGGCAAACCAAATCCAGCAGCACATCAAAAAGCTTATTCACCATGATCAGGTGGGCTTCATCCCTGGGATGCAAGTCTCATTCAATATACGCAAATCAATATATGTAATCCAGCATATAAAGAGAACCAAAGACAAAAACCACATGATTATCTCAATAGATGCAGAAAAGGTCTTTGACAAAATTGAACAATGCTTCATGCTAAAAACTCTCAATAAATTCGGTATTGATGGGACATATCTCAAAATAATAAAAGCTATCTATGACAAAGCCACAGTCAATATCATACTGAATGGACAAAAACTGGAAGCATTCCCTTTGAAAAGTGGCACAAGACAGGGATGCCCTCTCTCACCACTACTATTCAACATAGTGTTGGAAGTTCTGTCCAGGGCAATTAGGCAGGAGAAGGAAATAAAGGGTATTCAATTAGGAAAAGAGGAAGCCAAATTATCCTTGTTTGCAGATGACATGATTGTATATCTAGAACACCCCATTGTCTCAACCCAAAATCTCCTTAAGCTGATAAGCAACTTCAGCAGTCTCAGCATACGAAATCAATGTGCAAAAATCACAAGCATTCTTATACACCAATAACAGACAAACAGAGAGCCAAATCATGAGTGAACTCCGATTCACAATTGCTTCAAAGGGAATAAAATACCTAGGAATCCAACTTACAAGAGACGTGAAGGACCTCTTCAAGGAGAACTACAAACCACTGCTCAAGGAAATAAAAGAGGATACAAACAAATGGAAGAACATTCCATGCTCATGTGTAGGAATAATCAATATCATGAAAATGGCCATACTGCCCAAGGTAATTTATAGATTCAATGTCATCCCCATCAAGCTACCAATGACTTTCTTCACAGAACTGGAAAAAACTACTTAAAAGTTCATATGGAACCAAAAAGAGCCCACATCATCAAGTCAATTGTAAGCCAAAAGAGGAAAGCTGGAGGCATCACACTACCTGACTTTAAGCTGTACTACAAGGCTACATTAACCAAAACAGCATGGTACTGGTACCAAAACTGAGACACAGATCAATGGAACAGAACAGAGCCCTCAGAAATAACACCACATATCTACAACCATCTGAACTTTGACAAACCTGAGAAAAACAAGCAATGGGGAAAGGATTCCCTATTTAATAAATGGTGCTGGGAAAACTGGCTAGCCATATGTAGAAAGCTGAAACTGGATCCCTTCCTTACACCTTATACAAAAATTAATTCAGGATGGATTAAAGACTTAAACGTTAGACCTAAAACCATAAAAACCCTAGAAGAAACCATAGGCATTACCATTCAGGACATAGGCATGGGCAAGGACTTCATGTCTAAAACACCAAAAGCAATGGCAACAAAAGCCAAAATTGACAAATGGGATCTAATTAAACTCAAGAGCTTCTGCACAGCAATAGAAACTACCAACAGAGTGAACAGGTATCCTACAAAATGGGAGAAAATTTTCACAACCTAATCATCTGACGAAGGGCTAATATTCAGAATCTACAGTGAACTCAAACAAATTTACAAGAAAAAAACTAACAACCTCATCAAAAAGTGAGCGAAGGATATGAACAGACACTTCTCAAAAGAAGACATTTATGCAGTCAAAAAACACATGAAAAATTGCTCAGCATCACTGGCCATCAGGGAAATGCAAATCAAAACCACAATGAGATACCATCTCACATCAGTTAGAATGCCAATCATTAAAAAGTCAGGAAACAACAGGTGCTGGAGAGGATGTGGAGAAATAGGAACACTTTTACACTGTTGGTGGCACTGTAAACTAGTTCAACCATTGTGGAAGTCAGTGTGGTGATTCCTCAGGGATCTAGAACTAGAAATACCATTTGACCCAGCCATCCCATTACTGGGTATATACCCAAAGGACTGTAAATCATGCTGCTATAAAGACACATGCACATGTATGTTTATTGTGGCACTATTCACAATAGCAAAGACTTGGAACCAACCCAAATGTCCAACAGTGATAGACTGGATTAAGAAAATGTGGCACATATACACCATGCAATACTATGCAGCCATAAAAAATGATGAGTTCATGTCCTTTATAGGGACATGGATGAAATTGGAAATCATCGTTCTCAGTAAACTATCGCAAGAATAAAAATCCAAACACCACATATTCTCACTCATAGGTGGGAATTGAACAATGAGATCACATGGACACAGGAAGGGGAACATCACACTCTGGGGACTGTTGTGGGGTGGGTGGAGGAGGGAGGGATAGCTTTAGGAGATATACCTAATGCTAAATGACGAGCTAATGGGTGCAGCACACCAGCATGGCACATGTATACATATGTAACTAACCTGCACATTGTGCACATGTACCCTAAAACTTAAAGTAAAATAATAATATAATAAAAAAAGAAATTTATAACAGAAATCATTCATATAGGAGAAACTAGAAAAGCACCAATGACAGGGAGTGGTTTTTAGAAGTAGGACTAGCCTCGGAGAAGAGAGGTGTGAGGAAGTGTATCTTACAGGCGTTAGGACCCAGGAGGCAAGAGTCAGGATAGATAGGATAGTTGGGTGAGTCTTGCTTGGGTGACATGACTTTGAGAGATCTGCTCATGGCTACGGGGTCAACGAACTTTTTGTCAGTACCCTGGAACTGAATGGCTTTCCTCTCTGTCAACCCTTGGCTCAGCCTGGAAATGCAAGAAAATGGGAAGCTGGTTCCAGGCAAACTAACACTCCCAACTCTGAAGACTCGGGAGTTGTAAAAGAGCCTTTTCCCAGAAAGCCTGACACCCGTGTCTTTAGTCTGGTGGCCAAGCTAATTCCTTTTAACTGGCTGATAGTGCCTGAATTTTAACCCCCAAATTCTAAGGAAAAATAGGACAGAATAGCAATTGAAAGGGGTCAAATGGTACTCACCGCTTGGTCATAGTCCCTTTCTGGTCTCCAAGATGTGTCAACAGTTTGTTCCTTCCAGTGGGTTCATGGTCTCGCTGACTTCAAGAATGGAGCTGCGGACCTTTGCAGTGAGTGTTAGAGTTCTTAAAGATGGCACAGACTCAAAGAGTGAGCCACAGCAAAATTTACTGTGAGGAGTGAAAGAATAACGCTTCGACATCGTGGAAGGGGACCAAAGTGGGTTGCCACTGCTGGCTGGGGTGGCTAACTTTTATTCCCTTATTTGTGTCTTCAATTCCCACTTGACCCAGGAAGCCCATCTGGCTTCACCTCTCTCTTTGATGGTGCTACTGCACTCCAGCCTCAGTGACAGTGAGAACCTGTGTCTAAACAAGCAAACAAAAAAAGATACTGTTTATCAACAATTTTTATAACAGTAACACTGTATTAAGTAAAGTAGTGATGGTAGATGGTTTAAAGTGTATGGGAGGACATGCTTAGGTGGTATGGAAATGTTGCATCATTTTACATAAGGTACTTGAGCATTCTTGGATTCTGGTATTAGTGGAAGTCCTAGAACCAACTCCCTGAGGCTATTGAGGTCCTTTCTTTGGCCTAAAAGACAAAACAGGTGTGTACTCAGGCTGAGAAGATCCTCCTCACTCCTCTCCTTCAGGGAGAACAGGCCAAGTTACCATCTTTGACTCAGTGCACTCCACCCAGGCCCCTTCCCCAGGCCTCTTTGCCCTAGTCCCCTGTTCTTCCAAGCCTGCTTAAGCCATGCACCCAATCCTCTGCCCAGAGGTGCCTGGGATGCAAGGGGAATTGTCAGAGATTAGTCTAAACCATGTGCAAAAATGCAGGCCTGATGACTTCTGCCCCTTGGGACTGTCTTCTTCCCACATGGGATTTATTTGTGCCAAGTTAGGTAATTTTGCCATGTGGTTGGAGATACTTTGAGTACAAAGTTGAAGGGACACACTTCCCCCAGACTGTTTTCATTTTCAACAAATTACTGGATTCCCTGTTTAGGATCCGATGGCATCTTCTTCTTGCTTCCAGCTCTCCAGTGCCTGGATACTTTCTGAAAAGTATTCAGAATGTCAGTTCTTCTTTCCAAATTCACCTGCAGAGAGTGGAGGAGAACAGAGTGGGCTTCCCATGTGGAGGTTTTCTCTTTTATACCCACCTACCATTGTATTGACACAGACACTTTTGGTTCCGGAAGAAAACATTTTCAAGCTGCTTTCATGACTCCTTGGAACTCAGATGCACAGCTCAGAAGCGATGGAATGCAACTGATGTGTCATTGATGTGCCTTTCAAACTTTAATTCTCTTACCTAAAGGAAAATAAACAGCACAGAAAAATACACTAAGCATCCCACTCAAGAAGTTAGAAAAGAAATGAAGAATAACAAGAAAGAGTAGAAGAAAATAAAACAAAAACAGTAGAATTCACTAAATTAGAGGAGAAAATAAAAGAGAGATCAAAATAGACAAAGTTAAAAAATTATTTAATTTTACTAAGGTAATTTCAGTAGAATTGTTTTTTAAGGGGTAAAAATGCATTTAAACACTTAATTGCTTACTTTAACTGTTAATTTAAATAAAATTAGTTAAAATTTATTTTTATCACTTTAATTTTTTGTTATTTTATTAGTTATTAGTAAATGTTATTAGATAACATTTTATAACATAAACATTTCATAGCATGATTTTATATAAGGGCCTTGAACATCCTTGGATTTTGGTGTAAGTGGAAGTTTTTGTAACATAAAATTGATAAGTAATAATAATATAATAAAAATCAAATTAAAATAATGCAATAGCTTAAATTAGTTTAATTTTATTTTAATTAACATTTAATAAACTTCATTTTACTTTAAATCAAATTTTAATTTGTAGTAACATTAAAAATAAATGACAATAAAAATAATAGAATTAATAAAATCTGCTAAGATTGCAAATAAAAATAAACAGCATATGCCAATAAATAATATTAAGAAGAAAAAAGGAATATAACTCTGGATGTAGCTGAGTTTATAAGGAAAATAAGATGATAGTAGGAATAATTATTCCAGTGTATTTAAAAACTTTAGACACAATGGACACATTCATGGAACAGTATGTTTTACCCAAACTGACTCAAGTAAATATAGACTACCAAAATGGTATTGTAGCAATGTAATACATTGAGTGAGTGGTTAAAAAGCTTCTCACCAAGAGAATGCTAGACCTAGCTTGTATTATTAGGAAGAAGAAAATTCATGTATTACCTAAACTCCTTCATACAACAGAAAAAGAAGCAACATCTGCAATGTATTTTGAGGCCAAGGATATTTTGATATTCAAACTCAACAAACTCAAAAAATATAGCATGGGAAAAGAAATTATAGACCAATCTCTCTATGTACCCTTTGTGGGGTACAAATGTCAGCAAGTTTCAACAATAGACAAATCTATAATTGTACTTTAAATGTTTACAGATTAAAGGAGAAAAAAGCAAATAAAAACAAAATATTTCTCATATCAATTGATGCAGAAAGCAGCTGTGATAAAATTGAACACCCATTCAGGATATAACAAACTAGGAATAAATACAAACTTCCTTAATCTGATAAAAGCTTTCTGCAGAAAAATGCATGACATAATAAAGAGTGGAATATTAAAAGTGGTCTCTTTAAAGTCAGGAACAGGTGGGACATGGTTGCTCACTCCTGTAATCCCAGAAATTTTGGAGGCTGAGGTGGCTGGTTTGCCTGAGTGCAGGCGTTTGAAACCAGCCTGGGCAACAGAGTGAGGCCCCATCTCTACAAAAATACAAAAATTAGCTGGGTGTGGTGGCATGTACCTGTAGTCCCAGCTACTTGGAAGGCTGAGGTGGGAGGATCACTTGGGCTCGGGAAGTCAAGGCTGCAATGAGCTATGAACACACGAAGGAATTCCAGTCTGGGCAATAGAGTGAGACCTGTCTCAAAAAACAAAACAAAAAGAAAAAAAGAAAAAAACAAGAACAATTCAAGGAGAAGTATTCAGAAGAGGAAATATAAATTAAAAATAAACAAATGAAAGCTGTCCAGCTTCATTGGTAGTCAGGGAGAATGACCAAATGCCAGAACACTGACACCACCAAGTGCTGGTGAGGTCATGAAGAAACAAGAATGCCCATTTATGGCTGGTGGGAATGCAAAATGGTGCTGTCACTTTGGAAGACAGTTTGGCAGTTTCTTGCAAAACTAAATATACCTTTGGCATATGATCTAGCAATCAGTTTCCTTGATAGTTACCCAAAAGAGTTGAAACTTGCATCTACACAAAAACTTGCACATGGATATTTACAACAGCTTATTTATAATTATGAAAAGTTGGAGGCAAGATGTCCTTTAATAGGTGAACGGACAAACTGACCATGTTGCATTAGACAATGGAATATTGACAGTGGCCAGGCACAGTGGCTAACACCTGTAATCCCACCACTTTAGGAGGCCGAGGCAGGCAGATCATGAGGTCAAGAGATCGAGACCATCCTGGCCAATATGGTGAAACCTCATCCCTACTAAAAATCCAAAAATTAGCGGGGTGAGGGACCAGGCGTGATGGTTCACACCTGTAGTCCCAGCACTTTGGGAGGCCGAGGTGGGAAGATCATGAAGTCAGGAGATCAAGACCATCCTGGCTAACTCAGTGAAATCCCATCTCTACTAAAAATACAAAAAAAATTAACCAGGTGTGATGGCGGGGCTTGTAGTCCCAGCTACTCTAAAGGCGGAGACAGGAGAATGGCATGAACCCAGGAGGCAGAGCTTGCAGTGAGACGAGATTGTGCCACTGTAGTCCAGCCTCAGCGACACAGCTAGACTCTGTCTCAAAAACAATAAAATAAAAATAAAAAAATAAAAATTAGGTGAGCTTGGTGTTGCTGGCCTGTAATCCCAGCTACTTGGGATGCTAAGGCAGGAGAATCGCTTGAACCCGGCAGGTGGAGGTTGTAGTGAGCCAAGATAATGTCACTGCACTCCAGCCTGGCAACAAGGTGAGACTCTGTCTTAAAAAAAAAAGAAAAAAAAAAGAAAAGCAAGAATGAAAAAATAAATAAATAAATAAATAAATACAAAAATAAGGGCCAGATTTTTTGGCTCATGCCTATAATACTAGCACTTCGTGAGGCCAAGAAGGGAGAGTCACTTCAGTCCAGGAGTTTAAGGTCAGCCTGAGCTGCATTGTAAGATCTCATCTCTATAAAAATTTGAAAATTAGCTGGGTGCATTGGCTCGTGTCTGTAATCTCCACTATTCAGGAGGCTGAGGTTAAAGTATTGCCTAAGCCCAAGAGGTTGTGACTGCAGTGAGCTATGATTGCACCACTGCAGTCCAGCCAGGGTAACAGAGTGAGACTGTGTCTCAAACAAAAAGAAGAGAAGAAATAAGCTATAAGCCACACATATTACTAAGTGAAAGAAGGTAATATGAAAAGACTACATATGATTCTAACTATAAAACATTCTGCAAAAGGCAAAACTATGAAACAGTACAAAGATCACTGGTTGCCAGGATTTGGGAATGATTAGATGGAGTATAGAGGATTTTTAGGGCAATAAAACTCCTCTGTGTTACACTGTAGTGGTGGATCCAGGCCATTTTACATTTATCCTAACCCACAGAATGTCCACCCCCAAGCGTGAAACCAAATGTGAATGAATCTGGTGTCAATAATGTGTCACAGATGCACCACTCTCAGGGGAGATGTTTATAGTAGGGGAAGCTATATATGTGTGGGGATAAGAGGTCCATAGAACTCTCTGTACCTTCCTCTTAATTTTGTTATCAACATAAAATAGCTCCAAAGCATAAAGTCTGTTTTTAAAAAACACACAGGCCAGGAGTGTTGGCTCACACTGATAATCCCAGCACTTTGGGGAGCTGATCCAAGAGGATTGCTTGAGTCCAGGAGTTCAAGACCAGCCTGGGTTACACAATGACACCCTGTATCAACGAAAATAAAAATAAAAGTAGCCAGGCATTGTAGAAGGAGCCTGTAATCCCAGCTACTCAGGAGACAGAGGTTGCAGTGAGCTGAGACGGCACTGCTGCACTTCAGCCTGGGTGGCAGAGCAAGACTTTGAAAATACAAACACACAGTGACTCAAACATATAAAAAGATGCTCAACATTACTCATGATGAATGAAATTTTTTAAAACTGCTACAGGTATATCTAAGAAGTAAATAAAAATATTATCCCAGCATGGTTGTGCCGCCAGTAGTCCTAGCTTCTTGGGAGGCTGATTGTGCCATTCTACTCCAGCATGGGCAACACAGTGAGACCCTGCCTCTAAAAAACAACACAAAACAAAAACACAGAGAGAGAACATAATATGCAGTGTAGAGATGAAACATATCACTAAGCTATATATAAAACACGTTGATGAATACCATATGTGGTTAACATAAATGCAGGGTTAAGAGACACACGAGGTGCTTTTAAGGTATGAGATACATGTTTTGATTTAAATTGCATGGTACATGGTGTTTATTCTATTATTCTTGATCTACAGAAAATATGATATACTCACCTATGCATGAAAGAAAAAGAAAATAATTCTAACAGCTGATTTATTTACACTGTAGTGGTGGGACGTTTTCAGCATTTTTGATATCACATGATTGTACCAAGAAGTCAATTAGAATTTCAGAACTGGAACAGACCAGGAACAGAAATATCCATGAAGAAAATAAATTCAAAAATAGCGTTAGTGGCATTGTTTTGAAATTTCTTTCATCATGAGTAATTTTGAGCATCTTTTCACATTTGAGTCACTGTGTGTGTGTGTGTTTGTGTGTGTTTGTATGTGTGTGTGTTTTCAAAGTCTTGCTCTGCCACCCAGGCTGAAGTACAGCAGTGCCATCTCAGCTCACTGCAACCTCTGTCTCCTGAGTAGCTGGGGTTACAGGCTCCTGCTACCATGCCTGGCTACTTTTATCTTTATTTTCATTGAGACAGGGTGTCATTGTGTAGCCCAGGTTGGTCTTGAACTCCTGAACTCAAGCAATCCTCTTGGATCAGCTTCCCAAAGTGCTGGGATTATAAGCGTGAGCCAACACTCCTGGCCTGTGTGTTTTTTAAAAACAGACTTTACCATGTTAGTGGTAGAATAGGTTGAGAATGAGCTTGTTTTTCTTTTTATATTTCCTCCTCACTGTTTTGTGAAGCAACACATCCTGTATACCACTGGTCACCTCTTAAAGGTGTTAACTTTGATCTTTCTCTAGACAAGAAAACCACTAGACTTCATGTCATGTGAAGCTATTTTAAAACATATTGTCTCTTTAAGAATGAAAACAGCTTACTATTTTATGTGTATTTACATATTTTATTTTATGTGTATTTTATTTATCTATTTTTGAGATAGGATCTCACTCTGTCACCCAAGCTGGAGTAGAGTGGTGCCATCATGGCTCACTGCAACCACTATCTCTTGTGCTCAGATGGTCCTCCCACCTCAGTCTCTGAGTAGTGGGACTACAGGAATGCACCACCACACCAAGCTATTTTAAAAATACTTTTTTAGTAATGGGTTCTTGCTATGTTGCCCAGGCTGGTCTCGAACTCCTGGACTCAAGCAGTATACCCACTTCAGCCTCCTAAAGTGCTGAGATTACAGATGTAAGCCACTGCACCTGGCCATCAATTTTAATTATTTTTGTGTATTAATGAAATATCCTAAAATTCAACTAATAACCAAAATAAGACATACTATCAGTTCTTGGTAAGAAATGAGAGTCTTAGCTGGACACAGTGGCCCACTTCTATAATCCCAGAAATTTAGCAGGACAAGGTGGGAGGATTGCTTGAGCCCAGGAGTTTGAGACTAGCCTGGGCAATATAGTGAGACTCCATCTCTACAAAGAATACAAAAATAAGCTGGGCATGGTGGCATGGGCCCGTAGTCCCAGCTAGTCCCAGCTACTGAGGAGTCAGAGGTTGGAAGATCTCTCAAGTGGGGAAGTCAAGGCTGCAGCAAGCCATGATCCAGCCATTGCACTCTAACCTGCATTACAGGGTGATAATGCATCTCAAAAATAATAACATAACATAACATAACATAACATAACATAACATAACATAACATAACATAATATATCATAACATAAAAGAAGGGAACAGAAGTGAAGGGGAAGGGAAGGGAGAGGAGGGGATGGGGAGGTTGGGAGGAAGGAAGAAAAAAAAGAAAAGAAAAAAAATGAGAGTCTCGAATATTGAAGCAAGTGAGTGGAATACTTCCAATATAACATGATCCAATATAACATGATTTTCAAGTGGAACTTAAAAGACTTCCTTAATTCTTACTCTTTCCTTGTAAAATCTCCAGACTCTTAAATGTATTTTATGGAGTGAAAGTAACAAGAAGTTAATTCATTTCTACATCACCCCCAATGAATCTAATATTCTGTCTCTCTCTCTCATATATATATATATATATGTAAAAAAATGTACTTTACATATATAAAGTAGATTTTTTGTGTATATATACACACACCTCTATCTTTCCACATATATTTGTGTTGTATTTGTGTGTATATATATTTTATATATATAAATATATATATGTATAAAGTAAAAAAGTGAGACCCTGTCTCAGAAAAAAAAAAAAAATAGAGCTGTGAGCTAAATGATGGGAACTTATGAACACCAAGAAGGAAACAACAGATACTGGGGCCTACTTGAGGGTGGAGAATCGGGGGAGGGAGAGAAGCAGGAAAGATGGCTATTGGGTCCTGGGCGTAATACCTGGGTGATGAAACAATCTGTGCAAAAACTCCCATGACACATGTTTACCTATGTAACAAAACTTCCCATGTACCATCAAATCTAAAATAAAAATGAAAAAATGTTAAAAAAAAAAAAGAAAGAAAAATATAGAGCATGGGCCAGATGCAGTGGCTCACACCTGTTATCCCAACACTTTAGAAGGCCAAGGCAGGCAGATTGCTTGAGCTCAGGAGTTTGAGACCAGTCTGGGTAACATGGTGAAACCTCATCTCTAAAAAAAGAGAATATAAAAAATAGCCTGGTGTCGTGGAGTGCACCTGTAGTCTCAGATACTTGCGGTGGGGGCAGGGTTGGGGGGGTGAAATAGGAGGATGGCTTGAACCTGGGAGATTGAAGTTGAAGTGATCTGTGGTTGGGTTGCTGTACTTTAGCCTGGGCAACAGAGTGAGACCCTGTCTCAAAAAATATACATAGAGAGAGTGAGCATCTCTGGAATAGTGAACACTAAAATGTGCTACTTCAGTCCCTGCTATGAAGGTGGATGTGTGTGTACTTTTTTGTGTCTGTTTTTATTTCTTTGGGGTACATATTTGGGAGGGTCAGGCTTTGTCTTAATGTCTCGCCTTGGGCACAGTATCTCACCTTTACTCTCAGCTCTCCCCAGCTTCCATGAATCTAGATCTCTGCTTGTTCATCACTGATTATATTTCCAAGCAGTTTATTCATCTGGCTGCTAAGAGTGGGAGGAGAATTCTTCTGACAAGCACTACTCCTGCTTCCAGCCCTGTCTGTGTCTGCATCTGGAAAGCCACATGCTGCCCCCAATTCCTGAAATTTTTAAGAGCTCTGTAGCTTTTCATTGGCTTTTCCTGTCCACTGCTGTGAGTTCATTGCCTCCTTCTTTCTCCTGCCTGCCATGACAGTTACTATAGCTTAGGTTCTTAGTCCATTTGGGCTGGGAGGATTATAGACAACAAATATTTTTGCTTACAGTTCTGGAGGCTGATCAAGGTGTGGCAGATTCAGTATCTGGTGGGGATCTGCTTCCTGGTTTCATGGACAGCACCTTCTTGCTGTGTCCTCTCATGGTAGAAACGATGAGGAAGCTCTCTAGTTTCTCTTTTAAAAGGGCATTCATCCTTTCATGAGGCTCCACATGCATGATCTCATCTCCTTCCATAGATACCACCTCCTGTCACCATCACTTTGGGGACGAAGATTCAACATAGTAATTTTCAGGAGATACGCACATTCAGACCACAGCATCTATCCGCATCCAAGCCTTCAAAAGGTCATCCTCATCTTTTTTTTTGTTTGTTTGTTTGTTTGTTTGAGACAAAGCCTCACTCTGTTGCCAAGGCTGGAGTGCAGGGGCATGATCTCAGCTCACTACTACCTCTGCTTCCTGGGTTCAAGCAATTCTCCTACATCAGCTGCCTGAGTAGCTGAGACTACATGCACACACCAAGGAGCCTGGATAATTTTTGTGTTTTTAGTACAGACTGAGTTTCACCGTGTTGGTCGGGCTCCTCTTAAACTCCTGGCCTCAGGTGTTCTGCTCTCCTTGGCCTCCCAAAGTGCTGGGATTACAGGCATGAGCCACTGTGCCCCACCCCATCCTCATCTTTTGTTTGCCCTGTTCTCACACATTCTCTCTGTCCTTGTTTTCCTTTTAATTCCAGCCTACATCCATTTTGAGGAGGGGTAAAAAGAGAAAAAGGAGGCAGACACCCATGTGGACACACACGCACACACATACACAAGGGGATTAATATAAACCACTCTATTAAACCTGCTATGCCTAATGGTAAGTCCCAGTTCTTCATTTATAAATCTGAATTTCCCATTAGACTATCTGAGCTTAAAAGGAAAACATGTTTCTGTCAGCCTTTTTATTTCTGATCCTCAGTGCGCTGCCTCAAAACATGAGCCATCAATCAGAACATGTTCATTAAGTAGGAAGATGAGACTCATCAATGCCTATGTTAATTTGCTTCTAGAGGTCAAGGTATCTCTTCTACTCTTTAAACATGCTACATTGAAAATTAGAGAAATTAAACCAAGGTTGCTTCTATGTTTAAGAAAAGAAGGGGTAAATGGCTGGAAATGAGAATGGTTTTTCTCTCTCTCTCTCTTTTTTTTTTTTTTTTTGGAGACAGGTTCTTACTCTGTTGTCCAGGCTGGAGTGCAGTGTGCAATCATGCCTCACCGCAGCTTTGACATCCCAGGCTCAAGTGATCCTCCCACCTCAGCCCCTTGAGTAGCTGGGACCATGGGTGTTCACCCCCATGCCAGGGAAATTTGTTTTGTGTTTTTAGCAGACAGGGTTTCACCATGTTGCCAGGCTGGTTTCAAACTCTTGGACTCAAGAGATCTGCCCTTCTCAACCTCTCAAAGCACTGGGATTACAGTAATGAGCCACTATGCCCAGCTTGAAATGAGAATGTTTTATGAAAGTATAGAAGAACCTCTAAGTTTCTGGGTCCCCAGGAGACAGGGAGGCAAATGACTCACATGAGGGAACATTGTTGTGATATTTTAGAGTGTGAAGGGTGAAGAGAAAGGACTCTAGAATAGTTTGGGGAGTGGGAAGGCAGAAGGAGAAAGACAGAGAGAGAGAGAATGACAGAGTAATTCAAAAAGAGAGAGGGAGAAAAAGAGATCATGCAAGAGAGAATGAGAGACTAAGAGAATGACAGAAGTATGCACACAAAGACAGAGTGGCAGGGAAAAAGAGAGAAAGAGACTGGAAGACAGAAAGAAAATGAAAGGGAGAATAAGAGATAGAGAAAGTGAGAAACAAAATGAGAGGCCAGGCACCGTGGCTTATGCCTGTAATCCAAGCACTTTGGGAGGCTGAGGAGGGCAGATCACCTGAGGTCAGGAGGTTGAGACCAGCCTGGCCAAAATGGCAAAACCTCATCTCCACTAAAAATACAAAAATTAGCTGGGTGTGGTGGTGTACACCTGTAATTCCAGCTACTTAGGACAGAATCATTTGAACTCAGGAGGCAGAGGTTGCAGTGAGCCAAGATCATGTCACTGCACTCCAGCCTGGGCAACAGAGTGAGACTCCATCAAAAAAAAGAAAAAGAGAAGAGAGAAGAGGAGAGGAGTGGACAGGAAGGAAAAGAAAGAGAAAGAAAAAGAAAGAGAAAGAAAAAGAAAGAGATGCAAAGTCTTGAGAAATAAAAAGGGGATTGGACTTTGCCTTAGGCTCAGCAGCACTGGAAGCCCAACATTAACAGTGATACCTTCACCTGTTGCAGGAATGTCTAGGATTGCATATAGAACCCAGCCGTGACCCAAGAGTAGCTGAGCATGAAGGTCAGAACTCTTGTACATGCAGAATGCTTCATAACGGTAATCTCCATGCACTCTTGATGGTAATGTCTTTGAATATTGGATTTGAGGAAATGAGGGAAGGCAATTTGAGCATGAGGGAGACATGAAATTTAGAAACTGACATTGCTAACATGAAGGAATTATTGGGGAATTTTCAAGATGACCACAAAAATAAACATCCTGTGTACAATTAGTAGGAAACTGACCTTAACATTTTACAACTGTGATCACATTTAATGCTCATGACTATTACTATTCCCACTTTCCAGCCAGCTATGGAAGCTGAGTTGCAGAAAGGCCAACTTATCTGACTAAGATACCAGAAGAAGCAAGCCAGGACACAAACTCAAGGCACTTGGAAACAGGACATACTAGGGTTGATGTCTCTGTGGATGTCTTAGAAAGTGGTGAGTCCAGGTTGGAAAAGGAACTGTAGGACCCCAGGAGACTGTGTTTAACATCATCCTGTGACTACCTTAGGTGGCTGATTGTATTTGGAAGGGATTGGCAGGCTCATCGTAAGTCTGTGAAAATAATTTTAATAGGGAAGACATGAACTGGAAGCAAGTTTAGAAAATGCAAGAATTTATACAAAGAAGGGAAGTTAAGCACATCTCAGTATTTAGAGAATTCACATAATGTAAGCTTGACTATTCATTTAGTAAACATTAGTGATGTAGCCACATCAGGAAGATGAAAATAGAAAATTAATAGGCACCATCTAAAAAAAAGAAACACACTCGAGATTTCTGAACAAATATGTTATTTCAAAATAGAAATACATCCCAGGAAAAAAAAATATAAGAGTGAACATTGAGGGCAAGAGGTACTGCTTCACTTTTGAGCCTTATACATCTATCACTTTGACAAGACTAAAAATTAAACTTAAAATTAAAGGCCAAGCATGATGGCTCATGTCTGCAATCTCAGTGTTTTAGAGGCAGAGGTAGGAGGATACCTTGAAGCTGGAGGTTTGAAACCAGTCTGGACAATGTAGTAACACCCTGTCTCTATGAAAAATTTAAAATTGGTTGGGCATGTCTGTGGTCCCAACTACTCAAGAGGCTGAGGTAGGAGAAAACTTGAGCCCAGGATTTCTTTTTTCTTTTTCTTTTTCTTTTCTTTTTTTTTTTTTTTTGAGATAGAGTTTCACTCTTGTTGCCCAGTTAGGAGTAAAATGACACTCTCCTGGTTCATCACAACCTCTGCCTCCCAGGCAGAAATTATTCATTTCAATTTCAGAAATTGAAATTATTCATTTTAATTATTTTGCATAAATATATTATTAAATATATTTAATATATTAAACATATTTTCTTTAATGTTTTCAGTATTTACTTTCTACATATTTCTATACTCTTTTTTCTCTTTTTTCACTTTAAACACACTTATATTGGCATCTTTTTTAATTGACAAATCAAATGATATATATATATTTATGGTGTTTTGATACATGTATCCATTGTAGAATGGCTAAATTGAACTAATTATGTTTTGTTTTCATGGTAAGAACACTTAAAAATCTACTCTCTTGGTAATTTTCACTTAACAGTAAATGCCTTCATCATTTGCCAACAATAAAATATATTGTTATTTACTCTGGTCATCATTTTATATGTTAGAGCTCTTGTACTTATCCATCCTGTCTAAATGACATTTTGTGTCTTTTTCTCTTTTTTTTTTTTTCTTTTTTTTTTAACATTCCTGAGTTCTCACTCTATTGCCCAGGCTGGAGTGCAGTGGTGTGATCATGGCTCAATGGAGCCTTGAAATCCTGGGCTCAAGCGATTCTCCTGCCTCAGCCTCCCAAATAGCTGGTACCACAGCTGTGCAGCACCATGCCCAGCTAATTAAAAGTATTTTTGGTAGAACTAGGATCTCACTATGTTACCCAGGCTCATTTTTTATCATTTGACCAGTGAATTCTTTGTAGCATCACCATGATCTATTTGCAAAACACTTTCTTCACCCCAAGCAAAAACAATGTCCCAATTAAGTAATAATTTTCCATTTTTGCTCCCCACCATCCCCTGACAAAAACCATTCTACATTATGTCTCCAAATATTTGACTCTTTGAGTGACTTCCTATAAATGGAATCATACATTATTTGTCTTATCGTAATGTGCTTCTTTCACTTAGCATAATGTCTACAAGATTTATCAATATTGTACCATATGTCAGAATTTTCTCCCTTTTGAAGGATGAATAATATTTTATTGAATTCATGTACCACATTTTTTATCTGTTCATCGATGGACATTTGAGTTGCTTCCATCTTTTGGCTGTTGTGAGTAATGCTGCTATGAGCACATATAAATATCTCTTTGAGATCTTGTTTTCAATATTTTTAGGTATGTACCCAGAAGTGGAATTGCTGGGTTGGATGATAATTCTATTTTCAGTTGTTTTGGGGAACTAGTAACACTATACTTCCCTAGGCAGGGCTTTGCCTATGTCCATGGTTGCTCCAATGTGGAACCACTCTTATGAACCTGTTCTGTGTCCAGGTTCCAGCCTGCTGGACTTGGTCGATGAGAGGACTAATTCCTGTTCAAGACCGTCAAGGATTTTCTTATTCAGAACCATGACCAAGGACTATGATAAATAAATAGATGATGGATGCATGCAGGTAGATGGATAGATGGAAGACAATGGATAGATGATGGATGTATATATAAAATATGGATGAATGGATGGTTGATAACGGATGAATTGATAGATGGGTAGTGGATGGTTGGATAGATAGATGAATAATGAATGATTGAATGGAGGTTGGATGAATGAATAGCTAACATGTTGATGGATTGATAGATGTATGCATAAAAGGATGATAGATGGATAAATGGATTGATTGATAGTTGTATGCATAAAAGGATGATAGATGGACAAATGGATTGAATGGATGATGGAATACAGATGGATGGATGGATGGATGGATGGATGGATGGATGGATGGATGGATACATGGATGGATGGATGGATGGAAGGATAGATGGATGGATGGATGTTAGGTAAATGAATGCATAGATGAATACTTAGACGTAATATGGATGGCCTAATGGAAAATGACCCAGTGTTCTAAAAGCTCCAGTTCTGGCCCTGACACTAATATTTTATTCCTTTGTAATTAATTTAGGCAAACCCCTTTGTATCTAAATTGTGATTATGGACAAGGCTCTACAGAAAGTTGTGTTTGTGTATGTTTCTACAGAAACATTTGTGTACCAATGTCAGCTGGAGACTTTGGCACCCTTAAGTGGAGACAAAATTGTCTCATGCTCTGATTTTTACTTCGCATGAAAATTTATATCTGTTCCTCCATTTTTGTGAATTTCCTAGGGGCTGGAAGGAAGGTTACCTTTTTATAGAAGCCCTGTCTTCTGGATATCTGCTTGCACACCCTGCCCCCAACCCCCCAGAATCTGAAATGAAAGGAAAGAAATCCTCTTCCGCAAGTTTCAAGCAAACACACCACACTGATGCAGTCCTCTCAGTGTATCACAGCAGACAGCAAATATAGTGCTGAGAGAGAAAGCAGAGAAAGAGTTTACAATGCATTATTCTGTTTTTCTCCCCTCTTTGGTTCCCTGCAGTTTCCTTCTTCTCCTCTATCATTGATTCTGAAAATTCACCCAGCCCTCTACAGCTTCTGCTCCCAAAACACACTTCTAGCCCACTGGGGCACCCAGTGGAACATCAGGGTTGCCATTCAAGTTGATTCTCTCTTCTTCAAAGGTAGTTGTGGTTCTAAAAGCAGCATTATTTTTTTTCCTGTTTTCCGTGTATGTTTCCAATAGACTGTCAATGTTAGGAAAATTAGTCTGAAAATCAAATTAAGGCTGGGCATAGTGGCTCATGCCTGTAATCCCAGCACTTCAGAAGCCTGAGGCAGGAGGATTGCTTGAGACCAGAAGTCTCAGTCCAGCCAAGGCAACATAGTGAAACCCTGTCTCTACAAAAATTTACAAAAATAAAACATTAGGCATAGTGGTACACACATGTAGTATCAGCAACTCAGAGGTTGAGGTGGGAAGATCACTTGAGCCCAGGTGATTGAGGCTGCAGTGAGCAGTGATTGTACCACTGTACTTCAGTCTGGGCAACAGAGAAAGACCCTGTCTCAAAATAAAGAGACAAAAAATCCAATTGATGTGGTCTTAGATCCTGGTCCTGCATCTCAGGGGATTTTTGTGAAATCAAGGCATTTTATGTAAAGAATTTATCATAATATTTGGCATTTAGTGACTAATCAATGATAAGCACTACTTAACATCAATAATAATATATTTTCTTATTTTTCTGCTTAGTAATAGATAAAAATCTAGTCATTATATTAATATGCATATGTTTTATACATTTTTAATAGCTCCCCGTGCCCTCTAACATAAGCCAATGCTTTTCAATTGGATGTTGCAGAATTAAGTACCATTTTTCTAGGTGTCAAAATAAAGTCTTAAAATATTGTCTCTGCATTTGCAGATGAATGTGAAGAATCATGAGCATTTTAAGTTATACAATATCTAATCCTCTGAAAGTGGACAGAGTCCCCCAATATTGAGATAAAGTGTGAGTTGTGTGGTACCTTGCTGTTTGAGAGAAGCTTCAATACCTAATATAAGTAGAGAAGCTGTAACACCTAACATAGGTAGTCTACTTGGGATTATAAATATCTATTGATATTTCTATTTGTAACTCAGCTCTAGTCTGTTTCCTAATTTCTAAGTTCCTTTTAAAAGCAGTCAGTTCCTTTAAGGAAAAAAAATAACTATTTTATAAGCATTTCTGTTTTTTAAGCTACTCTTCTTTCTCACTTGTCTATGGATGTGTCAAACTTGGAGGTTTCCTCTTTTTTATTGTTTATTTGTGTGTTTTGCCACCATTCTCAGCCTCTCCCTGCCACAGATACTACAGCCCTCCTGCCTTTGTGTTCTGCTCTGATTAGGCCTCAACAGGCTCTAAGGATGCCTTCACCAGCTGGAAGAATCAAAGACTGGGGCCAGGACTTGTCAGTATCTGATAACGCAGAAATTCCTCATCCATATGTAGCTCTACGTTCTTCTCCCTATCACCATATCAACCAATTTCCATGCTAGAATAGAGATGTCAGACTTGGTCCTTATGTCTCTCTCTTGGTGAACTTGATCTTGCTCCTGCATTTTGGCCATGTATGGCCTTCATCCATCTAAGTACAGCACTCAGCTGCTGACCCAATTGTGAATTTTGCACCAATTGCTAGCTCTTGCTGCTTTGCTTTGTGGAAATAAACAAAGACCAAGAACATGAGAACATATGAAGTTTGTCTCTTCAGAGACTTCTGTGGCAAGGGGTTCAGCCACATCATCCATCTATGTTTCCATCCATCCATTTTTCCATCCACCCATCCATTAATGCATACATTATATATCCATCTGTCAACCCACCCATAATCCATCCATCCATCCATTCATTCATTCATTATATATTCATCCATCCACCCATTATATATCTATCCAACCACCCATCTGTTTATCCATTTGTTCACCTGTTATATACCTATCTACCCATTGATTTGTAAATTACCTATTTATCCATTCACCCACCGATTTATTCATCATCCATTCATGTGTACATTATCTATTCATCTGTCCATCATCCATCCATTAATCCATCAGTCCAGCCACTTAACCATTTATCTTTCCCTCCATCCATCAATCACCCATCCACCCACCCACACATCCATTCACCCATCAATCCACCCACTCATCCATCCATTCATTCATTATATATTTATCAATTCATCCATCAATCATCCATCAATCTATTCTCCTATCTGTTCATTTACCCATCCAGAAGATTTTCATTCATCAATCTATCAGTCATTCTATCACTCACCAATCCATTATATATCCATCCTTCCTTTCATCTATTCATTCATCCATCATTAGACCATTTTCTATTCATCCATCAATACATTAATTTACAGATTATCTATTTATTCACCATCCATCCATCCATTTATCCTTTTCTGTTCATCCAATCATCCATTATCTATGCATCTTTCTGTCCATTGATCTATCAATCCACCCATCATTCATTTATCTATCCATTCAATATCTATTCATCCTTCTATCCACCTATTCATCTATTAAAAGCATTTTGCAGACTCACAGGCATAAAAAGAAGCAGGACAGCTTCATAGAGGAGAAAAGGAAAGGTTTCAGGTGTGCCCTGACTGGAGGTGGCTGGCACAGGGAGCCATAGGAGGCTCACTAGAGGCAGGACATTCTTTGCTATTGGTTACAAGTGCATATGTGGCAGTCACTTGTTGGCCCTAAGTGAAGACAAAAATAGGGAAGCTCTCAGATATTAAACAAGTCGTGGTCATTTGGGGCCAATGATTACAGGGGTTGTTGTTTAGCTCCCTGGACTGCTACTGCAGACATTGGTCTGTCTCACTACAAGTGTAACTCATAGTTAGTAAGCTGGCTTTCTGGACTGGCTATTACAGTCAAT
This sequence comes from Homo sapiens, assembly GCF_000001405.40. Taxonomy (NCBI): domain Eukaryota; kingdom Metazoa; phylum Chordata; class Mammalia; order Primates; family Hominidae; genus Homo; species Homo sapiens. The sequence goes on along the minus strand of NC_000024.10, from coordinate 19,195,848 downwards.
GGATTGATTTCCAGGCTGGTTGCTAGAGATCTTGGGTCAGGGTTCTATTTTTTTTCCTTTCTTTCTTTTTTGAGATGGAGTCTTGCTCTGTCCCCCAGGCTGGAGTGCAGTGGTGCAATCTCAGCTCACTGCAAGCTCTGCCTCCAGGTTCAAGCCATTCTCCTGCCTCAGCCTCCCAAGTAGCTGGAACTACAGGTGCCTACCACCATGCCCGGCTAATTTTTCTGTATTTTTTTTTCCTTTAGTAGAGACAGGGTTTCACCTTGTTAGCCAGGATGGTTCAATCTCCTGACCTCCTGATCCATCTGTCTCGACCTCCAAAGTGCTGGGATTCCAAGCCTGAGCCACCCTGCCCACCCCAGGATTCTATTTTTATATACGACCTGGCCATTAACTGATTTTATTTTCAGTCTCCCAGCCCCATGCAGCAGACTGTGTTCTGATGTAGCAAAACCAGACCTGGCATGACTTCATAGCTGGGCAAGCCCCTTTGGCCAGTGATCTCACCCTAACATTGAAATTCCTGTTGAACTCAGATCTGCCCATTTCTACCTTTTGCATCTCCATTCTGCAAGCTTACACTTGCAATTTCTGCAAAATCTGGGTATAATTCATATCATTTAGCCTTTCTCTCTAAAGGCCTACATGCTAAATATTTTTGGCTTTGCAGGCCATGCAGTCTCTGTAGCAACAGGTCAACTCTGTCCAGGAAGCAGAAAACAGACATAGACAATACTTAAATCAACAGGAGTATTTGTGTTCTCTTAAAATTTTATTCATAAAAAAAAATCACTGGCTTGTGTAACAACTGTACTTAGTGTTGAACAGAGGTAGAGCCAGTTTCAATCTCAGAGTTGACTTTGTAGCATACAGTATGGTAAAGAAAAGTACTTAACATTGGCTTACAAATAGTTACAGCTCCATGTTAGCAAATGACTTTGTTTAGACTGTCTGTTTCATGCTGTCATCACCTGGATTTCATCTGGTCTCTTATAATTTAGGGGCTATTACAGGAGGCTTCATGTGTCTTTCTCATTGACTTTGGTGAGAAAATAAAGACAAAATTCAAGTTCTCTGTAGAGAAAGGATGTCTCCCCTTTTTTATTGAATACAACAATTGAATTCAAAACAATTCAACAAATTCAAGTTATGTATTAGACAATATTTTTATTAAGTAGTGGGTCTCAAATTTTTAGTCTCAGGACCCCTTTATATCCTTAATAATTACAAAGGATCCCATTTTAAGGAGCCATCAGACTGTTTTCCACAGTGGCTGCACAATTTTACATCCTCACCAACACTGTAGGAGGGCTCTGATTTCTACACATCCTCCCCAGCAAGTGTTATTATCTGACTTTGTCTCTAGCCATTCTAGGGGCCAGAAATGAAGTGAATCTGATGTTGGATTTTTTTAAGAATTTAGATACAGGGGGTGCATATGCAGGTTTGTTACATGGCTATATTGCATGACGCTGAGGTTTGAGCATCTGTTGAACATGTCACCCACATAGTGAACAAAATACCCAATGTTTAGATGTTTAACCCTTGCTCCATTCTCTCCTCTTTCTAGAAGTCTCCAGTGTCTAATGTTTCCATCTTTGTGTCCAATGAGAACCCAATGCTTAGCTCTCACTTAGAAATAAGAACATGCATTATTTGATTATCTGTTTTTTAGTTAGTTCACTTAGAATAATGTCCTCTAGCTCTATCCATATTGCTGCAAAAGGCAATATGTCATTCTTTCTTATGAATGTGTAGCATTGCATGATGTGTATTTAACACATTTTCTTTATCCACCATTGATGGGCACCTGGCTTCATGCCATGTCTTTTCTATTGTGAATAGTACTACTATAAACATGTGAGTGCAGATATATTTTTGGTAGAATGAGTTCTTTCTCTTTAGGCAGATACTCAATCATGCAATTTCTGGATCAAGGGTTAGTTTTAGTTCTAGTTCTTTGAGAAATCTCCAAACTGCTTTCCACAAGGCCTGAACTAATTTATACTTTCACTAGCAGTGTGTAAGTGTTCAGATGGTGTCTTTAATTTGCATGTCATTGATGCTATTAATAACATTTTGTGATGTGTTTATTGGCTACTTATATATCTTTTTTGGAAGAATGTACAATTCAAATCTTTTACTGACCTATATTTTTATTTATTTCTTATTTTTTGGAGGCACAGTCTTGCTCTGTCATCCAGGTCGGAGTCCAATAGCACTGTCTTGCCTCACCGCAACCTCTGCCTCCCAGGCTCAAGCAAATCTAGTGCCTCAGCCTCCGAAGTAACTAGGATTACAGGCACATGCCACCACACCTAGCCAATTTTTATTGTATTTTTATAGAGACAGGGTTTCACCATGCTGGCCAGGCTGATCTCAAACTCTTGGCCTCATGTGATTCACCTTCCTTAGACTCCCAAAGTGCTGAGATTACAGGCGGGAGTCACTGCACCTGGACCTAGCCACTTTAAATTGAATTGAAAAAATACTTTAATTATCGCCTTAGAGGGATTATTTTTATATGATGGATATGAGTCTTTTATCAGGTATATGATGTGCAAGTATTTTCTCCCACCCTGTAACTGTCATTTCCTTTCTTGGCAGTCTCTTTGAAGCATAAAGGTTTAAGTTTTGATGAAGCAGGTCTCAACTCTTTAACTGAAGTTTTTTTTTTTTTTTCAACTATGAGAAATGACATGAGAGAATTGAAAGCAACATTGTAACAAATGTTTTTCCTTGACAGACCTTGTTTGAGCCTGCCTCAGATTGAAAGTCATAATGTCAAAGAAGAAATAAAAAGCAAAGAATGCTTTCTCCTGAGGTGAGGAGTTTGAGACCAACCTGACAAACATTAGGAAACCCCAGCTATACTAAACACACAAAATACCTGGGCATAGTGGTGCATACCTGTAATCCCAGTTATTGGGGAGTCCAATAAAAAAGAAAATTGATGCTTTCACCCAAGCAAACAATAACTTAGTATTTTGGAATATGGTTATGCAGGAGTTTATGTCATTAACAAAATGAAAACACTTTCTGTCAAATTCTTCTAAATGTCTGGAGTAGTATGCTTGCTTTGGGTTTGAAAAGTGGGAATTTGGACGGAAAAATGTATATCTGTATTGTAGCTAAAAACCTGCCTTTGGCTGACAATGTGTAAAGATAAGGAAGACTGGTTTGGGATGCCCAATCATTTCAAATGAATATGCTTTATTATTGTCATTATTATTTTAAAATATTATTATTATTATTATTATTTTACTGTAGAGACAGGGTTTTGCCATGTTGTCCAGACTGGTCTCAAACTCCTAGGCTCAACCTAACCTCCCACCTTAGCCTCCCAAAATGCTGGGATTAAGTCTTAAGCCACTGGACCTGGCTGTTACCATTTTTAAAAATATGTTATTCTTTGGGCACAGTGGCTCACGCCTTTAATCCAAGCATTTTAGCGGGTGCATAACTTGAAGTCAGAAGTTCAAGACCAGCCTGGCCAACATGGTGAAAACCCCATTTCTACTAAAAATACAAAAATTAGGTGGCTGTAGGGGTGGGTGCCTGTAATCCCAGTTATTCAGGAGGGTGAGGCAGGAGAATTGCTTGAACCCTGGAGGTGGAGTTTGCAGTGAGCTGAAATCGCACCACTGCACTCCAGACTGGGCCACACAGTGAGACTCCATCTCAAAAAAAAAGTTTTCATGTTTAGAAAAAAAAATTAAAATTAGTTCTTTTCTAAAAATATAGGAAAATCCAGTCAGTAAGCATTTACAAAGTTTAAGGACACTTTTTGCTAAGCACAGTTGCTTTTAAAGTTCACACTTTAATGCAAAATAAAAAGTGAATGGTATTTAGAAATATCAGCATTTGCACAACCACAAACAATATATTTGCCCAGAGATAGCCCCTTTAAGGATATCAATTTATCATTAACATTGGACTGAAACTTCTAAGCATCTGATATGTTAATTACTCTGTAATGGCCATAAGCATGAAATTGATAATTTGTAGGCAAAAGCAGAAAAATCTCAAGCTGATGGGAATGTGCTCAAATACATAACCTACCCAGAGGATCAATTCATCACCGGGACTAATTCCAGTCTTGCTCTTGAAAGTACTTCAGAATCCCAGAGCTTGAATACAAAGTCCCCAAGTAAGGTCACACGTGTGCTTGTTATTATCACTATTATTTTTGAGACAGGATCTCATTCTCTCACCCATGCTGGAGTGCAGTGGAGTGAATCATGGCTCACTGCAGCTTCAACTTCCCAGACACAAACCATCTTCATTCTTCAACCTCCCTAGTAGCTGGGACAACAGGCGTGTGCTGTCATGCCTTGCTAATTTTAAATCTTTTTGTAGATTTGGCATCTTTCTATCTTGCCCAGGATGGTCTTGAACTCCTGGGCTCAAGTGTCCCTTCTGGCTCAACTTTTCAAAGGGCTGGGATTACAGGCATGAGCCACCATACTTAGCCTATTATTTTTATTACTATTGGTTTCACTAAAAATTTGACTCTCTGCATTTTTTGACTATTTTTTATTTGTTTCATAATTCTTATAATGAAAAGAGTTGTTTAGAAAACATACAGGGGTGAGGGGTGGTTCCAAGATGGCCAAATAGGAGCAGCACCAGTCTACAGCTCCCAGCATGAGCAACGCAGAAGAGAGGTGATTTCTGCATTTCCAACAGAGGTACCAGGTTCATCTCACTGGAACTTGTTGGGCAGTCGGTGCAGGACAGTGAGTGCAGTGTACCGAGTGTGAGCTGAAGCAGTGTGAGGCATAGCCTCAACTGGGAAGCAAAAGGGGTCAGGAAATTCCCTTTCATACCCAACCAAAGCTGTGACAAATGGAAAATCAGGTCACTCCCACCCTAATACTGCACTTTTCCAATGGTCTTAGCAAATGGCACATCCAGGAGATTATATCCTGTGCCTGGCTCAGAGGGTCCCATGCTCACGGAGCCTTGCTCATTGCTATCACACAGTCTGAGATTGAACTGCAAGGCAGCATCAAGGATAGGGAAGTGACACCCACCATTGCTTAGGCTTGAGAAGGTAAACAAAGTGGCCAGGAAGCTTGACCTGGGTGGAGCCCACAACAGCTCAAGGAAGCCTGCCTGCCTCTGGAGACTCCACCTCTGGGGGCAGAGCATAGGTGAACAAAAGGAAGTAGAAACCTCTGCAGTCTTCAATGTCCCTGTTGAACAGCTTTGAATAGAGCAGTATTTCTCCCAGAAAAGAGTTTGAGATCTGAGAATGGACACACTGCCCCCTCAAGTGGGCCCCTGACCCCTGAATAGACTAACTTGGAGGCACCCCCAAGTAGGGACAGACTGACACCTCACATGGCCGGGTAGACCTATAAGACAAAACCTCCAGAGGAGTGATCAGACAGCAACATTAACTGTTCAGCAATATTCGCTGTTCTGCAGCCTCCGCTGCCAATACCCAGGCAAACAGGGTCTGGATTGGACATCCAGCAAACTCCAACAGACATGCAGCTGAGAGTCCTGATGATTAGAAGGAAAACTAACAAACAGAAAGGACAGGAACACAGAAAACCCATCTGCATGTAACCAACATCAAAGGCCAAAGGTAGATAAAACCACAAAGATGAGGAAAAAATAGAACAGAAAACTGAAAACTCTAAAAATCAGAGCACCTCTCCTCCTCCAAAGGAACGCAGCTCCTCAACAGCAATGGAACAAAGCTAGATGGAGAATGACTTTGACGACTTGAGAGAAGAAGGCTTCAGATGATCAAACTTCTCTGAGCTAAAGGAGGAAGTTTGAACCCATCACAGAAAAAGCTAAAAACCTTGAAAAATGATTAGATGAATGGCTAACTAGAATAACCAATGCAGAGAAGTCCTTAAAGGACCTCATGGAGCTGAAAACTGTGGCATGAGAACTTCGTGGTGAATGCACAAGCTTCAGTAGCTGACTTGATCAACTGCAAGAAAGTGTATCAGTGATTGAAGATCAAATGAATGAAATGAAGCGAGAAGAGATGTTTAGAGAAAAAAGAATAAAAAGAAATGAAAAAGCCTCCAAGAAATATGGGACTATGTGAAAACACCAAATCTATGTCTGATTGGTGTACCTGAAAGTGACGGGGTGAATGGAACCATGTTGGAAAACACTCTTCAGGAGAACTTCCCCAACCTAGCAAGGCAGGCCAACATTCAAATTCAGGAAATACAGAGAATGCCACAAAGATACTCCTTCCGAAAAGCAACTCCAAGGCACATAATTGTCAGATTCACAAAAGTTGAAATGAAGGAAAAATTTTAAGGGCAGCCAGAGAGAAAGAAAGGGTGACCCACAAAGGGAAGCCCATGAGACTAACACCTGATCTCTTGGCAGAAATTCCACAGGCCAGAAGAGAGTGAGGGCCAATACTCAACATTTTAAAGAAAAGAATTTTCAATCCAGAATTTCATATCCAGACAAACTAAGCTTCATAAGTAAAGGAAAAATAAAATCCTCAATAGAAAAGCAAATGTTGAGAGATTTTGTCCCCAGCAGGCCTGCCCTACAACAGCTGCTGAAGGAAGCACTAAACATTGAAAGGAACAACCAGTACCAGCCACTGCAAAAACATGTTGAATTGTAAAGACCATTGATGCTAGAAAGAAACTGCATCAACTCACGACCAAAATAACCAGCTAACGTCATAATCACAGGATCAAATTCACACATAACAATATTAAGCATAAATGTAAATAGGCTAAATGCTCCAATTAAAAGATGCAGACTGGCAAATTGGATAAAGAGTCAAGACCCATCAGTGTGCTGTATTCACAAAACCCATCTATGTGCAGAGACAAACATAGGTTCAAAATAAAGGCATGGAGGAAGATCTACCAAGCAACTGGAAAACAAAAATGGCAGGGGTTGCAATCCTAGTCTCTGATAAAATAGACTTTAAACCAACAAAGATCAGAAGAGACAAAGAAGGACATTACATAATGGTAAAGGGATCAATTCAATAAGAAGAGCTAACTATCCTAAATACATATGCACCCAATAAAGGAGCACCCACATTCATAAAGCAACTCCTCAGAGACTTACAAAGAGACTTAGACTACCACACAATAATAATGGGAGACTTTAACACCCCACTGTCAACATTAGACAGATCAATGAGACAGAAAGTTAACAAGGATATCCAGGAATTAAATTCAGCCCTGCATCAAGCAGACCTAATAGACATCTACAGAACTCTCCACCCCAAATTATCAGAATATACATTCTTCTCAGCAACACACCACACGTATTTGAAAATTGACCCATAGTCGGAAGCAAAGCACTCCTCAGCAAATGTTAAAGAACAGAAATTGTAACAAACTGTCTCTCAGACCACATTGTAATCAAACTAGAACTCAGGATTAAGAAACTCACTCAAAACTGCTCGAATACTTGGAAACGGAACAACCTGCTCCTGAATGACTACTGCATACATAACGAAATGAAGGCAGAAATAAAGATGTTCTTTGAAACCAACAAGAACAAAGACACAACATATGAGAATCTCTGGGATGCATTTCAAAGCAGTGTGTAGAGGGAAATTTATAGCACTAAATGCCCACAAGAGAAAGCAGGAAAGATCTAAAATTGACACCTTAACATCACAATTAAAAGAATTAGAGAAGCAAGAGCAAACACATTCAAAAGCTAGCAGAAGGCAAGAAATAACTAAGATCAGAGCAGAACTGAAGGAGACAGAGACACAAAAAACACTTCAAAAAGTCAACGAATCCAGGAGCTGGTTTTCTGAAAAGATCAACAAATAGATAGATGACTAGAAAGACTAATAAAGAAGAAAAGAGAGAAGAATGAAATAGATGCAATAAAAAATGATAAAGGGGATATCAGCACCGATCCCACAGAAATACAAACTACCATCAGAGAATACTATAAACACCTCTACCCAAATAAACTAGAAAATCTAGAAAAAATGGATAAATTCCTTGACACATACACCTTCCCAAGACTAAACAAGGAAGAAGTTGAATCTCTTATTAGAACAATAACAGGCTCTGAAATTGAGGCAATAATTAATAGCTTATGAACCAAAAAAGGTCCAAGACCAGATAGATTCACAGCCGAATTCTACCAGAGGTACAAGGAGGAGCTCATACCATTCCTTCTGAAACTATCCGAACCAATAGAAAAAGAGTGAATTCTCCCTAACTCATTTTATGAGGCCAGCATTATCCTGATACCAAAGCCTGGCAGAGACCCACAAAAAAAAAAGAATTTTGGACCAATATCCCTGATGAACATTGATTCAAAAATTCTCAATAAAATATTGGCAAACCGAATCCAGCAGCACATCAAAAAGCTTATCCACCATGATCAAGTGGGCTTCATCCCTGGGATGCAAGGCTGGTTCAACATATGCAAATCAATAAACGTAATCCAGCAGATTACCAAACAGAACCAAAGACAAAAACCACATGATTATCTCAATAGATGCAGAAAAGGCCTTCAACAAAATTCAACAGCCCTTCATGCTAAAAACTCTCAATAAATTAGGTATTGATGGGATGTATCTCAAAATAATAAGAGCTATCTATGACAAACCCACAGCCAATATCATACTGAATGGGAAAAAACTGGAAGCATTCCCTTTGAGAACTGGCACAAGACAGAGATGCACCCTCTCACCACTCCTATTGAACATAGTGTTGGAAGTTCTAGCCAGGGCAATCAGGCAGGAGAAAGAAATAAAGGTATTCAATTAGGAAAAGAGGAAGTCAAATTGTCCCTGTTTGCAGATGACATGATTGTATGTCAAGAAAAACCCATCATCTCAGCTCAAAATCTCCTTAAGCTGATAAGCAACTTCAGCAAAGTCTCAGGATACAAAATCAATCTATAAAAATCACAAGCACTCTTATACACAAATAGCAGTCAAACAGAGAGCAAAATCATGAGTGAACTCCCGTTCACAATTGCTTCAAAGAGAATAAAATACCTAGGAATCCAACTTTCAAGGGATGTGAAAGACCTCTTCAAGGAGAACTAGAAACCACTGCTCAATGAACTAAAAGAGGACACAGACATATGGAAGAACATTCCATGCTCACGGATAGGAAGAGTCAATATTGTGAAAATGGCCATAACACCCAAGGTAATTTATAGATTCAATACCATCCCCATCAAAGCTACCAATGTCTTTCTTCACAGAATTGGAAAAAAAATACTTTAAATTTCATATGGATCCCAAAAGAAGCCCACATTGCCAAGTCAATACTAAGCCAAAGGAACAAAGCTGGAGTCATCACACTGCCTGACTTCAAACTATACTACAAAGCTACAGTAACCAAAACAGTATGGTACTGGTACCAAAACAGAGATATAGACCAATGGAACAGAACAGAGCCCTTAGAAATAATTCCACACATCTACAACCATCTGATCTTTGACAAATCTGGCAAAAACAAGAAATGGGGAAAGGATTCCCTATTTAATAAATGGTGCTGGGAAAACTGGCTAGCCATATGCAGAAAGCTGAAATTGGATCCTTTCCTTTCACCTTATATGAAAATTAATTGAAGATGGATTAAATACTTAAATGTTAGACCTCAAACCTTAAAAAACCCTAGAAGAAAACTGAGGCAATACCATTCAGAACATAGGTATGGCAAGGACTTCATGTATAAAACACCAAAGCAATGGCAACGAAAGCCAAAATTGACAAATGGGATCTAATTAAACTAAAGAGCCTCTGCACAGCAAAATAAACTACCATCAGCATGAACAGGCAAGCTACAGAAAGGGAGAAAATTTTTGCAATCTACTCATCTGACAAAGAACTAATATCCAGAATCTACAAAGAATTCAAACAAATTTACAAGAAAAAAAATCAAAAGTTGGTGAAGGATATGAACAGACACTTCTCAAAAGAAGACGTTTATGCACCCAAAAAACACATGAAAAAATGCTCATCATCACTGGCCATCAGAGAAATGCAAATCAAAACCACAATGAGATATCGTCTAACACCAGTTAGAATGGTGATCATTACAAAGTCAGGAAACAACAGGTCCTGGAGAGGATGTGGAGAAATAGGAACACTTTTACACTGTAGGTGGGACTGTAAACTAGTTCAACCATTGTGGAAGACAGTGTGGTGATTCCTCAGGGATCTAGATCTAGAAATGGCATATGACCCAGCCATCCCATTACTGGGTATATAACCAAAGGAATATAAATCATGCTGCTATAAAGACATATGCCTATAAAGACACAGGCTCACGTATGTTTATTGTGGCACTACTCACAATAGCAAAGTCTTGGAACCAACTCAAATGTCCAATAATGATAGACTGAATTAAGAAAATGTGGCACATGGAATACTATGCAGTCATAAAAAATTGATGAGTTCATGTCCTTTGTAGAGACATGGATGAAGCTGGAAACCATCATTCTCAGCAAACTATCACAAGGCCAAAAAGCTAACACTGCATATTCTTACTCATAGGTGGGAATTGAACAATGAGAACACTTGGACACAGGAAGGGGAACATCACACACCGGGGCCTGTTGTGCAGTGGGGGGAAGGGGGAGGGATAACATTAGGAGATATAACTAATGTAAATGATGAATTAACAGGTGCAGCACACCAACATGAAGTATGTATACATATGTAACAAACCTGCATGTTGTGCACATGTACCCTAGAACTTAAAATATATATATATATATATATATATATATATATATATATATATATATATATATATATATAATTTGTTTTTTTAAAAAAGAAAATATACAGGGGCAAGGTGGGTGGTTTTTCTTTTGTCTATTTTATTTAGTTTTCTAGTTTTATTCTATTTTTCAGTTTTTAAAGTTTTAAAATTTTGTTTCAATAGTTTTTTGGAAACAAGTAGTTTTTTTGTCACCTAGTGTATTGGCCTGTTCTCATGCTGCTAATACAGACACACCCAAGAATGGGTAATTTATAAAGGAAAGAGGCTTAAGGACTCACAGTTCTACATGTCTGGGAACACTTCACAATCATGGCATATGGCAAAGGAGAAGCAAATTCATGTCTTACATGGCAACAGGCAAAAGAGCATGTACAGGAAACTCCCAATTATAATACCATCAAATCTCATGAGACTTACTATTAGGAGAATTGCACAGGAAAGACACCACACGGTGATTCAATTACCTCCCACTGGGTCCTCCCATGATATGTGGGAATTATGGGGACTACAATTCAAGATGTGATATGGGTGGAGACATAGCCAAACCATATCACATAGATAAGTTCTTTTGTGGTCATTTCTGAGATTTTCATGCACCTGACACCTGACCAGTGTGCACTATATCCAATATGTAGTCTTTTTTCCCTCACCTCTTCCTCCTCTTCCCCACAAATTCCCAAAGTTTATTATGTCACTCTTATGTCTTTGTATCCTCATGGCTTAGCTTCCACTTGTAAGTAAGAATGTACTCCACTTACTATCACAGATATTTAGTTTTTCATTCCTGAGTTATTTCACTTTGAATAATGGCCTCTGCAGAAGAATCACTTGAACCTGGGATGCAGAGATTGCAGTGAGCTGTGATCTTGCCACTGTACTCCAGCCTGGGTAACAGAGCAAGACTCCACCTTGTCAGAAGCAAGTGCTTGGCATAGCCAAAAAAAAAAAATAGCACTCAGACAGAAAATTTCTCAGCAAGACAACTTTACTTCTCATCCCAGTTGGTTTAGGCCTAACGTTTTTTGAAATAGAGTAAAAGCACAATTATGAGAAAAGGAGAAGAGGGAAGGAGAAGGAGATAGGGTGGTTTTACAACTTTTCCAACTTATCACCAGGAAGTTGAGTCTTTAAAGAGGAACTTTGTTGTCTGAAAAGTCTCAAGAAAAAAAAATAAAGGAATAATGGCCTCCAAGTCCATCCAAGTTCCTGCAAAGGCCACTTACTCAATTGTTTAAATGAATAAACTTTGCTTAGGGTGCAGTTTCAAGTTTATAAAAAAATTGAGCAGGAAGTCCAGAGTGTTCTCCTAGACCCTCTTTCCTGTATATACAACATAGTTTGCCCCATGCTTGACAACTTGCCTTATTATGGTACACATGTTACAATTACTGAGCTGACAGTGGGACACATCATTAACCAGAGTTCACAGGTTCCATGAGGGTTCACTCTTTGTGCTGTGCAGTCCCATGGGTTATGACAAACAGAGAAAGTCTTGCAGATACAAGATACTGTCTGCATATATTATACAGAAGTTTCACTGCCATCAAAATCACTTATGCTTCCTGTATTCCTCCTCCTCTCTCTCCCCCAGGGCGCTGGCAAACACTGATCTTTTGACTTTCCCTAGAGTTTTGCCTTTTGTCTGCTTTTAATTTTTAGACTTCATAAAAATGTGACTGAGTCAAAAATAATCATCAGAGAGTTGTATTGAATTATTTGGTTTCATAATGGTAAATCAATGGTATCACTATGTATTGAGGAAGAACAGAAAGTAGACAGTCTTTGCCATGGCTCAACTTCATTCATTTTGTTAAAGGAAAGGTGTAGTAATCAAGGCCCCAAAGGAGGGTTCTTGGATCTTGTACAATAAAGAATTCAGGGTGAATCCATTGTGCAAAGCAAAGTAAGTTTATTAAGAAAGTAATAGAATAAAAGATTGGCTACTCCATAGACAGAGCAGTGCCAAGGCCTGCTGATTTCCCATTTTTATCATTATTTCTTGATGATATGCTAAACAAGGGATGGATTACTCATTCCTTCCCTTTTGAGACCATGTAGGTGTGAAAAGAAATTATCTTGGACCCCCAAAATCACTAAGAAAAAGTCAAGCTGGAAACTGCTTAGGGCAAACCCACATCTCAGTCTATTTAAAGTTATTCTGTTCACTAAGACAGATACATATCTGATTGTCTCCTTTGGAACAGCTAATGAGAAAGTCAAAATAATGCAATTGTTTTTGTCTCATCTATCCAAGACCTGAAAGCTCCCTCCATGCTTGAAGTCTTCCTGCCCTTGCTTCATGATGCCACACCTTTCCAGACTGAACCAATGTACTTTTTACATGTACTGACTGATATCTCCTGTCTTCCTAAAATGTATAAAATCAAGCTGTCCTTTGGCTACCTTGGGCACATGTCATCAGGACTTCCTGAGGCTGTGTCACAGGCAAAACCTTGGCAATATAAACTTTCTAAATTAACTGAGACCTGTCTCAGATTTTCTGGTTTGATATAGAGTAAATTTCTGACATTGCCATGACATTGACATTGTAAACTGTCATGATACTGTTGGAAGTGTAGCAGTGAGAAGGACCCAAGGTCATTGTCAACACCATCTTGGTTTTGGTATGTTGAAAACAAGTGCTCAGCATAGCCAAAAGAAATCCATGCTTAGAAAGAAAATTTCTCAGCAAGGCAATTTTACTTCTAAAGTCTGCACCTGATGCAATTGCAAAAGCACACCAAACAACGGAGAGAAGGGTTTTTTTATTTGTAATGCAGTTTCTGTTTCTGTGTCCTTCTCCTATTGGCTGGGGTTGGACCACATAATCTAAGGTGATCCTGATTGGCTAAGACTTAAACTTTTCCAAATAGGGTAAATGCATGGTTTTTGAAAGAAAAGGAGGGGTAGGATTGGTTTACAATTTATGACCAGAAAGCTGAGACTTTGAAGAGGAACTTAGTTGTCCCAACAATTTCCCTTCTTCTGTTTTATAATTCTTCCTCTTCAAATTTCTTTAACAGGATTTGGTTTGTTGTTTTTCTTGATCATCTTGGAGCAAAAGCTTATCTGTGTACAAGTGGGAGAGGTAGGTGAGGTTTTTGTGAGCCTTTCTGTTAACTCACAAATACAATGTATGATACAGTAGCCCACAAGAATGAGTGCACCTGTAACAATTGCAAGGGAAGTAATGATTGATGTCATAAGTCCCTTTCATTTTCCAAACATCCTTTCTATCAGGCCTGTAAAGGGGTACTCCATTCCATAGTTTTCAGCTGATTCATTTGCTTGGGTTATAAGGCATTGTAAGGTTTTTGTGTTGCCCCATTGGAAGCTGTATTATTAGGGATGAATGTACAACACTGGACCCTAATCATGACACAGACTCCACCCTTTTTGGCTAATATTATGTCAAGGGTTATTCTATTTTCTCAGGCCATTTGGCTCATAGGACCTAATTGTTTAACTATTCCTTTATGGCTTCTCTGGTATAATGGATGAATTGTTGTTGACAGTAGTATATATAATTTATCCAGTTTACATTATTGTTTATAGTGGACCACCAGAATAAGACAGACTCAAAACCAGTGGCCATTTGGTTTCAAGGTTTGAATTTATTTAACACCCACCACAGGACCCTGATACTGTCTATGTAAACATATGGGTTAAGGGACATGTGAGGGGCTTCTCTTTTTTTCCTGGTTAGCTGCTTCCTCTCTTCTTGATGAAATGCCAAGTTGAAAGCAATGGCCAATTGGATTACAATACCAGTGCCACTCCAGTTGTTTGACAGTGTACTCAATATTGCCCCCCCCCCACAATAACATCACGCATCCACTTTGGGATGGACTAAGGCCGACAGACTGGTTAGCTTCTTGAAAATGTTTAGGCCCACTACGTCCAGTTAGGTTTCCAAGGAATGTCAAATTTTTCCCTTGCCATGAGAGACACGAGATAAAATTGACATCTAGAGTTGGAAATCTAATGGCCCTTGGGTGTTGTCCAATAGGGCTCACAACCTTTTAGAAAAGTAGTGAAAGAGTGGTGCATGACTTGTTTCCCCAGGCTGTGGAGTGCTGGAAGGAAGCTACCATACAGTTCATGCCTGGTTGATCGGCCCATCCAAGTGGAAAGGGAACAATTTGGATTTCTGGCCTACCCATTGCACAAGTGTAACAATCACTTTTATTTAGATTGTGAATGGAATATTTAATCTATTCCAGCCAGGCATTTACATCTCAATACCCGGCTTCTATTTCTATGGTTTACTTTAAGCCCTTGTTCTCTAATATAGCTACTTTGGTTTTGTCATTTGGCATGAATGAAGAAATTGTTTGATTCTGTTTGTTTGTGGAGGGAGTAATGGTGGGAGATGGAGGAAGAGGAATAAGGCTTATTTCAAAGGCACCTGTGGGGTCTTTTACAGTGACATCTACTTCTAGTCTATAAAGGCACTCTAAAGTGGTATTAGGGTCGGTTGAGGTGGGAATAAGAATACTGAGAAATACTGGGTCACACTGGTGGTTTTGGCAATTTGAGGGTGTGTCTCCTTTGGTAAAGTGGATGTAAGATTTTAGGGTAGTGCAGTCCCCCGAAAAGGACCAGCCTGATATTGGATGGTCCAGATAACATCACCCCAACTATAACATAACCCCAAGAAGGTTTGTGGTCACTGATTGCAAGGACTGGGGCTGCTGGTCTGTCTGATGGGGGTGGAGGGGCAGAGGTACTTTTCTGAATAAGCTAGCTGTTTTTGACTCTGGTGTTCCCCACAGGGCATGACAAGACAAGCATCAAAAGTAATTGTTTGAGAAGAGGGTGACCAAGTTATATTGATTATAAGATGTCCTTGGGTAGCTAAAGGAAGAAGAAAAAGACAGACTAAATCCTTTTGAATGTTAGTTTAGAGGCATTCATCCTGGAGTTATGGTCCATGACTGTGCAAGGGGTGGGGCATTTTTTACTCAAGTGTGATAGGTCCATCCCTTTTTGCCCATTTGGATTGCTGTCTCAGTATTTAGAAGTACTAGATAAAGTCCTTACCAGGTTGGTTCAAGATTTTCCTCCTTCTAACTTTTGAAAAGGACATAATCTCTGGTCTGGTGAGGAATTCAAGTATTGCAGTTTGCGCTAGGAGTCCTTGAGTCCTGAGGGAAGAAAGGGTGGAAGACAGACCAACATATAGTTTTTGAGAAATTGATATTTTGTTTCAAAAGTAGGAAGGTCAGTAGTGGATTTTAGATAAGGCAGCCTGGAGATCAGGATTTTTTCAAGGGCAATTTGGATTCTTAGTAAATCAATTGAAAGGTGTTTTCTCATGGTAACAGTGTTTATAAATTTTAGGGAGACATGAGACATCAGTCGGTATATGTAAAATGTACATTGGTTCAGTCTGGAAAGGCATGGCATCTTGGTTAGGTGATTATTTAGAGTTTGATTGATTCTTTCTACTTTCCCTGATGAGGATTAATGCTAGGAAGTATTTCTAATGCCTAGGTCAGCCCCTTAATGATGTGTGCAGTGGGGTGGGTTCCATTGACTGAATCAGTGTTCTCTATTAGTCCAAACCCGGGTATGATATGCTTCCACAGGGCTTTGACTACATCACTGGCCACTGTGCCTGGGAAAGGCATGTCTTCTACCCAGGGGGAGAGATGGTCTACTATTACTAGAAAATACTTGAGGTGGCCTATTGAGGGCATTTCAGTTTAGTCAACTTGGACACTTTGGAATGGCTTCAATTCTGGGTTTCTTACCCTGGGAGTTTGCTTCTTTTGGATTTGCCTATTACTTTTTCTGCACATTGTGGAACCAGCTGCCACTTTCCTGTGGAGGTTGTATATCCCTACACACCCATAGACTCTGAGGACAAAATCACACATAGCCTTATGACCTCAGTTACTTGATGAGGCTGTGACAATATTTCCCTTATAAGGGGTTTAGACAGCATTTCCCTTTCATCTGGTAGTACACACTTTCCCTCTGGACTTTCCTTAGCTCCTATTTTCTGTAGTTTCTCTTGGTCTTTGTGGGAGAAGATGGGGATCACAACTGGAGGGGGAGGACAAGGGATTAGATAAAAAATAGGGGCCTCATGGGAATAGACATCTTGCTTAGCTATTTGATCTAGGAGGTTATTTCCCTGGCTTTCAGAGAAGGGTTGTTTTGGTGTCCTGGGACATGGACAACTGCAATTTCTTCCAGCAGCTGAAGATTTTCTAGCATTTGCATAATTAATTCCTTGTGGACCATATCTTGACCCTTACTACTTACAAGGCCTCATTCAGTCTATATTTTCCCAAAGGTATGGACTACTCAGAAGGCATATTTGGAGTCAGTGTAAATAGTTCCTTCCTGATTCTGCAGGAATTTTAAGTCTTGGTTTAATGCAGAGTTCAAATGTTTGGGCAACCAGATATTTGGCAGTCTTCCTGACTCTCCTTATAAATAGTTCCTTCCGATTCTACAGGAACGTTTTTTATTATTATACTTTAAGTTCTAGGGCACATGTGCACAATGTGCAGGTTTGTTACATATGTATACATGTGTCATGTTGGTGTGCTGCACCCATTAACTGGTCATTTACATGAAGTATATCTCTTAATGCTATCTCTCCCTCCTCTCCCCACCCCACGACAGGCCCCTGTGTGTGATGTACCCCTTCCAGTGTCCAAATGTTCTCATTGTTCAATTCTGACCTATGAGTGAGAACATGTGATGTTTGATTTTTTGTCCTTGCAATAGTTTGTGGAGAATGATGGTTTCCAGCTTCATCCATGTCCCTACAAAGACATGAATTCATCCATTTGTATCACTGCATAGTATTCCATGGTGTATATATGCCATATTTTCTTAATCCAGTCTATCATTGTTGGACATTTTGGTTGGTTCCAAGTTTTTGCTATTGTGAATAGTGCCACAAT
The DNA here is from genome assembly GCF_000001405.40 of Homo sapiens. Classification (NCBI taxonomy): domain Eukaryota; kingdom Metazoa; phylum Chordata; class Mammalia; order Primates; family Hominidae; genus Homo; species Homo sapiens. The sequence continues at coordinate 19,178,201 of NC_000024.10, read as the reverse complement.
GAACATACGTGTGCATGTGTCTTTACAGAAGCATGATTTCTAATCCTTTGTGTATATACCCAATAGTGAGATGACTGGGTCAAATGGTATGTGTAGTTCCAGATCCTTGAGGAGTAGCAACACTGCCTTCCACAATGGTTAAACTAGTTACAGTCCGACCAACAGTGTAAAAGTGTTCCTATTTCTCCACATCCTCTCCAGCACCTATTGTTTCCTGACTTTTTAATGATTGCCATTCTAACTGGTGTGAGATGATATCTCATTGTGGTTTTGATTTGTATTTCTCTGATGACCAGTGATGATGAGCATTTTTTCATGTGTCTTTTGGCTGCATAAATGTCTTCTTTTGAGAAGTGTCTGTTCATATCTTTCACCCACTTTTTGATGGGGTTGTTTACTTTTTCTTGTACATTTGTTTGAGTTCTTTGTAGAGTCTGGATATCAGTCCTTTGTCAGATGAGTAGACTGCAAAAATTTTCTCCCATTCTGTAGTTTGCCTATTTACTCTGATGGTAGTTTCTTTTGTTGTGCAGAAACTCTTCAGTTTAACTATATCCCATTTGTCAATTTTGGCTTTTGTTGCCATTGCTTTTCCTGTTTTAGAAATGAAGTCCTTGCCCATGCCTCTGTCCTGAATGGTATGGCCTAGGTTTTCTTCTAGGGTTTTTATGGTTTCAGGTCTAATATTTAAGTCTTTAATCCATCTTGAATTAATTTTTGTATAAGGTTTAAGGAAAGAATCCAGTTTCAGCTTTCTACCTATGGCTAGCCTGTTTTCCCAGCACCATTTATTAAACAGGGAATCCTTTCCCCATGTCTTGTTTTGGTCAGGTTTATCAAAGATCAGATAGTTGTAGATGTGTGGCATTACCTCTCAGGGTTTTGTTCTGTTCCATTGGTCTATATCTCTGTTTTGGTACCAGTATCATGCTGTTTTGGTTACTGTAGCCTTGTAGTATACTTTTGAAGTCAGGTAACGTGATGTCTCCAGGTTTGTTCCTTTGGCTTAGGATTGTCTTCACAATGCGGGCTCTTTTTTGGTTCCCTACAAACTTTAAGTAGTTTTTTCCAATTCCGTGGAGAAAGTCACTGGAAGCTTGATGGGGATGGTATTGAATCTATCAATTACCTTGGGCGTTATGGCCATTTTCTTGATACTGATTCTTCCTATCCATGAACATGAAACGTTCTTCTACTTGTTTATATCCTCTTGTATTTCATTGAGCAGTGGTTTGTAGTTCTCCTTGAAGAGGTCCTTCAGTTCCCTTGTAAGTTGGGTTCCTAGGTATTTTATTCTATTTGAAGCAATTGTGAATGGGAGTTCACTCATGATTTGGCTCTCTGTCTGTTGTTTTTGTATAAAAATGTTTGTGATTTTTTCACATTGATTTTGTATCCCAAGATTTGCTGAAGTTGCTTATCAGCTTAAGGAGATTTTGAGCTGAGACAATGGGATTTTCTAAATATACAATCATGTCGCCTGCAAACAGGGACAATTTGAATTCCTCTTTTCCTAATTGAATACTCTTTATTTCTTTCTCCTGCCTGATTGCCCTGGCCAGAACTTCCAACACTATGTTGAATAGGAGTGGTGAGAGAGGACATCCCTGTCTTGTACCAGTTTTCAAAGGGAATACTTCCAGTTTTGCCCATTCCGTATGTTATTAGCTGTGGGTTTGTCATAAATAGCTCTTATTATTTTGAGACACGTCCCATCAATACCTAATTTATTGAGAGATTTTAGCATGAAGAGCTGTTGAATTTTGTCAAGGGCCTTTTCTGCATCTATTGAGATAATCATGTGATTTTTGTCTTTGGTTTTGTTTATAAGCTGGGTTATGTTTATTGATTTGTGTATGTTGAACCAGCCTTGCATCCCAAGTATGAAGCCCACATAAACATTGTGGATAAGCTTTTTGATGTACTGCTGGATTCAGTTTGCCAGTATTTTATTGAGGATTTTTGCATCAACGTTCATCAGAGATATTGGTCTAAAATTATCTTTATCATAGCGTTTCTGCCAGGCTTTGGTATCAGGATGATGTTGGCCTCATAAAATGAGTTAGGGAGGATTCCCTCTTTTTCTATTGATTGGAATAATTTCTGAAGGAATGGTACCAGCTCCTCCTTGTACCTCTGGTAGAATTTGGGTGTGAATCCATCTGTTCCTAGACTTTTTTTGGTTTGTAGGCTATTAATTATTGCCTTAATTTCAGAGCCTGTTATTGGTCTATTAAGAGATTCAACTTCTTCCTGGTTTAGTCTTGGGAGGGTGCATGTGTCCAGGTATTTATCCACTTATCTTGGATTTTCTAGTTTATTTGTGTAGAGGTTTCTATAGTATTCTCTGATGGTAGTTTACATTTCTGTGGGATGGGTGGTGATATCCCCTTTATCATTTTTTATTGAATCTATTTGATTTCTCACTCTTTTCTTCGTTATTAGTCTTTATAGTGGCCTATCAATTTTACTGATCTTTTCAAAAAAAAACAGCTCCTGGATTCGTTGATTTTTTGAAGGGTTTTTTGTGTCTCTGTCTCCTTCAGTTCTGCTCTGATCTTAGTTATTTCTTGCCTTCTGCTAGCTTTTGAATGTGTTTACTCTTGCTTCTCTAATTATTTTAATTGTGATGTTATGGTGTCAATTTTAGATATTTCCTCCTTTCTCTTGTGGGCATTTAGTACTATAAATTTCCCTCTACACACTGCTTTGAATGTGTCCCAAAGATTCTGGTATGTAGTGACTTTGTTCTCATTAGTTTCTAAGAACACCTTTATATCTGCCTTAATTTCCTTATGTACCCAGTAGTCCTTCAGGAGCAGGTTGTTCAGTTTCCATGTGGTTGAGCAGTTTTGAGTGAGTTTCTTAATCCTGAGTTCTAGTTTGATTGCAGTGTGGTCTGAGAGACAGTTTGTTATAATTTCTGTTCTTTTACATTTGCTGAGGAGTGCTTTACTTCCAACTATATGGTTAATTTTTGAATAAGTGAGGTGTGGTGCTGAGAAGAATGTATACTCTGTTGATTTGGGGTGGAGAATTCTGTAGATGTCTATTAGTAGACATCTGTAGATATCTGCTAGGTGCAGAGCTGAGTTCACTTCCTGGATATCTTTGTTAACTTTCTGTCTCAATAATCTGTCTAATATTGACAGTGAGGTGTTAAAGTCTCCCACTATTATGGTATGAGAGTCTAAGTCTCTTTGTAGGTCTCTAAAGACTTCCTTTATGAATCTGGGTGCTCCTGTATTGGGTGCATATATATTTAGGATAGTTAGCTCTTCTTGTTGAATTGATCCCTTTAGCATTATGTAATGGTCTTCTTTTTCTCTTTTGATCTTTGTTGGTTTAATGTCTGTTTTAACAGAGACTAGGATTGCAACCCCTGCTGTTTTTGTTTCTCATTTGCTTGGTAGATCTTCCTCCATCCCTTTGCTTTGAGAATATATGTGTCTCTGCACTTAAGATGGGTCTCCTGAATACAGCACACTGATGGGTCTTGAATCTTTATCCAATTTACCAGTCTGTGTCTTCTAATTGGAGACTTTACCCCATTTACATTCAAGGTTAAAATTGTTATGTGTGAATTTGATCCTGTCATTATGATGTTAGCTGGTTATTTTACTCATTAGTTGATGCACTTTCTTTCTAGCATGAATGGTCTTTACAATTTGGCATGTTTTATCTGGGGCTGATACCGGTTGTTCCTTTCCATGTTTATTGCTACCTTCAGGAGTTCTTTTAGGGCAGGCCTAGTGGTGACAAAATCTCTCAGCATTTGCTTATTTGTAAAGGATTTTATTTCTCCTTCACTTATGAGGCTTAGTTTGGCTGGATATGAAATTCTGGGTTGAAAACTCTTTTCTTTAAGGGTGTTGAATATAGGCCCCCACTCTCTTCTGGCTTGTAGAGAGTTTGCAGAAAGATCTGCTGTTAGTCTGATGGACTTCCTTTTGTGGGTAACCCGACCTTTCTCTCTGGCTGCCTTAACATTTTTTCCTTCATTTCAACTTTATTGAATCTGATAATTCTGTGTCTTGGAGTTGCTCTTCTTGAGGAGTATCTTTGTAGCATTATCTGGAATTCCTGAATTTGAATATTGTCCTGCCTCGCTAGGTTGGGGAAGTTCTCCTGGATAATATCCTGCAGAGTGTTTTCCAACTTGTTTCCATTATCCCTATCACTTTCAGGTACACCAATCAGACGTAGATTTGGTCTTTTCACATAGTCCTATATTTCTTGGAGGCTTTGTGCATTTCTTTTAACTCTTTTTTATCTAAAGTTTTCTTCTCACTTCATTTCATTAATTTGATCTTCAATCACTGACACCCTTTCTTCCAGTTGATCAAATCAGCTACTGAAAATTGTGCATTCATCACATAGTTCTTGAACCATGGTTTTCAACTCTATCAGGTCATTTAAGGGCTTCTCTATGCTGATTATTCTAGTTAGCCATTCATCTAAACTTTTTAGTTTAGTAAAGGTTTTTAGCTTCTTTGCTATTGGTTCAAAATTCCTCCTTTAGCTTGGAGAAGTTTGATTGTCTGAAGCCTTCCTCTCTCAACTCATCAAAGTCATTCTCCATCCAGCTTTGTTCCATTGCTGGTGAGGAGCTGCTGGTGAGGAGGAGAGGCACTCTGAGTTTTAGAATTTTCAGCTTTCTGCTCTGTTTTTTCCCCATCTTTGTGGTTTTATCTTCCCTTTGTCTTTGATGATGGTGACATGCAGATGGAGTTTTGATGTGGATGTTCTTTCTGTTTGTTAGTTTTCCTTCTAACAGTCAGGACCCTCAGCTGCATGTCTGTCGGAGTTTGCTGGAAGTCCACTCCAGTCCCTGTTTGCCTGGGTATCAGCAGCAGAGGCTGTAGAACAGTGAATATTGCTGAACAGCAAATGTTGCTTCCTGATCCTTCCTCTGGAAACTTCATCTCACAGTGGTACCTGGCTGTGTGAGTTGTCAGTCTGCCCCTACTAGGGGGTGCCTCCCAGTCAGGCTACTCAGGGGTCAGGGACCAACTTGAGGAGGCAGTCTGATCGCTCTAAGATCTCAAACTCCATGCTGGGAGAACCACTACTCTCTTCAAATCTGTCAGACAGGCACCTTTAAGTCTGCAGAGGTTTCTTCTGCCTTTTGTTTGACTATACCCTGCCCCCAGATGTGGAGTATACAGAGACAGGCAGGCCTCCTTGAGCTGCAGTAGACTCCACCCAGTTAGAGCTTCATGGCCACTTTGTTTACCTACTCAAGACTCAACAATGGCAGGTACCCCTCCCTCAGCCTCAGTGCCACCTTGCACTTTGGTCTCAGACTGCTGTGCTAGCAATGAGTGAGGTTCTGTGGGCATGGGACCCTCAGAGCCAGGCACAGGATATAATCTCCTGGTGTGCCAGTTGCTAAGACCATTGCTAAGACCATTGCTAAGTCCAGTATTGGGTTGGGAGTTACCCAATTTTGCAGGTGCTGTCTGTCACAGCTTCCCTTGGCTAGGAAAGGGTATTCCCTGACCCTTTGCATTTCCTGGGTGAGGTGATACCTTTTCCTGCTTTGACTCATGCTTGCCGGGCTGCACCCACTGTCCTGCACCAACTGTCCAACAAGCCCCAGTGGGATGAACCCAGTACCTCAGTTGGAAATGCAGAAATCACCCATCTTCTTCTTTACTTATGCTGGGAGCTGTACACTGGAGCGCTTCCTATTCAGCCATCTTGGAACTGCCTGCTACAGGAATTTTCAGGCTGGGTTTAACGCAAAGAGTTCACATGTTTTGGCAGACCAGTTATTTGACAGTCTTCCTGATTCTACATCTGTGAGGGTTTCTTCCTCAACTACAGAGTACCCTTTTAGCCTTTTTCCTTCAGTGACCCAGGAGGAACCATCTATAAAGAGGTGACACCCTGTTTGGAAGGAGGTTTCACTCACATCCCATCTGACTCTAGTTTGATACCTGATTAGATCTAAGCATTTATGCTCACATTCCTCCAGGTTTGGATTTCCTATTAGGAAAGCAGTGAGGTTTAGGGAATTGTTAGTGGTTTGTGTTAGGTCATCTCTCTTTAATAAGATAGCTTCATATTGTAAGATTCTTAAGTCAATGAGCCATCTCCCTGCCTTCTGGTTAACAATGGTTCTGAGTTGATGAGGGGCACTCACATGGATTGAGGGATGGATATATATGTCCTGGCCCTTTTATGAAAGGGCCTTATTTCTTCTTTTTCATTTGGAACATTTGCTTTTAAAGTGTCCTGGTTTTTCCAAACCTGAATTGTCTGTTTTTTTATTTTCCCCTTCCTGTTTCCTGACTCTTGGGTTTCATACCTTGGCTTCCTGTATAGGGTCTGGCAGTTGGTTACTTAGAAGGTTTACAAGTTCTATTTTCCTGTGCTCCCTGTTGAAGTGTTCTCTGTTGAATGTTGTAGGGTGGACAGCATAATTTTTGCCTTTTGCTTTTGACTTACCTCATCCCTCCATATATATAGCTTTTGGGCCTCTTTTAAAAGTTTCTCTATGGAATGGTCTTTTTAATTTTCTATTTTTAGTAATTTCTTTGTAATATCCAGACAGCTATTGGGGACAAAGAGGAGTTTCTACATCCCTTGACCCAGTGGATTTTCTATGTCCAAACTTGCATATCATTTTTATCTGTTTCTTAAGTCTGTTTAAGTCATCCATGGGCCCTTCATGTTTTCCTTGCTATACATTAAGTGCTTGAGAAATAATTTGGGTTTGAGGAACTGACTCCCAAATCCCTTTAATTATCATATTTCTGAGATCTCTTATGTTTTCTCACTGGTCTGCATTGTTATTATTCCATTGAGGATGCTGGGCTGGGAGTTTATGCCCCACTGTAAGGATATTTTGACCAGGGGACACTAGCACTCCCAGATTAGCATAGTGGCAATGTGGGTAATGTTTTTTTTTCCTCTCCTGATAAGAGAATACCTAGAATAGACATTAAGTCAGCCCACATGTACAGTCTTGACCACAGAAATTGGTCAATTTGATCTGCAATTCCAAAAGGGTCATCTAACAGATATTTGAGTCCCCTCCTTTTTTTTTTTAGATTTCTAAACTAAACTAAACTCTGAACTAGTTAAGGAGGCATTTACAAAGCCATTATCACCTCCTCCTAGTGGTACTTCACTTAATGAAAAAAGGTTGTGGTATTCTTCTTTGAGGAAGAGGGGAAAGAAAAATTTTGAGTATCCTTTTGGTATAGTTCTATTTCCTGTTGGCCAGTGGGGGTGTCAAGGTTCATGGGGCAGTGTTACATCAGGGAGGGAGTGTTCAGCCTGGGGCAGACAGGTAGGTGGGATGGGTTCCTTAGTCCAAATAAAACAGCAGTACTTTAATTTGCTGTCTTTTCTTGTGTTTGGTCCTTTCATTATCCTTCTAGTATTTTAACATAAGGCCTAGGGGACTGTCAGGGGGAATTTGATTATTTGCTTTGTATCTTAGAATTCCTGTCTTACTTGGAGTTTTTCCAATTCTGGAGGTTGGGGAGACTCAATCTCTCATATTATAGAATTCTTGCACTCCCATGAGACTCAATCTCTCGTGTTACAGATTTCTTGCTCTTCTGTGAGGTTCAATCTCTCATATTAGTGATTTCTTCCACTCACATGTCCTAGTGGCTCAACCTCCACTTTTCCTCCTGGAGGTTTTTTGCACTCTTGTGAGCACTCACTTCATCCTTATTGTCCACTTCCCTCATTCCCACAAAGGAATTTTAGGCTGAAGTTAGCAATGGCAGGTTGGTATAATCTCCCAATTGGGAAACTGCCCTAAGCTGTATGAGATGACAACAGAACCAAGTCCAAACACCACACTCACTTCACACCCAATGTTGCATCTCACTCACATACTTTCAACCTCCAGAGACCCAACCACCAAGGAATAGATTGTCACCCCAATAGTGACATTTATTACTTTGGTCTGTGCACAGAGTTACCTAGTAACTGTGGAATTCTTAATTAAGTATTCTCCCTAATGTCCACATTGCTGAGAGTCCAGATTTATTCATCACTTTGGGCCAGACTCAATCCTCTGCTCCCGGGCCACCATAATGAAGTAGTAAAATGCATCTCCACATGAACGATAATTGATAGTGACTTTTGAAGGAGAATAATATCCCAGATGATTCCCTAAATTTGTTGGAAACAAAGGCTCAGCATAGCCAAAAGAAACCCATACTTAGACAGAAAATTTCTAAGTAAGGCAAATTTACTTCTCCAGAAGGGTGCTGCTTACACATGATGCAATCACAAAAGCACACCAAACAAAGGACAGAAAGGGTTTATATTCCTAACACAGTTCATGTTTCTGTGTCCTTCCCCTATTGACTGGGTTTAGGCCACACAATCTAAGCTGATCCCAATTAGCTAAGACTTAAATTTTTCCAGACAGGGTAAACACATGATTTTTGAAAGAATACAGGGTAGGATTAGTTTACAATTTATTACCAGAAAGTTGAGTCTTTGAAGAGGAACTTAGTTGTTCCAATACGTGGGTTTTGGCCGGCTTTTTTACTGCAAACTGTTTTATCAGAATGGACTTTATGACCCATATCTTGTGGGGACCTCCTATCTCATTTTGTGTCTTAGAATGCCTAGCCTCCAGAGAATACAACCCAGTAGATCTCAGCCTCATTTTACCCTGTTACTCTTCAAGATGAAGTTGCTCTGACTCAAAGACCTCTGACTATTCCAGTGACTTTGTTGTGATGGGACCCTGATTTCTGACTGAGTCAGTCCTCAGTCAGATTTTTTGGCCAGTGGTGCAGGTGGAAATCCTGGCTCCTCCCCAAGTCCTGCTGTTTTGCAGTCTGTTATTGTGTCTACCAATTAATTACAGAATATTGAACTTATGAATGACTCAAGGAGACAGTCAGGGTAAAAATGGTGAGGCAAAATGTTGATGGTTTTATGCTCAATATGGCCTGCCTTGAATAAAATTTTTACGATTTAGAATGTAATTTCTTTTTAAAAACTTTATATTAATGTAACATAAAGTGATTTTAAAGTGTATAATTTAGTGATATGTTGTACATTGAAAATGTTGGGCAATGATGATGTCTATCTAGTTTGAAAACATTTTGTCACCATAAAAGGAGCCCACATACCACTAATTAGTCTCACATCACTCCCTCAGCCAGTCCCTCAAAATGACTCATCTACCTGCTGTCTCTATGGGTGAACCTATAGAACACAATTGTTTTTGGTAACCATCAACCATCTATGAATTAGAAGATAATTCTGACTTGTTCTTAATGTGCAATCTGGTTCTAGTGTGTAAAGGACAAAAACCAAGGAAACTCACCTGGTAGGTATTTGTATTAGCAAACAGCTAACAGGGGAAGAGTTTCAAAAAATAACTAAACCTGTAATGATACATATTGGAATTGACAGAGTTTTTGTAGAGGCAACAGTGGTGGGAATTTGGATAAAGCAGAAGTATGTTTGACTAACATACATTATTTAATTATCCTTGAATCAGTTACCTCCAAGGCAGTTATCCCAAGGAGAATCAGCTGGGAGCTGCATGTGATACTAGAAGATACATCTTACTTTCAACAAGGAAAATGCCAACCTTCCCTATTCTATTACCAGTGAAGCCCAAATATCTGGCACAGGTCACCAGGTGCCATGATTGAGGATGCACCCCATGTCACAGCCTCAGGAGGTCCTGATGGTGGGCCCAACATGATCAGGGCATAGCTTGGTTTTCTACATTTTAGGGAGATATACATTGGTGCCTTCTGGAAAGGCGGGACAACTTGAAGCCGGGACGGGCTTCCAGGTAAAAGGTAATTGCGAAACAGCCAGGTAAATTCTTTTGAGATGATTAGCTTTTTCAAAGCACACAGTCGGATATGCATTTATCTCAGTGATCAGAGCAGTTATTGAATATAATGGGAGGAAAGTTTTCCCTAAGCACTTCCCAGCATAACTTTTCCCTTTAGTTTAGTGATTTGAGGGCCCTAAGATTTATTTCCCTTTCACATGCCCATTGTATGATCCTGTCCCCAACCTCTGACACTCACGGAAATCTGGAGCTGGAAGGATCAGGACTGAACCCTTGACTCAAGGCAAGCCTCGCTTGACTGGAGAATGACTCATGACTTGTGCAGACCTGCCGGAAACTACAAGATCATATAGGAGCTTTATAAAACATTAAATTTTTTTTTACAGATGTGTTCTCACTCTGTCAACAAGACTGGAGTTGGTTGACAGGTCATGGTTGACTGCAGGCTATAAATCCTAAGCTCAAGCAATCCTCTCACCTCAGCTTCCCAAGTAGCAAGGAACACAGGGACATCATCATTCCTGGCTGATTTTTAAATATTTTGAGAGTTGGGGTTTCTTATGTTGCTCAGGCTGGTCTTTACCTCCTTGGCTCAAGTGATCCTGCCACCTCAGCCTCCTGTGTTGGGGAAACCAGACCCACACCACACAGCGCCTACCCTGTGTCCAGCAGAGACAAAGGAGTTAGAAAGAGACAGAATAAGCATTTAAAAGGCAGGTCCAGGGGATGAGAGCATCGGAGGCTTCAACACGGCCCTGAGCTCTCGGGCTCTGCCCAATGTATTGGTTTATAAGCTCTTTGTTCTTAAGGCAGATGGGAGGGGGAGGAAGGGATGAGAAAAAGGATTAATCAGTGAAGGAGAACTCGTGAGTCATTCGATAAGATGTATAGCAGTGGCGGTTTCTATGAATTTCCTTGAACAACGGCATGTGTCTAAACTATTTAAGATCTTTAACGTATTGGGACTGAAATGTGTGGGAATGAGTTTCAGGAGGAGCCAAGGTGTTTGATTATGCTGCAATGCTTCAAGGGAGTGTTATCTCCCTGAGCAACCTGGGAATGCTGCTGAGCACTTATGCTCTCGGAGCATAAAACATGAAGGCTTAATAGGGAGACTTTTCTCCTCAGAGGCTGCCCGTGGCTCCCCACGGATGTCTCACACAGGGGAGACCAACTCAACTGTCACTCCATAAACCCTCTTTCCCACATCCTGAGTAGCTGGAACTACAGGTGCACATCACCATGCCTACAAACTTTTTAATAAATGGGCTATATTGATTCCTGATCTGGAAAGTCCTTTTAAAAGCAGCAACAAAAAATGAAACCTCTTTAAGAAGCAAATGAAATAAAAGGGGAAAAAAAAGAAAAAATAAATCCCCCATATCCCACTATCCTATTTTATCAGAATGAAATAATATAAAAATAAAATGTGATAAGACTGATAACACAAGAATTTTTTTTTTTTTTTTTTTTTTTTTTTTTTGAGACAGAATCTTGCTCTGTCACCCAGGCTGGAGTGCAGTGGCACAATCTCGGCTCACTGCAAACTCCACCTCCTGGGTTCATGCCATTCTCCTGCCTCAGCCTCCTGAGAAGCTGGGAATACAGGCGCCCTCCATCACACCTGGCTAACTTTTTTTTTGTTTGTATTTTTAGTAGAGACGGGGTTTCACCGTGTTAGCCAGGATGGTCTCAACCTGCTGACCTCGTAATCTACCTGTCTCGGCCTCCCAAAGTACTGGGACTACAGGCATGAGCCACCGCGCCCGGCCTAACACAATAATTTTTATATTTTAGTTTCCATTTATAGAAGTACCTCTCTCAACTCCCTAAACTCAACTTGTCACCATGATAATCTTCACCAGTACTAAACAAGGGTAAGCTTTGTCGTTGTTGTTGTTTTCAGAGACAGTCTTGCTCTGTCACCAAGGCTGGAGTGCAGTGGTGCAATTATAGCTCACTGCAGCCTCAACCCCATGGACTCAAGCAATCCTCTTGTCTCAGCCTCTTGAGTAGCTGGGACTGCAGGCATGCACCACCATCCCCAGGTAATTTTTTAAAACTTTTGTGGAAATGGGTTCTCACCATGTTGCCCAGACTGGTCTTGAACTCCTGGGCTTAAGTCATCCTCCTGCCTTGGACTCCCACAGTGTTGGGATTACAGGTGTGAGCCACTGCACCCAGGTAGGGTAAACTTCTGTTGATCTCCCAGATTCTCTGGACTAAGAGTATCCAAGTTTCTATTATTCTTTTCTCCACTTTTCAGATGGAGAATCTGTTCCTTGGGGAGGTTGTTTCCTGACTCTCTGTTCACCCAATTTGTGGAGGGCAGACACAGAAGATTATCTGTCTGACCCAAGTTATTAACCTCTGACATCAAATGCAGTGATCTATTCAATTTATCTAAAATACAACATTTTCTGCTGTCCTCTCCAAATTCTAATGTTTATTATTTTTATAGTATCATGTTCTATTACATGTGAATATGACAGGTGAATTAACTATTGCACCACATGGTGAATATAGTTATTAATGATGTTTATATGTATGGAAATTGCTAACTGAGTAGATTTTAACAAAAAAAGATCAGAATGTGAGATTATGCATATGCTAAGTAGCTTGATTTAGCCATTCTACTATAGATATGTCTTTTAAAACATCATGTTTTTCACCACAGATATTTGCAATTATTTTCAACTACAAACATTGACATAGGCAGGACCCAGTGGCTCACACCTGTAATGCCAACACTTTGGGAACTTGTGATTGGCAAATCATTTAGGATTAAGGGTTCAAGACCATCCTGGCCAACAAGGTAAAATCCCATCTCTACTAAAAATAAGAAAAGTAATAAAAAGAAAATAAAAGAAAGGAAAGGAAAAGAAAAGAAAAGAAACGGAGAAGTGATCACCTCGGGATACTGTTGGGGTTGTGGGGCACACCACAGCCCAGAGATTAATGAGGCTGGGGACGGACCACAGTAATCCTGATTTTATCAAGCAACTCAACTAATGGTTCTCTGATACACAAGGAGATGCACCAGAGTAGATTCTGAGTCCCATTGTTGGAGAAATCAGGCATCTGTTCAGAGAAGGATGGGTGAATGGCTCCAGCTCTTTCTATTTCATTTTCGGTACGAGCACTAAGTGGTGCCAAGAAAACTGTTGAAATATACATGATGGAATATCTATAGGTGCAGGCTCAAAAGTAGGGTGAGGAGAGCATAGTTTGTATTCAGGGAGATAAATAAAACTTTTGAGACTACACAAATTTTAATCAAGTTAGGACTTGACACCTTGGCCTGAGGGAGCAAAATGTCCTGATGCTTGGTTCCTCCATTTCCAGAGGCCCATGATGCTTGGGGTGTTTTGGAGGTTGGAATGATCTGTCTCTTGGCTGTGTAAATGCAGCCTTAATGTTGCATTTGAGCTGATATCTCCTCTTTTTCTTCATAGACTCTTCTGGATGAGAGGTTTATAAAGAAAGGGGTGTTTGGCTACAGAAAAATATTAGAACTTGTTGGGTTTTTTGTTGTTGTTATTTTGGTTTTTTTGTTTTTGTTTTTTGTTTTTTTCTGAGATGGAGTCTGGCTTCGTGGCAAAGCCTAGAGGGTAGTGGTGAGATCTGGGCTCACTGCAACCGCTGCCTTCCGGCTTCAGGAGATTCTCCTGCCTCAGCCTTCTGAGTAGTAGGGATTACAGGTGCATGCCATCATGCCTGGCTAATTTTTGTACTTTTAGTAGAGACAGGGTTTCACCATGTTGGCCAGGCTGGTCTGGAGGTACTAATGTAAAATGATCAACCCACTCAGTCTCCCAAAGTACTGGGATTACATAGAACTTGTACTTTTATTGATTTCATTTATTAAATGGGAGAACATGAAATTTATTAATTGGTAACGTATGAATTGGCAATTATAATTGAATGCATAGTGAGTATAACTCAAAATGTTTAGCTATTGAACATAATAAAAAACAGTGTGAACACCACAGGTTTAGATTAACTGATTTCATCTTTCTTTTGATCAGATTACAGTACAAATTTCTGATTTTGAATAATCTATCATCCATACCAACACCCTTCTTTCACTTATGTGTACTTCCATATTTTTATTTTGGTGAAGACTTTTGGAAAAAACCGAGTGAGGTATACATACCATCCTGACATATCTCTACATTATTTTTATAACCATGGAGCACATCAATTTTTGAATAGCCATCTGGGACCTTTTCATTCAATCCTGAATTTATTTATTTATTTATTTTTTATTATACCCTAAGTTCTAGGGCACATGTGTGCAACATGCAGGTTTGTTACATAGGTATACATGTGCCATGTTGGTTTGCTGCACCCATCAACACATCATTTATATTAGGTATTTCTCATAATGTTATCCCTTTCCCAGGCCCCCACCCCCTGACAGGCCCCAGTGTGTTATGCTTCCTGCTATGTGTCCATATGTTCTCATGGTTCAATTCCCACCTATGAGTGAGAAAATGCGGTGTTTAGTTTTCTGTCCTTGTGATAATTTCCTTAGAATGATGGTTTCCATCTTCATCCATGTCCCTGAAAAAGACATGAACTCATTCTTTCTTATGGCTGCATAGTATTTCATGGTATATATGTGCCACTTTTTCTTAATCCACTCTATAATTGAGGAACATTGGTTTGGTTCCAAGTCTTTGCTATTGTGAACAGTTCCACAGTAAATGTACTTGTGCATGTTTCTTTAAAGTAGCATAATTTATAATCCTTTGGGTATATACCCAGTAATGTAATTGCTGGATCAAATGGCATTTCTAGTTCTAGATCCTTGAGGAATCACCACACTGTCTTCCACAATAGTTGAACTAATTTACCCTACCATCAAATGTGTAAAAGGTTCCTATTTCTCCATATCCTCTCCAGCATCTGTTGTTTCCTGACTTTCTAATGATCGCCATTCTAGCTGGCATGAGATGGTATCTCATTGCGGTTTTCATTTGCATTTCTCTGGTGACCAGTTATAATGAGCATTTTTTTCACATGTCTCTTGGCTGCATAAATGTCTTCTTTTGAAAAGTGTCTGTTAATACCCTTTGCCCACTTTTTGATCAGGTTGTTTGTTTTTTTCTTGTAAATTTTTTTGTTTCTTTGTACATTCTAGATATTAGCCCTTTGTCAGATGGGTAGATTTAAAAACTTTTCTCCCATTCTGTAGCTTGCTGGTTCACTCTGATAGTAGTTTCTTTTGCCATACAGAAGCTCTTCAGTTTAATTATATCCCATGTGTCTATTTTGGTTTTTGTTGCCATTGCTTTTGGTGTTTTAGACATGAAGTCCTTGCCCATGCCTATGTCCCAAATGATATTGATTAGGTTTTCTTCTAGGGTTTTTATGGTTTTAGGTCTAACATTTAAGTCTTTAATCCATCTTGAATTAATTTTTGTATAATGTGTAAGGAAGGGATCCAGTTTTAGCTTTCTACATAGGCTAGCCAGTTTTCCCAGCACCATTTATTAAATAAGGAATCCTTTCCCCATTGCTTGTTTTTGTCAGATTTGTCAAAGATCAGACAGTTTTAGATGTGTGGTGTTATTTCTGGGGTCTCTGTTCTGTTCTGTTGGTCTATATATCTGTTTTGGTGTCAGTACCATGCTCTTTTGGTTACTGTAGTCACATAGTATAATTTGAAGTCAGGTAGAGTTATACCTCTAGCTTTGTTCCTTTTGCTTAGGATTGTTTTTGCAATTCGGGCTCTTTTTGGTTCCATATGAACTTTAAAGTAGTTTTTTCCAATTCTGTGAAGAAAGTCATTGGTAGCTTGATGGGGATGGCAATGAATCTATAAATTACTTTGGGCAGTATGGCCATTTTCACAATATTAATTATTCTTATCCATGAGCATGGAATATTCTTCCATTTGTTTGTGTGTTCTTTTATTTTGTTGAGCAATGGTTTGTAATTCTCCTTGAAGAGGTCCTTCACATCCCTTGCAAGTTGCATTCCTAGGTATCTTATTCTCTTTGTAGCAATTGTGAATGGGAGTTCACCCACGATTTAGCTCTCTGTCTGTTAATGGTTTGTAGTAATTCCTGTGATTTTTGCACTTTGATTTTGTATCCTGAGACTGTGCTGAAGTTGCTTAACCACTTAAGGAGATTTTGAGCTGAGACAATGGGGTTTCCTAAATATGCAATCATGTCATCTGTAAACAGGGACAATTTGTCTCCCTCATTTCCTAATTGAACACACTTCATTTCATTCTTTTGCTTGATTGACCTGGCCAGAACTTCCAACACTATGTTGAATAGGAGTGGTAAGAGAGGATATCCCTGTCTTGTGCCAGTTTTCAAAGTAAAAGCTTCTGGTTTTGCCCATTCAATATGATGTTGGCTCTGAGGTTGTCATAAATAGCTCTTATTTTGAGATACATTCCATCAATACCTAGTTTATTGAGAGTTTTTAGCATGAAGGGCTGTTGAATTTTGTCAAAGGGCTTTTCTGTGTCTATTTAGATAATCATGTGGTTTTTGTCATTGGTTCTGTTTATGTGTTGGAGTGCTATTATTTATTCTGTATGTTGAACCAGCCTTGCATTCCAGAGATGAAGCTGACTTGATCATGGTGGATAAGCTTTTCAATGTGCTGCTGGATCTGGTTTGCCAGTATTTTATTGAGGATTTTTCCATCTATGTTCATCAGGGTTATTCATCTGAAATTCTCTTTTTCTGTTGTTTTGTCTCTTCCAGGCTTTGGTATCAGGATGATGTTGGACTCATAAAATTAATTAGGCAGGATTCCCTCTTTTTCTATTGATTGGAATAGTTTCAGAAGACATGGTACCAGCTCGTCTTTGTACCTTTGGTAGAATTCAGCTGTGAATCTGTCTGGTTATGAACTTTTTAGTTGGTAGGCTATTAATTTATTGCCTCAATTTCAGAGCCTGTTATTGGTCTATTAAGAGATTAAACTTCTTCCTGGTTGAGTCTTGGGAGAGTGTATGTTTCCAGGAATTTATCCGTTTCTTCTAGATTTTCTAATTTTTTTTGTGTGTGGAGATGTTTATAGTATTCTGATTGTAGTTTGTTTCTGTGGGATCAGTGGTGATACCACTTTATCATTTTTTATTGCATCTGTTTGACTCTTATCTCTTTTATTCTTTATTAGTCTTCTCAGTGGTCTGGCAATTTTGATGATCTTTTCAGAAAACCAGCTTCTAAATTCATTAATTTTTTGAATGGTTTTTGTGTGTGTGTGTCTCTATCTCTTTCAGTTTTACTCTGATCTTAGTTATTTCTTTCCTTCTGCTACATTTTGAATTTATTTGCTCTTGCTTCTCTAGTTCTTTTAATTGTGATGTTAGGGTATCAGATTTTCCCTCTATTCACTCTTTTCCCTCTATTCCCTCATATTCACACTGCTTTGAATATTTCCCGGAGATTCTGACGCATTGTGTCTTTGTTCTCATTGGTTTCAAGAAACATGTTTATTTCCGCCTTGCCTTCATAATTTACCCAGTATTCATTCAGGAGCAAGTTGTTCAGTTTCCAGGTAGTTGTGAAGTTTTGAGTGAGTTTATTAACCTGAGTTCTAATTTGATTGCACTGTGGTCTGAGAGACAGTTTTTTGTGATTTCTGTTTTTTTACATTTGCTGAGAAGTTCTTTACTTCCAATTATGTGGTCAATTTTAGAATAAGTGTGATGTGGTGCTGAGAAGGATGTGGAGAGTTTTGTAGACGTCTATTAGTTCTGCTTGATGCAGATCTGAGTTCAAGTCCTGGATATCTTTATTAAGGTTCTGTCTCATTGATCTGTCTAATACTGAAGTGAGGTGTTAAAGTCGCCCATTATTATTGTGCGGGAGTCTCAGTCTCTTTATAGGTCTCTAAGGACTTTCTTTATGAATCTGGGTGCACCTGTATTGGATGCATATATATTTAGGATACTTAGCTCATCTTGTTGAATTTATCCCTTTACAATTATGTAATGACCTTCTTTTTCTCTTTTGATCTTTTCTGTTTTATCAGAGACTAGGATTGCAACCCCTGCTTTTTCGGCTTTCCATTTGCTTGGTAGATTTTCCTCTGTCCCTTTGTTTTGAGCCTATTTTCATCTTTGCACATGAGATGGGTGTCCTGAATACAGCACACTGATGGATGTTGACTCTTTTTATCCAATTTGCCAGTCTTTGTCTTTTAATTGGGGTATTTAGCCCATTTACATTTAAGGTAAATATTGTTATTTGTGAATATGATACTGTCATTATGATGTCTGCTGGTTATTTTGCCCATTAATTGATGCAGTTTCTTCCTAGCATCAATGATCTTTACAATTTGGCCTGTTTTTGCAGTGTCTGGTACTGGTTGTTTCTTTCCATGTTTAATGCTTCCTTTAGGAGCTTTAGTAAGGCAGGCCTGGTGGTGACAGAATCTCTCAGCATTTTCTTGTCTGTAAAGGATTTTATTTCTCCATCACTTTTGAAGCTTAGTTTGGCTGGGTATAAAATTCTATGTTAAAATTTCTTTTCTTTAAGAATGTTGAATTGGCCCCCACTATCTTCTGGCTTGTGGGGTTTCTGCTGAGAGATCCTCTGTTATTCTGATCAGTTTCTCTTTGTGGTAACATTGACCTTTCTCTCTGGCTGCCCTTAAAACTTTTTCCTTCATTTCAACCTTGGCGAATCTGACAATTAAGGGTCTTAGGGTTGCTCTTCTTGAGGATTATCTTTGTGGTGTTTCCCGTATTTTCTGAATTTGAATGCTGGCCTGCCTTGCTAAGTTGGGGGAGTTCTCCTGGGTAATATCCTGAAGAGTGTTTTCCAACTAAGTTCCATTCTCCCCATCACCTTCAGGTACACCAACCAAATTTAGATTTGGTCTTTTCATATAGTCCCATATTTCTTGGAGGCCTTGTTCATTTCTTTTTACTCTTTTTTTTCTAACCTTGTTTTCTCACTTTCTTTCATTAATTTGATCTTCAATCACTGATACACTTTCTTCCTCTTGATTGAATTGGCCACTGAAGCTTGTGCATGCATCATGAAATTCATGGTTTTCAGCTCCCTCAGGTCATTTAAGGTCTTCTCTACACTGTTTATTATAGTAGCCATTCATCTAATATTTTTTCAAGGTTTTTAGTTCCCTTGAGATGGGTTCAAACATTCTCCCTCCTTTAGCTTGGAGAATTTTGTCATTAATGACCTGAAGCCTACTTCCAACAACTTATGAAAGTCATTCTCCATCTAGTTTTGTCGTGTTGCTGATGAGGAGCCATGAGCCTTTGGAGGAGAATATGCACTCTGATTTTTAGATTTTTCAGCTTTTCTGCTCTGATTTCTCCCCATCTCTGTGACTTTATCTACATTTGGTACTTGGTGTTGGTGACCTACAAATGGGATTTTGGTATAGGTAAGCTTTCTGTTGATGTAGATGCTATTGCTTTCTGTTTGTTAGTTTTCCTTCTAACAGTCAGGTCCCCCAGCTGCAGGTCTGTTGGATTCTGCTGGAGGTCCACTCCAGACCCTGTTTGCCTGGATATCACCAGCAGAGGCTGCAGAACAGCAAATATTGCAGAACAGCAAATATTTCTGCCAGATCTTTCCTCTGAAAACTTCATCCCAGAGGGTCATCAGCCTGTATGAGGTGTCTGTTGCCCCTGCTGTGAGTTGTCTCCTATATAGGCTACACAGGGACCCACCAGAGGAGGCAGTCTGTCCATTCTCAGAGCTCAAACACCACGCTGGGAGAACCACTGCTCTCTTCAGAGCTATCAGACAGGTGCATTTAAGTCTGCAGAAGTTGTCTGCTGCCTTTTCTTCAGCTATGCCATGCCCACAGATGTGGAGTCTAGAGACAGTAGGCCTTGTTGAGCTGTGGTGGGTTCCACCCAGTTCCAGCTTCCTGGTCACTTTGTTTACCTTCTCTAGCCTCAGCAATGGCAGATGCCTCTCCCCCAGCTAGACTGCTGTCTCGCAGATCAAACCCAGACTGCTGTGCTAGCAGTGAGCAAGGCTCCGTGGGCATGAGAGTCACTGAGCCAGGCACAGGAGAGAATCAGTGTGTCTGCCTGTTGCTAAGACCTTGGGAAAAGCACAGTATATAGGTGGGAGTGTTCCCTTTTTCCAGGTAGTCTCTCACAGCTTCCATTGGCTAGGAAAGGGAAATCCCCTGACCCCTTGAACTTCCTGAGGGAGGCGATGCCCCACCCTGCTTTGGCTCACCCTCCATGGGCTGCACCCACTGTCCAACTGGTCCCAATGAGATGAACCACTTACCTCAGTTGGAAATGCAGAAAGCACCCTTTTTCTGTGTCCATCATGCTGGGAGCTGCAGACTGGTGCTCTTCCTATTAGGCCATCTTGGCTTACACCTCCTGTATCTTTTTTTTTGAAATAAAATTCAACTTTTATTTTAGATTCAGGCAGTACATGTGCCAGTTTGTTCCATAGGTATGTTTTTGATACCAAGGTTTGGGATGATCAAATAACCCAGATACTGAGCATATTACCCACTAGTTAGTTTATTAACCTTTCTTCCATCCCACACTTGTAGTCCCTAGTATCTATTGTCCCCATCTTTATGTTGCTGAGTAGCCAATATTTAGCTCCCACTAAGAAACATGAATTGTGTTACTTTGGCTAAGATAATGGCCTCCAAATGCAATGATGTTGCTGCAAATAACCTAATTTTATTTTTTTATGGTGCTGTGGTATTTCATGTGGTGTATAACTACCACATTTTCTTCATTCAATCTGCAATTGACAAGCACCTAGGTTAAATCCATGCCTTTGCTAATATGAACAGTACTGCAATAAACACATGAATGCATGTTATTTTTGGTAAAACAACCTATTTCCTTTGGTTATATATTCAGTAATGGGATTGCTAGGTTGAATGGTAGTTCTGTTTTAAGTTCTATGAGAAATCTCCAAATGCACTTCGTTTTTCACAGCTTTCACAGAGGCGCCACCCAACAGACCCCATTCAAAATCTCATAGTAACAGAGGAGGGTGGGGTTGTAGCCTTTAAACTGAGACGACCTAAAACAAAATTAAATTCTGGATAATATGGAGAAAGGGGAGAGAGACATTAGCTAAACAGTTAGAAGCCTATCTCAGAGTAGAAGGAAGAGGTGAAGCTCACAGTGGGAGGATAAGAGATGGGTTAATTAGATTAGCAGTAGGAAGGGGTGCAGCAGGAGAAAAGAGACATGTATTGGGGATCTCCCACATCACTTTGTAAGAGCCTGAGATCTATGACACACTGGACACTGTCCACCTGAAGACATCCTGAAACTTGGTCTTTCTCTGTGGAATTATGATGATGGAATTCTCCATTCTCTTCTCTGGCCTTCCTCAGCCTAAAATGTGAGAGATCCTTGAGGGATACAAAGGGAATCCAACTGAATCCCACTAAAAATAAAAAAAGAAAAAAAAGAGAGTTTTGTCATCCTTCTTCAAGGACAAAAGATGCTCAAAATGTAACCACAGAGACTTTATCATCTGTTCTTTAATGGGTATTTGGGATGCAATTGTCCTGACCACACCTACTGAGTTTTCTTTTTTCTTGTTGAATTCACATCCCAGTGTAAATGGGATAATAATTACAGTTATAAAGGGAGCTGTTGTTTGTTCCTGTCAATGTCAGGCTCTTATTTCCTGCTTGTATGTTAAGTGAATACCTCAACTCTAGACGATTGCCTGAGGTTTGTTTCCTTTTCTATTCTCAAAGAAAGATCAGGGACAGCGATACTAGGGCTTCTTTTTGGAGAAAGTTGTCCAGACTGCAGGCATCTGCTCTTTTATTTTAGCTTTTTTTTTTTTTTTTTTTGAGATGGAGTCTTATACTGTAGCCTGGGGTGGTGTGTAGTGACATTATCTCAGTTCACTATAACCTCTGCCTCCTTGGTTCAAGCCATTCTCCTCTCTCAGCCTCACAAGTAGCTGGGATTACAGGCAGCCACCAAGATGCCCCAATAATTTTTTGTATTTTTTGTAGGGACAAGGTTTCACTATGTTGGCCAGGGTGGCCTTGAACTTCTGACATTGTGACCCACCTGCCTCAGCCTACCAAAGTGCTGGGATTTTAGGCATGAGGAACTGCACCCAGTCAGGGTCTCCTTTTTAACTTATGGGCAAATGACAGTCATAAATGCTGGTGTCTGTGGATCTGCATGAGTTTAGAAAAGGAAAATTAATAAAAAGGCCCAGGGCTTTTATCTTCACCTGTAAGTTTTATGGGAAGACTTTAGCTTATTTAACGATGGAGGAGATATCAGAGAGCTACAAATATTCTTTTACTTGGAGCCTCAGATGGAAGGACCAGCTAAGCCTCCAAAAGGGGGCATCATGGTATGTCCAAAGTTGGTTCCTTCTGGTGTATTTGTGGTTTCACTGACTTCAAGAATGGAGCCACAAACCTCCACAGTGAGTTTTACAACTCTTAAAGATGGCACAGACCCAAAGGGTGAGCAGCAGCAAGATTTATTGTGAAGAGTAAAAGAACAAAGCTTCCACAGCATGGAAGGGGACCCAAGTGGGTTGCTACTGCTGGCTGGGGTGGCCAGCTTTATTCCCTTATTTATCCCTGCCCATGTTCCATTTCTGTCCTATCACAATGTCCTGTTTTAAATACACCTTGCGATTGGCTACTTTTAGGATCCTGCTAATGGGTGTGTTTTACAGAGTGCTGATTGGTGCATTTTACAGAGCACTGATTAGTGTGTTTTACAGAGCACTAATAGGTGCATTTTACAGAGTGCTTATTGGTGCAATTTACAATACTAATGCTAGTTACAGAGTGCTGATTGGTGTATTTTTACAGAGCCCTGATTTGTGAATTTTACAATCCCCTTGCTAGCTACAGAGCACTGATTGGTACATTTTACATCCTAGCTAGAAGCTGCTGATTGGTTCACTTTACAGTCCTTTTTTTGTAAGACAGAAAAGTTCTCCAAGTCCCCACTAGACCCAGGAAGTCCAACTGGCTTCACCCCTCAATGGCTTGTGATTGAGTTGACAGCATCTTTGAGAGCTTTTGCAGCAACTCACATTAAAACATCTTTACGTAGAGTGGGCAGAGAAACAAACAGACTGTTGCCTACAGAGTGCTGCATGCTGTGCTGTACCAGTTGCCTATGAGAATTGCTTGTGACAACTTAGGCCTGTTCCAGGCTAAAATTTTTCCAAATTTTTGTAAACCATCCCAGGCTACATTTTATGTATGTATGTATGTATGTATGTATGTATGTATGTATGTATGTATTTAGAGACAGGGTTTTACTCTCTTGCTCAGGCTGGAGAACAGTGGCATGACTAAAGCTCACTGGAGCCTCCTGGGACTACAGGCATGAGCCACCATGCCTGGCCCATACTCCTTTAAAGGAGACATACACTACATAAACTTTGGGAGTCCAAGGCAGACAGATCACGAAGTCAGGAATTTGAGACCAGGCTGGCAAACATGGTGAAACCCCGTCTCTACTAAAAATATAAAAATTAGCCAGGTGTGGCAGCACTTGTCTCTAATTCCACCTACTCAGGAAACTAAGGCAGGAGAATCACTTGAACCTAGGATTTGGAGGTTGCAGTGAGTCAATATCATGGCACTGCACTCCAGGCTGGGAGAAGGAGCAAGACTCTTTTAAAAATAATAATAAATTTTTTTAAAAAAGAAGACTCACAAGCAGTCCAAAAAATATAGAAATGCTCACCATCACTAATCATCAGAGACATGCAAATTAACACCAAAATAAAATAGTATGACTATCACTAAAATGTCAGAAAATTACAGATGTTAACTAGGTTGCAAAGGAAAGCAAGCTTTTATACACTGCTGGTGGGCATATAAATTAGTGTAAACTATATGGAAAACAGCATGGAGATTTCTCAAACAACTAAAAATGGAACTACCCAGCAATCCCAATACTGGGTATCTACTCAAAGAGAAAAAAATAATTATATCAAAAAGGCACACACACTTATGTGTTTATTGCAGCACTATTCACAATAGTAAAATCATGGAACTAACGTAAGTGTCCATCATGGCAGATTGAGAAAGGATTTGAGAGCAGACAACTGGTCTGATGAAAATTTGTTAGGTGGTTATTTCCTCACCCAAATAAGCCTGGAAGGACTACAGGAGACCAGGGCTTATTTCCTCCCTTATCTACAACCATAAAAGGCCGATGTCCCCAAAGTGGCCATTTTAGAGGCTTACCCCTAGACATGCATTGTCTTTCTCAGTGTTGTTCTTTCTGAGAAAAATAATTCAGCGATATTTCTCCTATTTGCTTTTGAAAGAAGAGAAATATGGCTCTGTTCCATAAGAAAATATTATGCATGTACACCGTGGAATATTGTGCAGCCATAAAAAAATTAAATCACGTGTTTTTCTGCAGCATGAATGCAGCTAGTAGACATTATCTTAAATGAATAAATGCAGAAAGAGAAAACCCAAATATCACATGTTATCCCTTATAAGTAGGAGCTAAACAGTGAATACACATGGGTGTAGAGATGGAAACAATGAACTTCAAAAGCGGTGGATTCAAAAGGGGTGAGGAAGGGAGGGAACAAAGGCTGTAAAATGTCCTATTGGGTACTAGGTTCACTATTTGCATGGTGGATTCAACAGAAACCCAAACCCTGCATCTGACTGTTAGAGGAAGTCAGGGATCATGAATGGGTGACTGGCTGAAGCCATGACAGAAGAACATAAATTGTGAAGATTTCATGGATATTTATTAGTTCCTCAAATTAATACTTTTATAATTTCTTACACCTGCCTTTACTGCAATCTCTGAACATAAATTGTGAAGATTTCATGGACATTCATCATTTCCCCAATCAATACTCTTGTGATTTCCTATGCCTGTCTTTACTTTATTCTCTTAATCCTGTCATCTTCATAAGCTGAGGAAGAATGTCACCTCATGACCCTGTGATGATTGCCTTAACTGCACAAATTGTTCATAGAGCATGTTTGTTTGAACAATATCAAATCTGGGCACCTTAAGAACAGGATAAAATCAATGTTCAGGGAACAAGGGTGACAAAGTCTGGCTGCCTGTGGGCAGGGTGGAACAGAGCCATATTTCTCTTCTTTCAAAAGCAAATAGGAGAAATATCACTGAATTATTTTTCTCAGCAAGGAACAACACTGAGAAAGAGAATGCATGTCTAGGCCAAACTTCGTTAGCAATTTTCATTTTGCCCCAGTCCTGTGATCTCACCCTGACTCCATTTATTTGCCTTGTGATATTTTATTACCTTGTGAAGCATGTGACCTCTGTGACCCACACCTTATTCATACACTCCCTCCCCTTTTGAAAAATCACTAATAAAAACTTGCTGGTTTTATGGCTCAGGGGGCATCACAGAATCTGCCAACATGTGATTTCTCCCCCAGACACCCAGCTTTAAAATTTCTCTCTTTTGTATTTTTTCCCTTTATTTCTCAGACTGGAAAATAGAAAAGAACCACATGAATTATCAGGAGTGGGTTCCCTTGAAACAAAACTGCAAGTGTAACTTCTGAATCTATAATGAAAGAAAAATAAAATGATCTCAAGATTCTTGCCTTCAATGCAGACACGCTGTTTAATTTTCTCCCTTTGAATTTGGGTAGGACTGTGAAATAGCATGAATGTCACTCCTGTATTTAGATTACATTACATGGTAAAGGTGAAGGTATTCTACACAAAGTAACTGAGGTCTTGGCTGGGTGCAGTGTCTCACATCTATAAACCCAGCACTTTGGGAGGTTGAGGCAGGTGGATCACTTGAGGTCAGGAACTTCAGACCAGCCTGGCCAACAAGGGAAAACCTCATCTCTACTAAAAATATTAAAAAATTAGCATAGCGTGGTGGCAGGACCCTGTAGTCCCAGCTACTCAGGAGGCTGAGGCAGGAGAATTGCTTGAACCCAGGAGGTGGGTTGAAGTGAACTGAGACTGCACCATTGCACTGCAGTCTGGGAAACAGGAGGAAAACTTCATCTCAAAACAAAACAAAAAACAAAGTAACTGAGATAGCTCATTAAATGACTTTATGTTAATGAAAAAGGAGGTTATTTTGGATGGACCTGAGTTAATCAAGTGAATTTTTAATAAGTGCTTCTATAGACAAAAGGCAAGAGAAGACAAAGAGATTTCAAACAACAAAAATTATCCTCCTTTTTGCCTTAAAGAAGAAAATTAACACATTAATGAAGAGGGCCTTATGCCAGGAAATGGACTGATAACCTCATTCCAACAACCACCAAGAACCAAATCCTGATAATAGCCACAGAGCTCAGGAGAGGACTCAAAATTCAAATAAAATGGTTCGTCTGTTGATTTCCGCCTTGTGGGACTGTGAGCAGAACACCCAGACTTACTGTGCCTGCGAATGGTGAGATTGTAAATGTGTGTTGCTTTAAGTCACGAAGACTGTGATCATTTGTTACATGGCAGCAGCTAACTCATACAATCATACACTATTTATTTCTGATGTAAAATCAGAAGTGAAGGCAGGAATTCTTCCTTAGAAGGCTGTCCATGGGTGGAAAAAGCCTGGCCATGAGTCATATGCTCCAGCTACAAAATGCCAAACACCTTTGTGTGGAGCACCAAAGTGCTGGGATTATAAGTGTGAGCCACTGCCCCCAGCCAAGACCTCAGTTACTTTACGTAGAATACCTTCACCTTTACCACTTCTCTATTATTTAATATCTATTGTGGTAGTTTTAACAAATTTGAATTTCACTTAGGAGAAAGATGAAAAAATTTCATATCAAAACGTCTTGCTGAATACTCCCACGTGGCTGCTTGGAAAAGTTTGTGCAAGGCTCACCCTCTCTTAAATGGCCACTTTAGTCTATTTGCAGTGGAAACTTAGTTGCTATTTACTGAATATGTCCCTCCAAAATGCATAGCTTGAAACTTAACTCCCAAGGTGATGGTATTAACAGGTGAACTTTTAGGAGGTGGTTAGGTCATGAGGGTGGAACCTCATTAATAGGATTATCACCCTTCTAAAGAGAGCATCCCAGAGTGTTCCCCTGCCCCCTTCTACCATGTGAAGTCACAGTAAGAAGGCACCACCCATGGAAAAGAAAGAAGGTCCCCATCAGACTCAGATTTTGCCACATCCCCTTGATCTTGGGCTCCCAGCCTCCAGAACTGTCAGCAATAAATGTGTGTTGTTTAAGCCATCCAGTCTATAGTAGTTTGTTATAGCAGCACAAATGGATTAAAACAAGAGTATTCTAGGATGTCAAAGTCTCAAGAAATCAGCGTCCATTCTGTTCTTCTCAGGTGTCTCAGTACCTCCCAGGGGGTAGAAAGGTATAGTTTTAGGAAGGTTGGGCTGAATTAGGAGTTATGTTTATTTTTTATTTATTTAAAATAGTTATTCAGTTCTGCTAACTGCATAATTGTATTCTTGAGATTGCTAGATGGTGTCTTGCCCTTTTCTTGCATCTGGTTTGCTGACAACAGCAGCAAATTATTGTTTACTTTGTTCCAAATGAATATTTCTGACCCAGACAACATGCAAAAGTGGAAGAAGGTAAAAGTCCTCCTGGTAGAAATGACTTTCTATTCACATCGTTAGGCAAAAAAATAAAACTAATTGCACATTACATTTTCAGTTCACTTCGCTCATACTGACATGTCATGTATTGAAGGTGGCTTTCTATTATTTCTGTCTCCAGAACAACTGACAATTTGAATGTTCTGGTGCGTTCATTCAAACAACTCCTACTTCTCTCCCTCTGCAGACTTCCCTTAGAAGCATGGTTTCTGATGTTATTACCAGTCTTCTTTTGGGAATTGTGCTGTGCTAAAAATCCCTAGACACCCTACAGACATGTGGCAGAACATTCCTGGAGTTATCACTTAACTAATGAGCTTAAAAATTCATTCCAACTATAGGTAATGCATAGTTTGTTCCCAACTTAAATATCTAATCATGGAGCCCTAGAGAGTTAGGTAGACATTGTTTATCACCATCATGGCACGCTTGTGATTAAGTTTCATTTCTTGTTTAACAGATTTGGGGCTGCTCTGCCCAGACCCACCCATTGTAGGCCCACTGGGGCCATATGGGGCTCTGTCTTGGGGATGCAAATAAACTTGTGTGTTCACCACCTTTTTTTAGGTAAACACAAGAAGTATCCATCTATACATCATGTATACTATTATTTATTTCAGATCATTTACCTATTTCAGGTCATTTACCTTCCAGGATGTTGAGAGGCCATATATATAAATGAAAAATTGTTGTTACTAATATACTTTGGGTTGATTGACCTTCAGGTCATAGAGTAAGTGTTTAACATCACATTCTGTCAATATTTACCTTTCTTCCACCTGGACATAACCTTGTAAGAAATAATTTGACTAGCAACACTAAATAATAAATATTCAGCCAAAACATAACCCTTGTTAGTCTCTCCCAGATGCATAACATAGCTGTTTCAAAAACAAAGTAGACAATGGCAAAAAACAGGCTTAGGAAAATATAGAACCTCCTAGTGACTGTGATTGATGTTTGAAATTGGTCATAGACATTTCAGGAGAGCTGAAGGGTAGCATCCTGTTTAGTTTCTTTAATTCTTGGAAGAGATCCCTTGCATTGGGAAGGTGCACATTTGCATTTCAAAACAAGTGGAATTTGAGTAAACAGTCTTAGAAGCCAAGGCAACCATCTCATAGTAGCAAGCTGTGTATCAGGTAGTGAAAGAACAGCTGAAAATGGGCTATGACTATGCCCATTTCAGTCATCTGTTTGGGATCCTGACACCTAGAAAACTTTGGTAGACATAGCACTGCTCTGCTTTCTGGGACATAAGCAGATACATCTGTGTGTGACTAAAGCATTCTACTCCCAAGATGGCCTTATGTGTTGGCATGGCAGAGAAATGCTGTCTGAAGATCAAGAGCTCAGTATTGCTGTTGACTGTCCTTGGTTCTCCTCCATAAGGGCCATTCAGGCTTCTGTCAATATAGCTGCCTCAAAGTAGTTGTAGGGTGACTTATCCCATGTCACAAAGCAGAAATTTTCAGTCCTTTTTAAACCCAGGATGAGTGCAGTCACCTTCGGCCACATAGGGTTGGATAAACTATATCCCAGTGCTACTCTGGTCCAGCAGAATGGTATAAACAAGGTTGTGAATGCCAGAGACCAAGGTCTTTTGCGGATTACCTAAGTAGAGTCAATCTTCATTGCTCACAGATTCTCTCTTTGCAAATTCAAGTACTTGCTCTAATCCCTTTGTAGCCCCAATTAAATACTCATTGCATTTTAATGGAAATTTGAGCAATAAAAAATTGGAAGGTGCCACCCATGTGCACATTTCCTTTGCACTTGACTTGCACAGTTCCAGCTGAGCTAGGACGAGCTCTACCTTTTTATTTCAACTCATACTGTAAACACACGTCTTTTTGTGGTCTATTGAATGTCATGCTTTTTGCAATTTTGCAAAATGTAACCTCTTCCTGTTGGTAATTTTGCTTTTTAAAAAGACCCCCAAGTGTAACGCCTGAGTGCTGTCTAGTTCTTCTAAGTGCAAGAAGGTTGTGATGTTGTTTATAGAGAAAATACGTATGTTAGAGAAGCTTCTGTCAGGTATTCAGGCAGGAGTTATAGTTGTTGGACATGAGTTCAATAAAAAGAAGTCATAAATATCTATTTAATAATGTGCTTTAAACAGACACACACCTAAAACAAGGCTATGTATTGATTATTTGATGAAAATGTGACTAGACCCTAACAGGAACCTAATCTCATATTTCTCAAAGTACCAAGGTTCAGTCTTTGCTAATTCAGTGTTTTTGGTGGTTTTATAAAATCACTGCTGAGAGTATTGAGAATTGGCTATATCAGTTCATTGCAAACATCGAATGAGCTTTAGAATTTACCCTGATCCCATTCAAGTGATTGAAAGACCAAATATATACTGTGAATGCAGAAGTCTACAGGATTGATTTTTACTGGTCACTTCTGGCCATTGTCCAGAGAGACTGATCCACTCAGTGCTCCTCTAGTTGAACAAATCTTAAAATAAAATGATTTCACATTTTCCTCTTCTCTGATTCAAACGGGTAGAAACGAAACCATCATGCATTTCATTAAGGGTTTTTAACTTTTTCTTTTAAGATAATTTTTTAAGACACAGAAATTATTGCAAAAATGATAAAGTTCCTGTGTATCCTTCACTTAGCTTTCTCCAATAAAAGCATCTAACTTAACTATCACAGATCATCAAACCCAGTCAACTGACATTGATGCAATGTCTTCACTAAATAATATCGTTTTGTTTTCATGGGTTTTATGTGAAATGTATGTGCATGTGTAGTACCATAAAATTTTAACCCCTATATAGATTTCTCATCACCATCACTATCCCCAAGTTTGAGCTTCTACACATGCCTTGCTGCAATTATTGTTATAGGAATGGAGAAAGCCAAGGTGTGAAAAATATCTCATAGGTAAAATGTAATATTTCCTAATATTCAAGTTGCTGTTGCCAGAGTAGTTCAGGCAAAGTAAAATGTAGCATCTCTGTGCTTCTAGGACAAGAGGCACCAAACCATGAGGTTGCAAAGGCAGACAGCAGGTTGACCTCAGGATGAATGCCGCATAGGCTGCAAGCTTGCTTTATTTTCTTTTCTCCCTTCTCTTCCTCCATGATTAATTTTATAAAGGTTATAGGGACTGTTTCACAGCTGGCAATGAAAATATCTTCACTGAGCTATCAAGAGTCTAAAACCACTCACAGCTTCCTGGAGAGCTTCATTCCTGCGCATCATGGCCCTTGGGAACATTAACTGATTGCTCCAATGGGTAGAAACAATATCTGTTTTGGACACTTCTGCATCCTACTATACAGTAGGCCTCCTTTTCTCTGAATAGTTTTCTGGTCACACCTACTCACATTTTAGTGTTCTCTACTCTGCCGTATGTGCTATCAATACATTTATGGAAACTCTGATGCTGCTACAGCCTCACATATCCATATTTCACCTACACACTATTTCTTTCCCATGGGTCCTGGAATGGGGAAAGCTAAAACCAGAGAGGGCTTGGAGCAAGATCAAAGGACTCCCTTTCCAGAAGGGATGGGTCCCAGAACGGTGGATATTGGTTGGTACTGTTAGGTGAAACAGGTCCTTATCCACACCCCAAGATAGGGTTTTTGGACCTCACATGAGAAAGAATTCAGGGAAAATCCACAAAACAAGCTTATGAATAAAGTAAAGGAATAAAAGAATAGCTACTCCATAGGCAGAGCATCAGTATGGGCTGCTCAACAGATTACACTTATAGTTACTTCTGGATTGATATGGTTTGGCTCTGTGTCTCCACTCAAATCTCATCTCGAATTGTAATTCTCATAACCTCTATATGTAGAGCGAGGGACATTGTTGGAGGTAATGGGATCATGGGGGCAGTTTTCCCCATGCTTTTTTCATGATAGTGAGTCCTCAAGAGATTTGATGCTTTTATAAGGCACTTTTTCCCTGCTTTCTCTTGCACATGCTTTCTTGCCTGCCACCATGTAGGACATGACTATCTCCTCTTAAGCCATGATTATAAGTTTCCTGATGCATCCACAGCCATAGGGAACCATGAGTCAATTAAATTTATTTCCTTTAAAAATTGCCCAGTCTTGGGAAGTTCTTCATAGCAGTGTGAGAATAGTCTAATAAGTTGCTTGTATGTTAAACAAGGGTTTGATTATCCATGAGTTTTTTGGAAAAGGAGTGGGCAACTTACACAACTGAGGACTCCTTTTTTGGACCATATAGGGTAACTTCCTGATGTTGCCATGGCATTTGTCAACTGCATAATGCTGGTGTGTAATTCCCAACCTTGTTTTCACTAACCCTGTTTTTAGACTCTCCCTTTTGCTCCCTTAATCACCTAGCCTCGTTTCCATGTGAATAGACTCTCCCTTAGCTGAGAAAGCCAGAGGAGCTCCATCTGGCCCCCTTGATTTACAAGACATTAAGGACTCCTTACCCACCCCCTCTCCTCAAGGAGTCAACTTGCATAAGCAGGTTCTCAACATATCAAAGAGTCCAATTAACTGATAAGGTACTGGAACAAACAATGTATGGAGTTACCAGGATTTTGCTCAAAAGATAACACCATAAAGCCTTGAGTTTTTGTCCAGCGTAGTGCCCATATCTAACTCTTATGCAGGATTTAGAGCTCGGCACCTGGTACCTTGCCTTTTTGTAGGCATTTGTCTTTTACATTGTTTCTCTGTAACCATTTGTCCTTTTAATTTTTTTGCATGTTTTTACTTCTGAAGGGTTGTTGCATTTGAGCTCCCCTCTCTTTCCTAAACCAAAGTATAAAAGTTAATCAAGCCCCTTCCTCAGGGCTGAGAGAATTTTGAGCGTTAGCCATCTCTTTGGCCACCAGCTGAATAAAGGACTCTTAATTCTTTTCAAAGTGTGGCTTTTTTCTAACTCAATTGGGTACAACAGGTGGAAGTATCTTATAGCATGCTAATGTATTATAATTAGCATATAATAAGCAGTAAGGATGACCAGAACTTTCTTTCATTAACATCTTGGTTTTGGTGGGTTTTCACTAGCTTCTCGCTGCATCCTGTTTTATCACCTGGGACTTTGTGTCCTGTATCCTGTGCTGACCACTTATCTCATCCTGTGACTTAGAATGCCTAAACTCCTAGAAATACAGCCCCATAGGTCTCAGCTTTGTTTTACCCAGCTCCTGTTCAAGATGGAGTCACTCTGGTTCAAATGCTTCTTACATTATTTTCATAAAAGGGAGGTCATTCCTGGGTCTTTCTATGCAAAGAGGACCAGAGAGATCTATTATGATTTCTTACATAATACCTTTGGGTGACTGTTTTAGTCTATTTTCATATTGTTATGAAAAAATCTGAGACTGGGTAATTTTTAAAGAAAAAGAAGTTTAATGGACTCCCAATTCTGCATGGCTGGGGAGGCCTCATGGTCATGGCAGAAGGTGAAGGAGGAGCAAAGGTACATTTTACATGGTGGCAGGTAAGAGAGCTTGTGCAGAGGAATGTCCCTTTGTAAAGCCATCAGATCTCATCAGACTTATTTACTATCATGAGAACACCATTGGAAAAATCCACCTCCGTGACTTAATTACCTTCCACTGGGCCCCTCCCATGACATGTGGAGACTATGGGAGCCACAACTCAAGATTAGGTTTCAGTGGGGACATAATCAAACTGTATTACTGTGTCATTCTCATTAGCTGAAGGTGAGAGAGAGAATGGGAGTAATGAACTTCTTTGCCCTTGGTTCAAGTGATTCTCCTGCCCCAGCCTCCCAAGAGCTACAGGCACACGTCACCAGAGCCAGCTAATTTTTATATTTTTGGTAAAGATGGGCTTTCACCATATTGGCCAGGCTGGTCATAAACTTCTGACCTCAAGTAGTTGGCTCACCTCAGCCTCCCAAAGTGCTGGGATTACAGACATGAACCACCATATACAGCTCTCTGTTTATTTCAATATTTAGAGAAAATTCACAGTTGGAATATTCTTATTCATACATTTAAAAACAGCATCTCAATCAATAACTTTTTTATAACAGCTTTACTTTAGATGTAGTTTGCATACTATAAAAGGGGATGGCACATTTCCATCTGTTTTTCTTTCTTTCTTTCCTTCTTTCTTTCTTTCTTTTCTTTCTTTCTTTTTTTTTTTTTTTTTTTTTTTTTTTGGTTTGAGATAGGGTCTGTCTGTCACCTAGGCTAAAGCACAGTAATGTCATCTCTGCTCAGTGCAACCTTCACCTCCCAGACACAAGCAATTCACCTTCCTCAGTCTCCCAAATTGATGAGACTACAGGCATGTCACTACACCTGGTATATTTTTTATATTTTTGGTAGAGAAGGGATTTTGTCATGTTGCCCAGCCTAATCTTCAAATCCTGGGCTCAAGTAATCCACCTGCCTCAACCTCCTAAATTGCTGGGATTACAGGCATTGCCCACTGCACCCAGCCTTTTATT
The DNA here is from genome assembly GCF_000001405.40 of Homo sapiens. Taxonomy (NCBI): domain Eukaryota; kingdom Metazoa; phylum Chordata; class Mammalia; order Primates; family Hominidae; genus Homo; species Homo sapiens. The sequence goes on along the minus strand of NC_000024.10, from coordinate 19,144,413 downwards.
TTTTTATTGTGTTAAAATAGTTGCATCCTGTCCTCAGATTTCATCTCCTCCTCCCTCAAGTTATGGCAGCATCGTCATATTTTCTGTTTCTACAGTTTTGACTATTCCAAGTATTTTCAGGAAAAAGAAGTATTTTACCTGAGGAATTTGAGCACTTTCAAATTATTAGACCCAGAAAGGCATTATAATGAGACAGCAATCATGTCCTAGTTCCTGCTTTTAGCTATGTATACATCTATTGAAACTGCACACCACTGTCACAGGTAGCTATAAGTTAACCTTGTAATGCCATCTGGACTCCACAAGCCTCATCCTATCCTGTGGCTTAACAAGAGATGGTCAATCATGAATCAGTATTATTTCTGTAAATGGTAAGAATTTCTGACAAACAACTTTGTATCAATCCACTCCCCATGGAAACCAAATCTCTACAAAAAGTATAAAATTTAGCAGGCTGTGCTGTCATGCACCTGTGCTCCCAGATACTTGGGAGGCTGAGAGGCAGAAGAGTCACTTGAACCTGGGAGGTCGAGGCTGCAGTGAGTCGTGTTTGTGCCATTGCACTCCAACCTTGGTGACAAAGTGAGACACTGTCTCAAACAAACAAACAAATAATTTACTTATGTTAGGAGTAAGTACCCAGTGCCACAAAGAAAACCAGCAAATAGGCAGAAAATTCCTCAGTATGGCAAATTTACTTCTGCAGAAGGATGCAGCTTGCACCAGTCATGATTGCAAGAGCACAAAAAGAGGGTTAGGGAAGGGGTTTTTATCCCTAACGCAGTTCCTAGCACTTCTATGTCCTTTCCCCAGTGGCTGGGGTTGGACCTCACAATCTAAGCTAACTTGATTGGCTAAGGTTTAAAATTTAATAGGATCTATTAAGTGGGAAGAAAGAGGGACTGTCCATTACTAGGCTGGAAGGCGTATATGGACTTGTCTGGGTGCAGCCAAGGTGGGAAAGTTGTTTACAGAGCAGGTATCTAGGAAACAAGCAAGGTGGTCTTAAGAAACAAAGACCAGGGAACTAAAGCTTTTTGAAGAGAAATGTATCATTTCTGACAATTTCCCCCTCTTGATTTTATAATTTTACCTCTTCAAAATTCCTTAGCATATCTAGGCTCTGTTATTCTTCTTGGGCATCAAGTAGGAAGAGTTTATCTGAATAAGGTGGGAAGGTTTTATCTGAATAAACTAAGAGAGGTTTTGGTGAGAACTGTTTTTATAAGTCATTGTACTAAACCACAAATACAGGGTATGATACAGCATTCTACAAGAATGAGCACACTTATAATGATTATAAGGGAGGTAAATATTAAGGTCATAATTATTTTCCATTTCTTGAACTATTTCTCCATGAGACTTGTAAAGGGGTCATCTATTCCAGAATTTTGAGCCAACTCATTTGAAAAGGAGTTAAGTGCTTGCAAGGCTTGTTATTATTCCATCAGGGAGGTGTTATTAGGAATAACAGTCCAACACTGAACTCCAATCATGACAAACCCCAACTTTTTCAGCTAATAGCGTGTCAAGTTGTATTCTATTTTCCCAGACCATTTGACTAGTATGGCCTAATTTTTCAGCTATTCCATTAATTCCATCTCTAGTAAAATTAACAAAGCACTGTTGACTGTAATAGACATAATTTATCAAAGCTACACTTTTGTTTACGGTTGACCACCAGAACAATATAGACTGCAGTCCTGCAGCTATTTGATTTTGGGCTTCGAATTCATCTGGTACCCCTCATGGTATTCCAATAGCTTGTATATAAACATGAGGATCAAAGGATTCATGACAGACATCTCTCTCTTTATGATATTCTGTCTTCAATTTTCTTGGCTGATGAAATGCAAGGTGAAAGGGATAGCCAATTAGAGCCCAAGTGCTGCTGCAGTTACTTGGCAAAGTACCCAGAAATTGTCCCCTGCAATACCACCATATATCTGCTCGGCAGTGAACAAGGGCAGAATGATTGATAAGCTCTTGAAAAAGCTATGTTTCGCTGCACTTAGTTAGGTCTCCAAGGAATACTAACTTTTCCCCCTGCTGTGAAAGGCATGAGGTGAAATTAACATTGGAGGCTGGAAGCTGGATGGTCCTCGGGGGCTTAACGATAGGGCTTTTAAGTTCAGGAAACAGCAGTGAAAGAGTCTTGCATGACTCATTACCCCAGATTGTGGGGTTCTGGAAGAGAGCTGCCATACAGCTCATGCCTTGTTAGATACCCATCCAAGTGGGAAGGGAACAATTTGGGTTTCTGGCCTAGCTGTCACACAAGTATAACAGTCACTTTTATTTGGTGAGTGGATGGAATATTTAATCCATTCCAACGAGGCATTTGCATCTTGATTTCCTGTTTCAATAGCTAGAGTTTGCTTTAAATCTTTAACTTATACAATTGCTACCTTAGTTTTATCATTGGTATGAAGTGAGAAATTTTTGTTAGAGCAGGGTTCAGGAGGAGAGGGAGAAGAGGGTGAAAGAGGAGGAGGAACGATGAAGCTCATTTTGAAATATTCTATAGAGTCTCTTCTGAGACTTCTGCTCCTTTTATAAAAATGGCTCAAGAAAGGGTAAGAATCTTGGGATGTTGGGATAGTAATGGAAATTTGTACAAGATTACACTGGTTATATTGGCAATTGGGAATATTCCCTTTAGCAAAATAAATGTGTGGTTTTGGAAATATACAACTACTCATTGGGACAGTCTATCCTTGGTTTTTTGTGGTCCACAGAACATTGGGCCAACTATGGCACAGATTCTAATGCTCTGCTTTAGCAGGACAAGATTATCAATTACCAGAATCTCCGTTAAAATCTTCCCAAACTAATTCATCCCGGTTAACTGATTTTCCTCTGAGGAGAGCCAGGAGAGGCAAAGATACATTTCTGAAGTAGAGAGTTTTCTTTGACTTTGCAGATCTCCACAGGGTATAACAAGACAAGCATTAACAGTGAAGTTTGAGATGAGGTAGAATTAGTATTATTAATAATAAGGTGTCGGGTAACTTGGCAAAAGAGGAAAGGGATGAAGAGGCAGATTAAGCTTTTCTCTTTAATGTTACTTTGGTGGGTGTAGGTCCTGAAACAACATTCCATGACTTTGGAAAGGGTAACACTTTCTTGGCTCTATTATGATGTATTCATCCTCTCTCAGTGGTCCGGACTGCTGTCTCATTTGTGAGTAGCACTACTCAAACTCCCAAGTGAGTTTGAGCTTTACCTCTTTCCAACTTCTGATAAGAACGGTGGTCTCCAGGCTGCTGTTGATGAAGTGGGAATTTAAGGGGTGGTGTATGTGTCAGGAGGCCTTGAGTCCTGAAGGAGGAGAGGGTAGAAGATAGACCTAATACAGAGTTTCAAAGAAACTGATCTTTTGTTCCAAATGTAGGAACATCAGTAGTAGAATTTAGATAAGGCAATCCATAAAGAATTTCATAAGGGTATAGGCCTATGTCTTTTCAGAGAGCAGTTCATACTCTCAACAGGGAAATAGACTCTACTTTTCCTGATGAGGGTGTACTCCATGGTGTGTGGTATTCCCACTTTCTTTTCAGGATTTGTTTGTTGGTTTTTCTGCACACTATGCAACTGTGTCTGAAGTTGACTCCTTTCGGTGGTTTCGTGGTCTCACTGACTTCAAGAATGAAGCTGCAGACCTTTGCGGTGAGTGTTACAGCTCTTAAATGTGGCACGAACAAAAAGAGTGAACATCAGCAAGATATATTGTGAAGAGCAAAAGAACAAAGCTTTCACAGCATGGAAGAGTACCCAAGCTGGTTGCTGCTGCTGTCTGGGGTGGCCAGTTTTTATTCCATTATTTGTCCCAAACAATGTCCTGCTGATTGGTCCATTTTATAGAGTGCTGATTGGTCCAATTTACAGAATGCTGTAATGGTACATTTTGCAGAGCACTGATTGGTGCATTTTAAAAACCTCTAGCTAGCTACACAGTGCTGATTAGTTTGTTTTAACAGAACACTGATTGATGTATTTTACAAACCTCTTGTAAGACAGAAAAGTTCTCCAAGTCCCCACTCAACACACGAAGTCCAGCTGACTTCACCTCTCAATCTCTTCTCTACCTCTCAATCTCTTCTCTACCTCTCAATCTCCTCTCTAAACAGGACACCACAACTGTTGTTGGGAATTGGGTGATGACCTCTCTAGTTACTTCCTACTGGACAGGGGTAAAGAAGGGGCCCTGAAGTTTTAGTGTCCTCTAGAGGGGAACTCTCTAAGCCAGCCAAAGAGCCAGTGGGTTGGTCCAAGTGTCCTCAGTAGAAATTGTTAGTTGAGCTCATATGGGGTTCCATTTGTAAGACTGTCTGTATCTTGATGGCATTGATCCTGGAGGAAACAAATTTGACAAGGAGGTTAAAAACACAGGGCCCAAAAGCAAATAATAGCAAGATGTCTGTCACAGGACCTAGAAAAGGAAGAAACCATGTTGCCCAACTCCAGAGGTTGCTATAAGAGTTTGAAAGGCATTGTCTGGTTTCAGAAGCCTTTTCCTGTAAATGCTGGGCAGCATCTCGTACTATCTCCAACTGGTTAGTGTCAAAGCAACACTCCTCCCCTAAGAGGGTACAAAGTTCTCCTTTCTCAGCAGTGAACAGATCTAGGCCTTGGCGGTTTTGGAGAGTCATTGTTGCTAAAGAGTCTATTTGAGATTGTAGAGTAAGGATAGATTTTGTTATTTCTTGCAAACTGTCTGAGAAATCCTTTGAGAGTGTGTGGTAGTAGGATAGTGAAGTGGAAAAACCTGCTATTCGGGTTCCTGTAGTGGTGGTCACTCCTAACCCTATGAGTAGGGAACTAGTTGTATGGCCCTGTGCTGATAGACTTGAGCTTTGAGGGGCACTGATAGGGTCTGATTTCCTTGGGCAATGTTAATGTTGGGACTTAGGAAGACTAAGGTGCAGTGTCTGTCCAGTTGGTGGGGAGGCATATGTAGGTTGAAGTTCCACATAAGAACAATATGCCTTGGCTGGGTAGACAGAACTGGTTGTGTATGTTAAAAAGACAAGTGAGTTTTTTGTTTTTATTTTCCCATGCCACTAGAGTACTTGTCAAGGCAGCTCCAGTGAGCAGCTGGAAACGGGTGTTGGGAGCAAACTAAGTGGCTCCCTGTGTTCTATTTTCCCATTGGAGAAAAAAGCATTTTGTTCCTACTAGGTACCATTTAAAAGAGTTATTGAAAGAGGGGATGAGAAAGCATTCATTAGTGGTGAGGACACTGCTGCAGGGGGTCCAGGGGTGAATGACCATGCAGGGAGTATGGTTGCCATTGCAAAACTTGGACTGTTTATTAAGCAGGGAGGAGGTGATGATTTATGGAGGCCCTGACAAGTGAACAAGCCATCTAAATCAAGAGCTGTATGGGTGACTCGGAAGTTACTATGATCAGTTGGGGCTTGAAGTTGTAGGGTGCAATTACACTGATGGGGAGGTAGGTACCCCAGAGTCAGGCCTGATAACAGGTTGCATTGGATGCATAAAGGGTCTTCGGAAGTTAAGACGGTATTTGCATGTACAGTGTCATGTATGGGCTTTTATTGCTTGGGTAATGAGTGAGATTGGAAATGTAAGAATGTAAAAGTTGAATTGCATGACATGTTAGGGTATCCTTGGTCCTATCAGAGATGGTGAAGTTGGCTAATGATTGCATATTTAGAAGTCAGAAAGAGCATCTTCCTTCCTAAAGAGGGTGGTAGGTTAATTTAGTACACACCCAGTTTTTTTGAGGCAACAGGAGTGGTAACATAAGCAGTGGTAGATAGAGAGATACAAAACCAACAGTCATTTGTCAGGGAAGGGTTGGACTGGTTTAACAGAGAGTGGGTTAAGCTGAGAGTTTGTAGAGGTCATTTGGAGCTAGTGGAAGGGGAGGGGTGACTGTATGGGGTATCCAAGGAAGCAGGAGGGATAGGTAGGCAAAGAGTAAGTAGGAAGGTCAAAAGCAGGCACTGGAATATGAGATCATTTTATCCAGTCTGAGTTAGAGGTAGGAGTAAATTACTGTCAGAAGGAAGGACGATAGAAAGAAGGTTGATGTGACTAGGACTTTTATCCCTGCAGGAGCTACAGTATATAACCCTATTGCAAAGTGTATGGTTAGTATTCTGCTTAATAATGTGATGAAACAGTAAAAGGATTCCATTAAAGGGGCAAGGAGAGGAGTTAAAAATAATGTAGGTTTTCACTTATCTTTTTTAAGTAGGAAGAGATTTTTCCTCAGGATCAGCTATAGGAGTCTTTTTAGTCTGGGATGTTTCCTTCTGAAATAGGAGATGGAAGTCTTCCAATGGCTCACAGGTGTATGGAGGCTGGTCTGGCTAATCTTTGGGTTTCTGAGCTGTCGGTCCCACAGGTTCCACGGGGGTTGTCCAAAGTTTAACTGGGTGTAGTGAATCCAAGATTTCACTCCTGCCATGTTCATTGCAGTGGGGGTAGAGAGGATTACCGAGTATGGTTCTTCCCATAAGAATCCATACATGGGAAGGTAGAGGGGAGGTATTTGACCAACACTAGATCTCCTGTTGAAATAACTCCATTCTCTTTTTTTCTGTGACATTCTTCTGGCAGGTTTTTAAGGTTTCATTGATATTTTGCCAAATAAATTGTATCTTTGATCAAGTTGGCCATTTCCTGATCAAGTAGGAGGTCATTTGTGAGAAAAAGTCATCCATACAGCCTTTCATATAGACTGAACCACATTTTGTGAAGAGATTTTCAGATTCTCAGCAAGCCATGGGCAAGAGAGTAGGCCATAGGAGATGAGTTTCTTGTGTTAGCTTCCTTAACTGTCTCTTGAGTGTTTCATTTACCTTCTCCACCTTCCCTGAGGATTGTGGTCTCCAGGTGCAGTGAAAGTGATACTGTATCACCTGGAAATTCCCTGAGTTATCATGGCTTTAAAAGCCAGACAACTGTCACTTTGCAAATTTTGGGGAAGCCCAAATCTAGGAACTATTTCATGAATTAAAAGTTTAACCACTTCTAAGCCTTCTCTGTCTTGCAGGGGAAGGCTTCTATCCAATTTGTAAAGATATCAACACAGACCAATAAGTATTAAAATACCTTTGATTTAGGCATATGGGTGAAGTCTAACTGCAAGTCCTCTCTGGGATAGTGAGCTACTCTTTGTTCCCCTAGAGGGGACCTACAAAGAACAAAGGGATTATTCCCTTGGCACTCTCACAGGCTTTTACTACCTATCAGATGGCCCAGAGGAAATTTGGCGCTGTAAATAGGGATTTGGCCATTTGATGTGTGTTCTCAATACAAATATGAAAACTTTTGTGGAGGGTCTTAAGTATTTTCCATTGGCTGGTTTTAGGTATGAGTATGTTTACCTCTTCTGCAGTTAATCACCCCATGGTAGGAAACTATACCCCCATGAAAATCCCATTCTGTTTCAGTCAGGGAATACTGAGGCTTAATCTATTGGAGAGAATAGTTCCATAACAAGAGTGCTTCCATAGGTATTTCTAATGGGAGGTTCCACCTGGCAGCATTTTATCCTCAGCATCTGCCTGATGGTTTGCTTCTGCCTTTTACGCTTCATTTTTTTTTATGGCTTTGGCAGTGTAAGACTGCCACCTCCTTGAGTTTTTGTACTTCATACAATAACTCCATGATTTCTCTTTGTTATTTAATGGGGTTTCCCTAAGAGGTTAAGAACTCTCTTTCTTTCCATATTGCAGCATGGGCATGTAGGATTAGATAAGCATACTTGTTATCTGTATACACATTTATTCTTTTTCCCTTTTCCAGTTCTAAGGCTCAGGTAAGTGCCACTAGTTCTGCTAACTGGGCTGTGGTCCCTTGGGGAAGAGACTTATTTTCAACTACTGTTACCTTACTATTGCATAACCTGCCCTTCATATCCCCTTCTTCACAAATAAACTTCCATCAGTATATACGTTAAGGTCAGGATTAGCTAAGAGGATTTCTAAGAGATCCTCTCAGGTGGCATAAGGCTGGACTATAATTTGTTGGCAGTCATACTCGATTGGTTCTCCATCCTGTAGGAGAAATTTGGCAGGGTTGAGCGCTGCACATGATGCCATTTACATCATGAGTAGTCCAGACAGTGAGATCCTTTCCCTGTATCATTTTGATAGACTCTGACTCTAAGTTGGCCACTGCCACAACTGTCTTTAGAGAGTGAGGACAGCCTTTTGTTACTATATCAGTTTCCTTACTTAGATATGCCACGGGTTGTAGTGTTGTCCCATGAGTCTGAGTTAGACCTCAAGAGCTACTCCTGCTCTCTCTGTGATGTATAAGGAATTTTGTCATGTTAGAAGTCTTAAAGCTGGAGCTTGTACTATGGCCTGCTTTAAGGTTTTGAAGGCTGTTTCTGCCTCTGGTTCCCACTCTACTAGATAAGTATATGCCCTCTGGGTCTCCTTGATTTCAGTATAGAGAGACCTGTCTATTTTGCTATATCCAGAGATCAATAGTCAGCAAAAGTCAGTGATTCCAAGGAACCCACACAACTGTTTTAATGTTTTAAGATGAGGATAAGCCAGTATAGGCTGTATTCATTCCTTTCTGAGAGCCCTGCATCCTCTGGCTAAGATTAGACCTAGATATTTGACTTGTTGTAGGCAGAGCTGGGCCTTGGATTTAGATGCCTTGTAACCTCAATTAGATAGAATGCTGAAGAGATCTAGAGTAGCCTGCTGGCATGAGGCTTCCAAACTGGGAGCCAAAAGTAAATCATCCACTTACTGAAGGGCTAGTGTGCCTGAAGTTGAGAAGTGGCCTAGATCTTGGGCCAGTGCCAGACCAAAGAGATGAGAGCTGTCCCTAATCTCTTTGGACAAGACCATCCACATAAGTTGGGATTTGTGGTCTGTGGGATCCTCAAAGGCAAAGAGAAACTGCAAGTCAGAGTACAGGGGAATACAGTAGAGGACATCCTTGATGTCCAGAACAGTGAAACATTCTGTTTCCTCTGGTATTTGAGAAAGCAGATTATAGGGGTTCGGTACAACTAAATATACAGGAATTACTGCCTCAATGATGAGTCTAAGATCTTGCACTACTTTCCACTGATCATTCAGTTTTTGTACTCCTAGAATTGAGGTGTTGCAGGGACTGCTGCATTTTCTTACTAAACCTTGAGGTTTCAAATATTTAACAATATCTTGTAATCCTTTATGAACTTCAGGCTTTATAGGATACTGCCTTTGACAAGGAAAAGTGGTGAAGTCTTTTAGCATGATTTGATCTGGGTGGGCGTTTTTTGTCCTTCCAAATTGTCCTTCCAATGCCCAGACTTCAGGGTTGATTCCCTCTTCAAGTAGGGAAAACAAACTGGTAACTTGTTACCTATATTCATATACATAATAGCTCCAGCTTTAGCTAATATGTTCCTCCTTAATAAGGGTGTGGGAATTTCAAGCATAACAAGAAAAGCACTTGAAAACAGCAAAGTCTCCCAATTACAACTGAGGAGGTGGGAGAAATACCTGGTTACAGGCTGTCCCAGGATTCCTTGAATGGTAACGGACCTTGAGGACAGCCATCAAAGACAGAAGATTAACACTGAGAAAGCCATGCCTGTGTCCAGGAGGAGTCAATTTCCTGGCCCTCAGTGGTTAAACATACCCAGGGCTCAGAGAGGGTGATGTCATGAGCTGGTGCTTGGCCAGGTCACCCTCATTCCTGTTGTTGGATCATCTGGTTGAGGGCTTCTGGCCCAGAGAACCTTTGCCCTCTTGTGCAGCATGCTTTGCAGTGATTGCTTTCGCATAGTGGACGTAAGTGAGAGGGCAGCTTGTTTATCATTGGACAATCATTATAAGATGCCCTTGCAAACCACAGTGGCAACAAGCCCTACAGGGTGATTGGCCTGCTCCATTTTCTGTCTTCTTTGAACCACAAAGGTTTGTTTGCCTGAGGGCTGTGACCAATGCTATGGCCTTTCTCTGATCTTTCTTTTCCTTTTTGTCCTGCTCCTCTTGGTCTCTACTATAGAACATCAAGATTTCCAGGTTTAATAATGCCTCCAAATTTTGTTCAGGGCCCAGGGCTAGCTTTTGGAACTTTCTCCTGATAGCTGTGCCTGATTGGGTAATAAACTTATCTTTTAGGATCAATTGACCCTCGAGTGAGTAGGGTGACAGGGATGTATATTATTTTCTTAACCTTTTCAGTAGCTGTTCGGAAAAAGGCAGAAGGATTTTCTCCCTTTCCCTGAATTATGGTGGACATAATTGAATAATTCATGGGCTTTTCTCTAATTCTCCTTAGTCATTCTAGAACACAGGTCAGCAGATGTTTGTGACTGCAGTCTCCATGATCTGAGCCAAGGTCCCAGTGGGGATCCATACTGGGGACAACTTGCTGATTGCTAGGGAATTTGTCCCTTTCTTCAGCTGTTATTCTATCATTTGCTTGATTAAGATATCAGGCATCTCCAAACTCTTGGGCTAAAGCTAAAGCCACCTTTTTTTTTTATTATTAAAGGATAGTGTTTGATCTAATAATAGAATGACATCTCTACAAGTGAGGTCAAAGGTTTGCCTTAAAACCTGTAGGACATATATATACCTATCAGGATTATCTGAAAACTTCCCCAGGTCTACCTTGATCTGCTTTAAATGATACAGGAGAAGGAGGCATGTACCTGGGTTGGGCAAATTTCCCTCTGCCTACAACTTGAAGGGGATACAACAGATAACCTGTTTTTTTTCTTTTTTTGTGTGTGGTCCCCTGGGGATTTCTTTGCTTGTTTCCTTCTGGGAGGGGGAGATTAAAGGAGGCTTATCTTTAATAGGAAGGGGAGCTATAGGAAGGCTTGGGTATGGAGGTAAGCTGAGAGATCCTCCTTTGAGATGTAAATTGCAAGCTTTGCATAGATGTGGATATTTTTCAATGAAAAGAAAGCTTGGACATAATGTCTTTCACACCATTTGCCTTTCTTCTTACAGGAAAGTTCAACCTACAAGATAATATTGTAACTTATACTTTTCTCACTGGCCATTTTTCCTCATGAGAGAGAATATTGGGGCCAGGCCATAGTGCAGAAAAAAAAAAAAAAAAAGCTGCTCCTTTTTCAGGGTTTGCTGTTCAAATTGGTCCCAATGGCTTATAACGCATTTCAAGGGTGAGCCTGTTGATGCCTGAGTGTTTCCCATCTTAAAGAAAAAATCACCCATGGTATTGGTTTGTTGGTTTTCTTCCCCCTGACAAAGAACCAGCAATGGTCCCTGGACCTTGTTGATTAGAGTAGTTGCACTCACTGATGCAGCAGCAGAAACACTAGTTTTCCTCCTAGACCACACAAAGGACTGAGAAAGGTCAGATTTAGTGGTCCTTACTGATGCTTGCTCAAAAACCAGCACCATTGCCTTTCCTTAGACCACAAAGAGGACCAAGAAAAATTGGATTTAGTGGCCCTTACTGACACATTCTTGAAAACCTGTTAGAGTCCTAAGCATTTTCTCCTGTTAGTATTGGGAACTTACCCCTGTCCTATAAAGATGATATTCCCTAAAATGGGGTAGCGGGTCATATCCTGATGGAGGGATAGGATCTCTAGGGTTAGAAGAGTGATGTCTTTGGCTTCACTTCTCATTATATGAATAGGAAGGATAAAATTTCTGAGGCTCCCTATATCCTAGCTTTGGGAACAGCCTTTGTTACATCTGCTTGCCTGAGTACAGATCCTAAAAAGATAGATGGTATTTCAGATAGTCCCCCCAAATGGGACTTTGCCTAAAAAAAAGTCTTCTGATTGGTGAGACTGGGTGTCTAAAGAAGGGAACAGAGTCCCAAAACTTATACCAGGAATTATCCTTATAGGAAAAACTAGAAGATCACCAGGGACAGGGAGTGGTTTTTGAAGCAGAACTACCCTCAGATAAGAGAGGTAAGGGGAAGTTTTTCTGACATGCATTAGGACCTAGAAGGCAAGGGTCAGGGTAGATAGGATAGATGAGTGAGTCTCACTTGGGTGATGTAGCTTTGAGAGTTCCACTCCTGGCTGTAAGGTCAGCCACCTTTTTGTTGGGACCTTGGAGCTGAATGGCTTTCCTCTCTGTTGACCCTCAGCTCAGCCCAGAAGTACAGGAAAAGTGGAAGCTGGTTTCAGGCAAACCAATTCTCCCACCTCTGAAGAGTTGGGGATTGTTAGAGCTCCCATTCCCAGAAAGCCTGACACCCATGTCTTTACTCTGCAGTCACCTAGTCACATGTTACTCACTGACAGGTGCGCAGTGTGTAGACCCTGAGTTCTAAGGAAAAATAGGACAGAATAGCAAGCAAAAGGGGTCCAGTGGTATTCACTGCTTGACAACATCCTGGAGGAGCCCCAAACATGTATCCAGAGTTGGTTGCTTCTGGTGGGTTCACGGTCTTGCTGACTTCATAAATGAAGCTGTGGACCTTTGTGTAAGTGTTACAGCTCTTAAAAGTGACAGGGATGCAAAGAGTGAGCAGCAGCAAGCTTTATTGTGGAGAGTAAAAGAACAAAGCTTCCACAGCATGGAAGGGGACCTGACTGGGTTGCAGCTGCTGGCTGGGGTGGCCAGCTTTTATTACCTTATTTGTCTCCACCAATGTCCTGCTAATCCGTCCATTTTACAGACTGTTGATTTTTTCATTTTACAGAGTGCTGATTGGTCCATTTTACAGAGTGCTGATTGGTCCATCTTACAAAGTACTGATTGGTGCATTTTACAAACCTCTAGCTAACTACAGAGTGCTGATTCATGCATTTTACAAACTTATAACTAGCTACAGAGTGCTCATTTAACAGAGCACTGACAGATGCATTTTACAAGAGAGTTTTGGCCTTTACTATTAATAAGTAATAGTACTTACTCTGCCCAAATTTTTCCAAAGGTGTGGGCTACATCAAAGACATACTTGACTTTGAGTAAGTATAAACCATTCCTTCCCAGTTTTGCCAAAATTTCAAGGCTTGTTATAGTGCAAACAACTCACATGTTTGCTCAGACCAATCATTAGGTAATCTTGCTGCTTCCATTTCTGTGAGGGTGTCTCCGTCTACATTAAGTACCCATTAAGGCTTTTACCTCTTATTACTTGAGAATAATTATGTACAAAAAAGGTGTGTTTTCGTTGGAAGGGGAGTTTATTTAAATCTGGTCTAGCTCTTGTCTGATAGACAATAATATCTAAACATTCATGTCATGTTCTTCTGGTCTGTGGTGTGGGTTTTTTGGGGGGTTTGGATTTCCTGTTAAGAAGGCAGCAGGGTTAAGTGAATCATCAGTGGTTAGAGTTAAATCATCTTTTTCTAACAAGATAGTCTCATATTTTAAAATCTTTGAGTCAGTAAGCCACCTTTCTGCCTTTTGACTAGGATAGTTTTGACCTGGTGGGTTGTGTTCACAATGAGGTTTCCTCCAAAAGGTATTTTTCTACTTTCTTCTGTTAGCAAAGCAGTTGCCATTACCAATTGAATGCCTTTGGTCCATCCACAGGTTACTGGGTCAAAGGGTTTTGATAGAAAGGCAACAGATGGCCAGTGGCCTCCGTGCTTCTGGGTAAATACTCCTAAGGCTATGTCTTTGTTTACATTGATAAAAAGATGGAATGGCTGCTCTAAGGAGGGTAAAGCTAGGACAAGAGGAGTTACTAACAGATGTTTTAACCTTTACACCTGTCAGATTTCCAGTAATTGCCAAATGAGGTTGTGTGACTTGTCTGTGTGAGCTTTTTTTTTTTTTTTATAAAGGTTCTGTTTCTAGGGCATAACAGCCTATCTATAGATGACAGTATCCAACTAATCCTAAAAATTTTCTAAATTCTTGTTTAGTTTTCACTAGAGGCAAGAACAATCCATTCAATCCCAATTTTCTATTGACCTTTCCTAATTAAATGCCCCAAATATTTTACTTCAGGTTTTACAAATTTGAGTGCTTTATTTATTTTTTTCAAGACCTTTAGACCTTTATCCCATAGAAAATTTAAGACATGGGTTAAGAAGGCTGCTACTCTTTTTCTATCATTCCCTGAAATTAGAAGATCTTCCATGTACTGCAGGAGGCACATTTGTGAGGAAAAAGAAGGTTTATCTAGGACTTTTCTAATATTTGACTAAATAAATTTGGAGACTCTAAACCCTTGGGGTAAGACTGATCATTGGTATTGCCATTTTCAACTGGAGTTAGCATCTTCCCACTTATAGGCAAATAGGTCCCAGCTGTATTCTGCTAATGGACAAGCCCAAAAGGCATCCTTTAAATCTATTACTGTAAACCTCTAATGGCTGTATGGGATCATACTGATAATAGTATAAGGGTTCGGAAAAATGGGATGTGTAGTTTATACTATCTGATTAATAGCTCTAAGGTCTTGTAGTAACTGGTATGACCCATCTGGTTTCCTTGCAAGTAGTAATGGAGAAGTGTAGGGAGACATACAGGGTTAATGAAACTAATCATGGAGAAGACCTTCAATATAGATTTTAAATTTACCCTGGCTTCTAAAGGAATAAGGTGTTGCTTTCTCTTTACTACTTCCCCAGGCATTTTTAATTTAATATGAATTGAAGGAATTCATAATTTTCCTTGATTCCTATCTTTAGACCATAACTCAGGATGAATATGTTCTTCATCTGCGGTGGTTAGGAAGTTTAGGGAGGGGAGGAAACTTCCATGATTAATTTGGAGGCCTAAGCCTAATTTTAGCATTAAATATCTTCCTAACAGATTTGTCCCTGCTTCTAGAATTAGCAGAAATTTGATACTAGCTAATCAGTTTTTATATTTTACTTCCATCTCCTCTAATACTTTTGCTCTCCTCTAAGATTTTTGCTCTAAACTCTTCTCCTTTTACCCCAGAGATAAAACATCTTCTTGTGAGCAAGTTACACTGGATGGAAGATAAGAATCAGCTGAGTGAGATGATCCTGAATCAATTAAAAAGGTAATAAGCTCAGGTTTACATTCCACTTCTAAATTTATCAAGGGCTCTTCGTGGCACCCAAGATAAAAAGATAGAGCCCCTGACTTCCCTAGTCTTCTTCAAAAGCCATAAGTGGGATGACTATTTCTTTCTTGTCCCATTCAGGACATTGTCTTTTAAAGTGACCTATTTTTCCACATGTGAAACATTTGTTCTGTAATTTTTTAGTTATGCCTGGCCAGCTATTGGTAACAAAGTGGAACTTTAACATTCCTTGTCCAAGGAGGCCTTCTTATTGTAGGCCAGCATATTTTCCCATTTGCTCTTTAAGCCTTTCTAAAAATGTTATCAGTCCCTCATCTTTTCGCTGTTGTATATTGAAGGCCTTGGTAAGACTTTGGGTGCAGGACAGTGATTCTCAAATTCCTTTTATTATCATCTCCCTAAGGTCTTTCATATTTCCTGAATGGACTATATTGCTGTTATTCCATGGAAGATCCTGGGCTGGGAAGTTTTTGTCAGCTGCTGGGACGTTCTGATCTGGAGGGTGTTCACATTGCAAAACTATCATAGTGGCCCTGTGTATCATGCTCCTTTTTCTTCTGAGAATAAGATGCCTAAGATAGACATTAACTTGGCCCAAGTATATAATTGGGATCCTAGAAACCCGTCAATTTGATATGCCACTCTGTAAAGGTCATCTAAGAGTAGTTTAAGTTCCCTTTTTAGGTTTTGGACTTCTGAGCTCGTTAAGGGGGTGCTCACAAACTCAATGCCTCCTCCTTCAAGAGGCACTTCTCTTAAGGAAAAGAGATGGAGCAGACTCTTTGAAGGTATTGGGGAAAAAGGGAAATTTTGGATATCTTTCTTACATTGTTATATCTCATGAGGAAGTCTTCTTAAGGGGTGACACTAAGGATTATGGGGGTAGGAATAACATGCATAGAGGAAGGGTTTGGGGTGGCAGCTGCTTGGGGGAGAGTAAGGTTAGGGGTATTTGGTAGGGGAAGCTGCTCTAAAGGGTCTCATGTGTAAGCATACTGTTCAGGTTTAACCTCTTCATAGGAGATAGTTTTTGACTTATCTCCTGTAGCTTTTAGGGGTTACTGGAGAACCCAACCTTGCTGCCAGCATAAGGCATAGTCTCTTTCTTCCTGTGAGACAGGATTTTTATCATTGTCATATTCTATTAAGAGTTGACAGATACAATCCTCATTTGATCCAAATGTTGGCCAGAAAACTGAGGGTTTGAGGATAGGTATTTTTGTCCAAATAAAACAGCAGTATTTTATTATTTGTTGCTTTTTCTTGTGTTTGCTCCTTTGACTATCCTTTCAGTATTCTAACATTAGGCCCAGGGGACTATCAGAGTGTATATTATCATGATCATGATCTTTCCTACATTTCATCTTACTTGTTTTATTTCCCATCCTGGAGAAAGTATTTTTCCCTGACTTTACAGGCCTCACTGTCTCTTACTAGAGATTTCTTATACCCTAGCAATTCTGTGAGGCTCAACCTCTGCTACTAGAGATTTCTTTTTCCAGAGAGGTTCAACCTCCCCTCTCTGCTACAGGTTTCTGGCACTCTTTATCTTTTGCTTCATCCTTCACCATCTGCTTTCCTTGTGGGAATTTTCAGATCGCTCTTAACATAGGCAGGTTGGTAGAAACCCCACGACAGGCAAGCTGCTTTTAAGCAGTATGAGGTGACCTCAGGACCAGATCCAGACTCTGCACTCAATTGTACATCTCACACACTTTCAACATCCAGGGTGTTCTGATCACCAAGGAAATACTTCACCATCTCCATGGTTTTTCTTACCTTGATCTCTCCACAAAGTTACTTGATCATTGTGTATCTATAGGCCTTTACTTCCCACATCACTGAGAGTCCATGTTTATTCATCACAGCAGGTGGGTCTTGACCCCTTACCCCTGAGACCACCACAGTGAGGCAGCAGCATATATCTTCTAATGAAAGATGATCAGAGATTCCTCCCCAGAGAAGAATGGGAATCTTGGATGGGCCCCCAAATTGTTAGAAACAGTTGCCCAGTGCCACAATGAAAACAAGCACATAGGCAGAACATTCTTCAGCATGGCAAATTTACTTCTGTAGAAGGTGTGCGGCTTGCCCCAGTAATGATCAAAAGATCATGTCAAGTGGGATAGGGCAGGGATTTTTATCCCTAATGCAGTTTCTAGCACTTCTGTGTCCTTTCTCCTTTGGCTGAGGTTGGACCCCACCATCTAAGCTAACATGACTGGGGAAGGTTTAAAATTGAATAGGTTCTATTAGATGGGAAGAAACAGAAACTGTTTGTTACTAGGCGAGAAGGCATATCTGAACTTGTCAGGGCACAGCAAAGATGGGAAAGTTGTTTACAGATTAGGTAGCTAGGAGACAAGACATAGAAGGAAGTTGGTCTTAAGAAACAAAGAACAGGGAACTAAAACTTCTTGATGAAGAATTTGTCATCTGTGACACTTACAACTTCTGCTGATCAGAGCATCTAATTGTGTATTCATGGCAACTTGAGTCTGTTCTTCAGTGATGAAAGCCTCAAGCTTGGCCAAATAAATGCTCTATTTATATTAAATTTGCCTGAGTTTCTTCCTTTTATGTTGATCATCTCAAATGAGAAGAACCACACTATAGTTATCCTTTAGTGCCTGGCTTATTTCACTAGGTATGCCATCCTCAAGTTTCAGGTACACTGTAGCCTGTGTTAGAATTCCCTTTCCTTTGAAGCTGGAATGCTTCAATCAATAACTTTTCATATAAAAGCTTTCAGGAAGGGCTCATCTTCCAAGATGAACACAATTTTAAATACTTGACAAATTTGAAACCTAGTTTAATACTGGCAAGGAAGCACTTTATGTTAACTGCAATTGCCAATTAACCTGATGTTGAAATCACATAGAAAAAAAAAAAAAAGACTGAACAGAGGACCAGAATGGTATGTTCCTCTTAATTGTCTTATTGTACACTGAAAAAGTTGCTTGGTGCACAAAGATGGGTGTTTGCAGGAATCCACAGCAGTTAGAATTACCTCAAGGTAAGCTAAGTTGTCTCATAGGAAGATCTTTTGACTCATTTTACCCACTTTTCAAATGTGGAAAATAAATACCTCTCAGAAAGGCAGTTTAGAGTAGTGAGTGCTGCAGTTTGGCTCTTGGGGGAGCCAGGTTCCTCTCCTGTCTGCCACCTGGGTTTCTGAGGTTTCCTTGGAGCAACTTCCTGCTGCCACAGGACCTAAGGAACAGAAACATCAGTCAGAGCTCTCATTTCACCTTAAATATTTTTCTCTGCATGCTTCTGTACTGGAATACTTAAAGCCTGACAAACAGGTTTTTTAGAGGTTATCTTGTTGAATACAAGGAGAAATAAATGCGTCTAGCTCAGAAACTTCTCCAAAAAAAAAAAAAAAAGATGGAAAGAAAAGACTGGACATGAGGCTTGGGGAGGCAACCGGCTCTGCAGATCTTCCCCGGGAGTTCTCAGAACCAAGCAGATACAATGCAGATGGAATTTGATCTCCTAGTCCTTTCCCTTGCAAGTCCCTGATGGGGAGGAGGTTTTGAGAAAAGGCAGACCTCATGACTCCTGTTTCAAACTGTTCCTTTGAAGATCTGACCTAGATCTGTCTGCAGAAGCTGTACCCCAAAGTGTTTTGTTTTGCTTTTTGCAGAAAAGTGAGTTCTACCTAAGGCTGCAAAACATGACATCTTTCTGGTGATAGGGATGGGGCCAAGTCTCCCTCCCTCAGCAAGGCAGGTTAATGGAGGCCTTGGGAATAGGTTTCATCTGATATCCATCTGTGGTTGCCGGTTTTGTTTTTTGTTTTTTTTTTCAGGTAGATTTTCTTCTGTAGGAGAAAAAGAGGTTTGGCCAATGAGTTTTTGGGAACTGTAAGGTAAGCATAATGTTTTACATTACCAGAAAACAGCTGCAATTGAACAGAAGGAAAGCAGTCCTAGGAGATGTTCTAAGGAGGTTTAAACAAATGAATTTTGGTCTTGTTGTGCCTCCTATTGTTAGAGTAGGTAGGTATTCAGCCATGAATGGGCAGGAGAGGGGTTCCCCCTACCTCCTTTCTTTTCCCTCACATACCAGAAATGTGAAAAGACCATCAGGTGATGGTCAGGTGATTGATAAACTATCCCTTTAAAATAATAATTGGGGCCAGTCATGTTGTTTCACATCTGTAATCCCAGCACTTTGGGAGGCTGAGGCAGGTGAATCACTTGAGGTCACTTGAGACCAGGCTGGCAAACATGTTAAAACCCTGTCTCTACCAAAAATACAAAAACTAGCCAGCTATGGTGGGGTGCGCCTGTAATCCCAGTTACTCAGGAGGCTGAAGGAGGACAATCACTTGAACCCTGGAGGTGGAGTTTGCAGTGATCCAAGATTGTGCCATTGCACTCCAGCCTGGGTGACAGAGACAGACTGTCTCAATAAATAAATAATAATTGGTCGTGGCACCAGGGAAACACAGTCTCCTGATACACAGAAAACACCTGAAATGTGATCAGCAACTTCCCAATAAGATCTCAGGAGTTGGATAAATGGAATCAAGCATGCCTACTAAGAGACAAATGGGAGAGTGTAACTGCTATGTGACCTTCTTCTAGGGACACTCAACTGGTAAAGGAAGAATGCCTCAAGTGAGCACGTGCACAAAGCCACTAAACACACTGTGCGTGCTCTCCTCCTGAGTGCTGGCATTCCCCTGCACTTGTGAATAGCCCACTCCAAGGGAAGAATCAGGGGAGAAGGAATGCAAGATTGCAGTCTAAAAGTCAATGCATAAAAACCCAAGTGTAATAGTAAAACCATGCACTTGACTCTGAAGTTGCCCACTAGTCTTTCTTCCAAGGGTCCTTTCCTTTTTTGCTATCATGTTCTAAAGTTTTCTAAAAATCTTCCACTCATTCTCACTAACTTGCCTCCATCTCTCCTTCTGCCTTATGCCTCTCAGTCAAATTCTTTCTCCTGAGAAGGTAGGAATTAAGATTGCTGTAGAGTTTCATGGCTTTGCTGTTAATGACACCAATACTTCAGTGCTTCCAAGGTGCCCTTTATCCACAGCTTTCTGCATGGCTGAGGAATGGGGCTCCCAGGAAGGCGAGCTGCTCCCAGAGAAGGAAGGGTACCTGCTGGGTGGGTGTGCACAGGTGGGCTCCTACCACCCAGCTGCTGCTTGGGATAAGATGAGGATATCCCTGACAACTCCCTAGAGACTCAGACTCAGAGGAGCTCAAAGGGTGTATGAGATGCAGCCACTGCTGAGAACTGGGAGAAACATAATCCCAAAGACAGGAGCAGCAGAGGGGATTTCATTTCCTTCAGGGTTTGACCTGGATACCACAAAGCACTCCAACAAAAGGCACAGTTAATAAAGGGTGTCCATAGTAACCTGTTGATGAAACCTCTCAAAAACCATTGCCGATTTTGGAATTTCTTTCCAGCCTCAGGCTCTGGCAGAACATCAGCCACTAGCCATGGGAGGATGGGTGTCACATCGCTGAGACTGTGAAGTTATAGTTTTCTATTTTAATTGTTGCAAGATACACCTAACATACAGTTTACCACTTTAGCCATTTAAAGTGTACAATTTGCTCTTCTCAATAGCAAAAACTTGGAACCAACCCAAATGCCCATTAATGATAGACTGGATAAAGAAAACATGGCACATATACAATAAGGAATACTATGCAGCCATATAAAAAGGACGAGTTCATATCCTTTGCAGGGACATGGATGAAACTGGAAATCATCACTCTCAGCAAACTAACGCAGGAACAGAAAACAAAACAGCGCATGTTCACACTCATAAGTGGGAGTTCAATAAAGAGAACACATAGGCACAGGGAGCAGAATATCACACACCAGGGCCTGTCAGGAGTTTTCAGGCTAGGAGAGGGATAGCATTAGGAGAAATACCTAATGTAGACAATGGATTGATGGATTCAGTAAACCACCATGCCACACGTATGCATATGTAACAAACCTGCATTTTCTGCACTTGTACTCCAGAACTTAAAGTACAATAACAATAATAATAAATAATAAAATAAAATAAAGTGTGGAGTTTGATGGCATTTAGTGCATTCACAACCGTAAGTTAGTGTTGTGTGAACAACAAGGTTGTGCAATGATTATGCCAATCAATGCTCAAACACTTTTATTTATTTATTTATTTTTTTTGAGACACAGCCTCACTCTGTTGCCCAGGCTGGACAGCAGTGGCTAGAACTCTGCTTATTGCAACCTCCACCTCCTCCCAGGTTCAAATGATTCTCATGCTTCAGCTTCCCAGCTAGCTGAGATTACAGTTACCTACGACCATGTCTGGCTAATTTTTGTATTTTTAGTTGAGACAGGGCTTTACCATGTTGGCAAGTCTGGTCTTGAACTCCTGGCCTTATGTGATCTACCTGACTTGCCCTTCCAAAGTGCTGGTATTGCAGATGTGGGCCACCATGCCCAGTAAAACACTTTTATAACTCACAAATATACTACATCCAATGATTATCAGCCCCTTGTCCAACAATCCTCTCCCTACCTGAAGCTTCCAGCAAATATCAGTCTGCCATCTCTCTCTTTGCCTATTCTAGACATTTCATATAAATAGAATCATACAACATGAAACATTTGTGTCTGTCTTTTGAAATTTAACATCATGTTTTCAATGTTCATTCATATGACAGCATGAATGAGAGCTCCATTTCTTTTCATTTTCCAGTAATAATCTGTTGCATGTGTGAACTCCATTTATGTAAATGCTTTCATGCTCTGATGAATATTTAAGTTGTTTCTACTTTCTGCCTCTTCTGCATCTTGCTATGTTTGGCTATGCATTTATTTATTTAGCAACAAGGTCTTCATCTGTTGCCCAGGCTGAAGTGTAGTGGCAAAAGCTTGGTTCATTACAACCTCAGCTTCCTAGATTCAAATGATTCTCCCTCCTCAGCCTTCCAAGTAGCTGTGACTACAGCTGTGAAACACCCCCAGCTAATTTTTGTGTTTTTTATTCAGATCACCTAGACTTAAGTGATATACCCACCTTGGCCTCCCAAACTGCTGGGATTACAGGCATTTACCACACTGCTTAACCCATGGTACTGCTATGAATATGAGTGTGTACATATCTGTTGGACTCTGAATTCTTTTTTTTTTTTTAACTTAGTGATGGGGGTCTCAGTATGTTGATTAGGCTGGTCTTGAATTCCTTGCCTCAAGTGACCCTCCCATCTCGGGCTCTCAAAATGCTAGGATTACAGGGAGAAGCCACCATGCCTGACACAAATTCTTCTCTGTACCTACTCAAGAGTGGAATTGCTGGTCATGTGGTTGAGACTGTGTTTTATGTTGGATGTGTGTCAGCCTTCAACATCCATCCCATTCCGGAATAGAGCTACAGGTGGTTTCATAATGATATCTGACCTATATCAGACCCACTATTTTTTTTGGCTGATTGGTACTGTTTTTAATATGTCTTTAATCATATTCCAATGACACACATATTTGCAAATGACTGTGTGGGATTTGTTGCATGGGGTGCTTAAAGAAGGAAGAAAGAAACAAGGAAGGGAAGGAAGGTGGGAAGGAAAAAAGAACAAAGGAAGTAAGAGAAAGGCAGAGAGAAAGAAGAAGGAGGAGAGGAGGCAGACGAGGAGGGAAAAGGAGATGAAAGAGGAGGAAACAAAGAAGGAGGAGGAAACAAAGAGGAGGAGGAGAAAGACAAGGAAGAATAGGAGAAAGAGGAGGAGAAGGAAACAGAGAAGAAGGAGGAGGAGCAGGAGGAGATATAGAAGAAAAAATAAGAGAAATAGTGAGCAGTGGAGCCAGTTGGACTTCTGGGTTGGGTTGGGACTTGGAGAATTTTTGTCTTAAAAGAGGATTGTAAAATGCCCCAATCAGAAGTCTGCAGCTAGGATTGTAAAACACACCAGTCAGTACTCTGTAGCTAGCTAGAGGTTTGTAAAATTCACCAGTCAGTGCTCTGTAAAATGGACCAATCAGCAGGACATGGGCAGGGACAAATAAGGGAATAAAATCTAGCCACCCCAGCCAGCAGTGGCAATCCACTTTGCTTCCTTTCCATGCTATGGAAGCTTTGTTCTTTTTCTATTCACAATAAATCTTCCTGATGCTCCTTCTTTGTGTTTGTGTAATTTTTTTTAATGGAGTCTCGTTCTGTCACCCAGGCTGGATGGTGTGCAGTGGTGTTATCTTGGCTCACTGCAAGCTCTGCCTCCTGGGTTGACGCCATTCTCCTTCCTCAGCCTCCTGAGAAGCTGGGATTACAGGTGCCCACCACCATGCCTGGCTAATTTTTTGTATTTTTAATAGAGACAGGATTTCACCATGTTAACCAGGATGGTCTTGATCTCCTGATATTGTGATCCACCTACCACAGCCTCCCAAAGTGCTGGGATTACAGGCATGAGCCACCATGCCCAACTGCATTTGTGCCATCTTTAAGAGCTGTAACAATCGCTGCAAAGGTCCATGGTTCCATTCTTGAAGTCAGTGAGGACACAAACACACCAGAAATAAAAAAAACTCAGAACACATCTTGGGGGCTCACCAGGGATAGCCCCATATGGTGAGTACCATCAGACCCCTTTTACTTACTATTGTGTCCTATTTTTCCTTAGAATTTGTGAGCTAAATGCCAGGCACCTGTCAGCCAATTAAAAGTGACTAGCATGGCAACCGGACTAAAGACATGGGTGTAAGGCTTTCTGGGAAAGATCTCTCTAAGAACCCCCTATTCTTCAGAGTTGGGAGCATTGGTTTGCCTGAAACCAGCTTCCAATTTTTCTGTACTCCTGAGCTGAACTGAGGGTTGTCAGATAGGAAAGCCATTCAGCTGCAGGGTCCAGAGAATAAGTTGGTTGACCCTGCAGACATGAGGAGAACTCTTAAAATCATGTTAACCAAGTGAGACTTGCTTATCTATCCTATCAATCCTGACCCTTGCCTCCTGGGTTCTAATGCCTGTAAGATTAATTTCCTTCCATCTCCCATCTCTGAGGCTAATCCCACTTGTAAAAACCATTCCTGATGATGGCCAAATAGGAAAAACTCCAGTCTACAGCTCCCAGCATTATTGATGCAGAAGACATGTGATTTCTGCATTTCCAACTGAAGTACCAAGTTCATCTCACTGGGGCTTGTTGGACAGTGGGTGCAGAACAGTGGGTGCAGCACATCAAGTATCAGCCAAAGCATGGCAAGGCATTGCCTCACCCAGGAAGTGCAAGAGGTCAAGGAATTCCCTTTCCTAGCCAAGCGAAGCTGTGACAGATGGCACCTGGAAAATTGGGTCACTACCACCCTAATACTGCACATTTCTAATGGTCTTAGCAAATGGCACACTAGGAGATTATAACCCACTCCTGGCACAGAGGGTCTCATACCCACAGAAACTCAATCATAGCTAGCAGAGTATTTGAAACCAAACTACAAGATGGCAATGAGTCTGGGAGAGGGGTGACCACCATTGCTGAGGCTTGAGTAGGTAAACAAAGCAGCTGGGAAGCTCAAACTGAGTGGAGCCCACTGCAGCTCAAGGAGGCCTGGCTGCATCTGTAGACTCCACTTCTGAGGGCAAGGCATAGCTAAACAAAAGGCAGCAGAAATCTTTGCAGACTTAAATGTCCCTTTCTGACAGTTTTGAAGAGAGTAGTGGTTCTCCCAGCATGGAATTTGAGATCTGAGAATGGACAGACTGCCTCAAGTGAGTCCCTGACCCCTGAGTAGCCTAACTGGGAGACAGCACCAAAATAGGGCAGACTGACATTTCACACGGCCAGGTACCCCTCTGAGATGAAACTTCCAGAGGAATGATTAGGCAGCAACATTTGCTCTTCAGCAACATTCACTACTCTGCAGCCTCTGCTGTTCATACCTCGGGAAACAGGGTCTGGAGTGGACCTCCAGCAAACTCCAACAGACCTTCAGCAGAGGGTCCTGACTGCTAGAAGGAAAATTAACAAACAGAAAGCACATCCACACCAAAACCCCATCTGTACGTTACCATCATCAAAGACCAAATGTAGATAAAACCACCAAGATGGGGAAAAAAGGAACAGAAAAACTGAAAATTCTAAAAATCTGAGTGCCTCTTCCCCTCCAAAGGAACACAGCTCCTCACCAGAGGCAGAATGAAGCTGGATGGAGAATGACTTTGATGAGTTGAGAGAAGAAGGCTTCAGACGATCAAACTTCTCTGAGCTAAAGGAGGAAGTCTGAACCGATAGCAAAGAAGCTAAAAACCTTGAAAAACGATGAGATGAATGCCTAACTATAATAACCACTGTAGAGAAGTCTTTAAATGACCTGATGGAGCTGAAAACCATGGTATGAGAACTACCTGAGGAATGCACAAGCTTCAGTAGCTGATTTGATCAACTGGAAGAAAGTGTATCAGTGAGTGAAGATCAAATGAATGAAATGAAGTGAGAAGAGAAGTTAGAGAAAAAAGAGTAAAAATAAATGAACCAAGCCTCCAAGAAATATGGGACTATGTGAAAAGATCAAATCTATGTCTGATTGGTGTACATGAAAGTGATGGGGAGAAAGGAACCAAGTTGGAAAACACTCTTCAGGATATTATTCAGGAGAACTTCCCCAACCTAGCAATGCAGGCCAACATTCAAATACAGGAAATACACAGAACACCACAAAGATACTCCTTGAGAAGAGCAACTCCAAGACACATAATTGTCAGATTCACCAAAGTTGAAATGCAGGAAAAATTGTTAAAGGCAGCCAGAGAGAAAGGTCATGTTACTCACAAAGGGAAGCCAATCACACTAACAGATGTCTCCGCAGAAACTCTACAAGCCAGAAGAGAGTGGGGACCAATATTAACATTCTTACAGAAAAGAATTCTCAACCCAGAATTTCATATCCAGCCAAACTAAGCTTCATAACTGATAGATAAATAAAATACTTTACAAAATGGAAAACATAAAAGGCAGGGGTTGCAATCCTAGTCTCTGATAAAACAAATTTTAAATTAATAAAGATCAAAAGAGACAAAGAAGGTCAATACATAATGGTAAAGGGATCAATTCAACAAGAAGAGGAACTATCCTAAATATATATGCACCCAATACAGGAGCACCCAGATTCAAAAAGGAAGTCTTTAGAGACCAACACGGAGACTTAGACATCCACACAATAATAATGAGAGACTTTAACACCTCACAGTCAACATTAGACAGATCAACAAGACAGAAAGCTAAAAACGATATCCAGGAATTGAACTCAGTTCTGCACCAAGCAGACCGAATAGACATCTACAGGACTCTCCAACCCAAATCAACAGATTATACATTCTTCTCAGCACCACATCGCACTTATTCCAAAATTGACCACAGAGTTGGAAGTAAAGAACTCCTCAGCAAATGTAAAAGAACAGAAATCACAACAAACTGTCTCTCAGACTGTAGTTCAATCAAAATAGAACTCAGCATTAAGAATCTCACTCAAACCCGCTGAACTACATGGAAACTGAACAACTTGCTTCTGAATGACTGCTGGGTACATAATGAATTGAAGGCAGAAATAAAGATGTTATTTGAAATCAGTGAGAACAAAGGCACAACACACCAGAATGTCTGGTACACATTTAAAGCAGTGTGTAGAGGGAAATTTATAGCACTAAAAGCCTACAAGAGAAAGCAGGAAAGATCTAAAATTGAAACCCTAAGATCTCAATCAAAAGAACTAGAGAAGCAAGAGTAAACACATTCAAAAGCTAGCGGAAAGAAAGAAATAACTAACATCAGAGGAGAACTGAAGGAGATAGAGACACAAAAAATCCTTCAAAAAATCAATGAATCCAGGAGCTGGTTTTCTGAAAAGATCAACAAAATTGATAGACCACTAGCAAGACTAATAAAGAAGGAAAGAGAGAAGAATCAAACAGATACCATACAAAATAACAAAGGGGATATCACCTCCTATCCCACAGAAAAAGAAACTACCATCAGAGAATACTAAAAACACCTCTTCAGAAATAAACTAGAAAATCTATAAGAAATGGATAAATTCCTGGACACATACACCCTCCCAAGACTAAACCAGGAAGAAGTTGAGTCTAGGAATAGATCAATAGCAGACTCTGAAATTGAGGAAATAATTAATAGCTTACAAACCAAAAAAAAGTGCAGTACCAGAGGCATTCAAATCTGAATTCTACCAGAGGTACAAGGAGGAATGGTACCATTCCTTCTGAAACAATTTCAATCAATAGAAAAAGAGGGAATCCCCTCTAACTCATTTTATGAGGCCAGCATCATCCTGATACCAAAGCCAGGAAGAGACACAACCAAAAAAGAGAATTTTGTATCATGATCCATGATGAACATCAATGTAACAATCCTCAATAAAACTTTTTCAAACTGAATCCAGCAACATATCATAAAGCTTATCCAACATCATTAAGTGGGCTTCAACATTAGGATGCAAGGCTGGCTCAACACACACAAATCAATAAATGTAATCCAGCATATAAACAGAACCAAAGACAAAAACCACATGATTATCTCAATAGATGCAGAAAAGGCCTTTGACAAAATTTAACATGACTTCATGCTAAAAACTCTCAATAAATTAGGTATTGATAGGCTGTATCCCAAAATAATAAGAGATATTTATAACAAACTCACAGCCAATACCATACACAGGCAAAAACTGGAGCATTCCCTTTTAAAAATGGCACAAGACAAGGATGCCCACTTTCACCACTCTTATTCACCATAGTGTTGGAAGTTCTGGGCAAGGCAATCAGGCAGGAGAAAGAAATAAAGGGTATTCAATTAGGAAAAGTGGAAGTCAAGTTGTCCCTGTTTGCAGATGACATGATTGTATATCTAGAAAACCACATCATCTCAGCCCAAAATCTCCTTAAGCTGATAGGCAACTTCAACAAAGTCTCAGGTTACAAAATCAGTGTGCAAAAATCACAAGCATTCTTATACACCAATAACAGACAAACAGAGAGCCAAATAATTAATGAACTCCCATTCACAATTGCTTCAAAGAGAATAAAATACCTAGGAATTCAACTTACAAGGGATGTGAAGGACCTCTCCAAGGAGAACTACAAACCACTGCTCAATGAAATAAAAGATGATACAAGCAATGGAAGAACGTTCCATGCTCATGGATAGGAAGAGCAAATATAGTGAAAATAACCACACTGCCCAAAGTAATTTATAGAGTTAATGTCATCTTCATCAAGCTACCAATGACTTTCTTCACAGAATTGGGAAAAACTACTTTAAAGTTCATATGGAACCAAAAAAACAGCCCACAATGCCAAGTCAATCCTAATTGAAAAGAACAAAGCTGGAGGCATCTCACTACCTGACTTCAAACTATACTACAAAGCTACAGTAACCAAAACAGCATGGTACTGGTACCAAAACAGAGATATAGACAAATGGAACATAATAGAGTCCTCAGACATAATAACACACATCTATAACCATCTGATCTTTGACAAACCTGACAAAAACAAGAAATGGGGAAATGATTCCCTATTTAATAAATGGTGATGGGAAAACTGGCTAGCCATATGTAGAAAGCTGAAACTGGATCCTTTCTTTACACCTTATAAAAATTAATTCAAGATGGATTAAAGACTTAAACGTTAAACCTAAAACCATAAAAACCCTAGAAGAACACCTAGGCAATCCCACTCAGGACATAGGAAAGAGCAAGATCTTCATGTCTAAAACACCAAAAGCAATGGCAACAAAAGCAAAAATTGACAAATGAGATCTAACTAAACTAAAGAGCTTTTGCACAGCAAAAGAAACTACCATCAGAGTGAAGAGGCAACCTATAGGATGGGAAAAAAGTTTTGCAATTTACTCATCTGACAAAGGGCTAATATCCAGAGTCTTCAAAGAACTCAAACAAATTTACAAGAAAAAAACTAACAAACCCATCAAAACTTCCCGAAAGACATGAACAGACATTTCTCAAAAGAAGACATTTATGCAGCCAACAGACACATGAATAAATGTTCATCATCACTGGCCATCAGAGAAATACAAATCAAAACCACAATGAGATTCCATATCACACCAGTGAGAATGGCGATCATTAAAAAGTCAGGAAACAGCAGGTTCTGGAGAGGGTGTGGAGAAATAGGAACACCTTTACACTGTTGGTGGGACTGTAAACTAGTTCAGCCCTTGTGGAAGTCACTGAGGTGATTCCTCAGGGATCTAGAACTGGAAATACCATTTGACTCAGCCATCCCATTACTGGTTATATACCCAAAGGATTATAAATCGTGCTGCTATAAAGACACATGCACACGTATATTTATTGAGGCACTAGTCACAATCACATAGACTTGGAACCAACCCAAATGTCTATCAATGATAGACTGCATTAAGAAAATGGGGCATGCAAGATGGCCGAATAGGAAAAGCTCTGGTCTAAAACTCCCAGCATGATCGACACAGAAGACGGGTGATTTCTACATTTCCATCTGAGACACCGGGTTCATCTCACTAGGGAGTGCCAGACAGTGGGCACGGGATAGTGACTGCAGTGCACTGTGCATGAGCCAAAGCAGGGTGAGGCATTGCCTCACTCAGGAAGTTCAAGGGGTAGGGGAGTTCCCTTTCCTAGTCAAAGAAAGGGGTGACAGACAACACCTGGAAAATCGGGTCACTCCAACCCCAATACTGTGCTTTTCCGATGGGCTTAAAAAACTGTGCACCAGGAGATTATATCGCACACCTGGCTCAGAGGGTCCTATGCCCACAGAGTCTCACTGATTGTTAGCACAGTAGACTGAGATCAAACTGCAAGGCAGCAGCGAGGCTGGGGGCGGGCACCCGCCATTGCCCAGGCTTGCTTAGGTAAACAAAGCAGCTGGAAAGTCCAAACTGGGTGGAACCCACCACAGCTCAAGGAGGCCTGCCTGCCTCTGTAGGCTCCACCTCTGGGACAGGGCATAGACAATCAAAAAAGACAGCAGTAACCTCTGCAGACTTAAATGTCCCTGTCTAACAACATTGAAGAGAGCAGTTCTTCTCCCAGCATGCAGCTGGAGATCTGAGAACCGGCACACTGCCTCCTCAAGTGGGTCCCTGACCCCTGACCCCCGAGCAGCCTAACTGGGAGGCACCCCCCAGTAGGGGCACACTGATACCTCACACGGCCGGGTACTCCTCTGAGACAAAATTTCCAGAGGAATGATCAGACAGCATCATTCGCGGTTCATGAAAATCTGCTGTTCTGCAGAAACCGCTGCTGTTACCCAAGCAAACAGTGTCTGCAGTGGACCTCTAGCAAACTCCAACAGACCTGCAGCTGAGGGTCCTGTCTGTTAGAAGGAAAACTAACAAACAGAAAAGACATCCACACCAAAAACCCATTTGTACATCACCGTCATCAAAGACCAAAAGTAGATAAAACCACAAAGATGGGGAAAAAACAGAGCAGAAAAACTGTAAACTCTAAAAAGCAGAGCATCTCTCCTCCTCCAAAGGAATGCAGCTCCTCACCAGCAATGGAACAAAGCTGGACAGAGAATGACTTTGACGAGTTGAGAGAAGAAGGCTTCAGATGATCATACTACTCTGAACTACAGGAGGAAATTAAAACCAAAGGCAAAGAAGTTGAAAATTTTGAAAAAAAATTAGACAAATGTATAACTAGAATAACCAATACAGAGAAGTGCTTAAAGGAGCTGATGGAGCTGAAAGCCAAGGCTTGAGAACTATGTGAAGAATGCAGAAGCCTCAGGAGCTGATGCAATCAACTGGAAGAAACGATCTCAGTGATGGAAGATGAAATAAATGAAATGAAGCGAGAAGGGAAGTTTAGAGAAAAAAGAACAAAAAGAAACAAACAAAGCCTCCAAGAGATATGGGACTATGTGAAAAGACCAAAGCTACATCAGATTGGTGTACCTGAAAGTGATGGGGAGAAGGGAACCAAGTTGGAAAACACTCTGCAGGATATTATCCAGGAGAACATCCCCACTCTAGCAAGGCAGGACAACATTCAGATTCAGGAAATACAGAGAATGGCATAAAGATACTCCTCAAGAAGAGCAACTCCAAGATACATAATTGTCAGATTCACCAAAGTTGAAATGAAGGAAAAAATGTAAAGCGCAGCCAGAGAGAAAGGCTGGGTTACCCACAAAGGGAAGCCAATCAGACTAACAGCAGATTTCTCGGCAGAAACTCTGCAAGCCAGAAGAGAATGGAGGCCAATATTCAACATTCTTAAAGAAAAGAATTTTCAATCCAGAATTTCATATCCAGCCAAACTAAGTTTCATAAGCGAAGGAGAAATAAAATACTTTACAGACAAGCAAATTCTGAGATATTTTGTCACCAATAGGCCTACCCTAAAAGAGCTCCTGAAGGAAGCACTAAACATGGAAAGGAGCAACTGGTAGCAGCCACTGCAAAAACATGCCAAATTGTAAAGATCTTCAAGGCTAGAAAGAAAATGCATCAACTAACGAGCAAACTAACAGCTAACATCATAATGACAGGATCAAATCCCCACATAACAATATTGATTTTAAATGTAAATAGAATAAACACTCCAATTAAAAGACACAGAGTGGCAAACTGGATAAAGAGTAAAGACCCATCAGTGTGCTGTATTCAGGAAACCCATCTCACGTGCAGGACACACATAGGATCAAAATAAAAGGATGGAGGAAGATCTACCAAGAAAATGGCAAATAAAAAAAGGCAGGGGTTGCAATCCTAGTCTCTGATAAAACAGACTTTAAACCAACAAAGATCAAAAGAGACAAAGAAGGTCATTACATAATGGTAAAGGGATCAATTCAACAAGAAGAGCTAACTATCCTAAATATATATGTACCCAATACAGGAGCACCCAGATTCATAAAGCAAGTTCTGAGTGACCTGCAAAGAGACTTAGACTCCCATACAATAATAATGGGAGACTTTAACACCACATTGTCAATATTAGACAGATCAACGAGACAGAAAGTCAACAAGGATACCCAGGAATTGAACTCAGCTCTGCACCAAGAGAACCTAATAGACATCTACAGAACTCTCCACCCCAAATCAACAGAATATACATTTTTTTGAGCACCACACCACACCTATTCCAAAATTGACCACATACTAGGAAGTAAAGCTCTCCTCAGCAAATGTAAAAGATCAGAAATTATAACAAACTGTCTCTCAGACCACAGGGCAATCATACTAGAACTCAGCATTAAGAAACTGACTCAAAACCACTCAACTACATGGAAAATGAACAACCTACTCCTGAATGACTACTGGGTACATAACAAAATGAAGGCAGAAATAAAGATGTTCTTTGAAACTAATGAGAACAAAGACACAACATACCAGAGTCTCTGGGACGCATTCAAAGCAGTATGTTGAGGGAAATTTATAGCACTAAATGCCACAAAAGAAAGCATGAAATATCCAAAATTGGCACCCTACCATCACAATTAAAAGAACTGCAAAAGCAAGAGCAAACACATTCAAAAGCTAGCAGAAGGCAAGAAATAACTAAAATCAGAGCAAGACTGGAGGAAATAGAGACATAAAAAACCCTTCAAAAATTTAATGAATCCAGGAGCTGGTTTTTTGAAAGGATCAACAAAATTGATAGATCGCTAGCAAGACTAAGAAAGAAGAAAATAGAGAAGAGTCAAACCGACACAATAAAAAATGATAAAGGGAATATCACCACCGATCCCACAAAAATACAAACTACCATCAGAAAATACTACAAACACCTCTATGCAAATAAACTAGAAAATCTATAAGAAATGGATAAATTCCTCGACACATACACTCTCCCAAGACTAAACCAGGAAGAAGTTGAATCCCTTAATAGACCAATAACAGGCTCTGAAATTGTGACAATAATCAGTAGCTTGCCAACAAAAAAGAGTCCAGCACCAGATGGATTCAGAGCCGAATTCCACCAGAGGTACAAGGAGGAACTGGTACCATTCCTTCTGAAACTATTCCAATAAATAGAAAAAGAGGGAATCCTCCCTAACTCATTTTATGAGGCCAGCATCATCCTGATACCAAAGCCGGGCAGAGACACAACCAAAAAAGAGAATTTTAGACCAATACCCTTCATGAACATTGATGCAAAAGTTCTCAATAAAATACTGGCAAACTGAATCCAGCAGCACATCAAAAAGCTTATCCACCATGATCAAGTGGGCTTCATCTCTGGGATGCAAGTCTAGTTCCATATACACAATCAATAATTATAATCCAGCATATCAACATAACCAAAGACAAAAACCACGATTATCTCAATAGATGCAGAAAAGGCCTTTGACAAAATTCAAAAACCTTCATGCTAAATACTCTCAATAAATTCGGTATTGATGGGACTTATCTCAAAATAATAAGAGCTATCTTTGACAAACCCACAGCCAATATCATACTGAATGGGCAAAAACTGGAAGCATTCCCTTTGAAAACTGGCACAAGACAGGGATGCCCTCTCTCACCACTCCTACTCAACATAGTGTTGGGAGTTCTGGCCAGGGCAATTAGGCAGAAGAAGGGAATAAAGACTATTCGGTTAAGAAAAGAGGAAGTGAAATTGTCCCTGTTTGAAGATGACATGACTATATATCTAGAAAACCCCATTGTCCCAGCCCAAAATCTCCTTAAGCTGATAAACAACTTCAGCAAAGTTTCAGGATACAAAATCAATTTACAAAAATCACAAGCATTCTTATACACCAATAACAGACAAACAGAGAGGAAAATCATGAGTGAATTCCCATTTACAATTGCTTCAAAGAGAATAAAATACCTAGGAATCCAACTTACAAGGGATGTGAAGGACCTCTTCAAGGAGAACTACAAACCACTGCTCAAGGAAATAAAAGAGGATACAAACAAATGGAAGAACATTCCATGCTCATGGGTAGGAAGAATCAATATCATGAAAATGGCCATACTGCCCAAGGTAATTTACAGATTCAATGCCTTCCCCATCAAGCTACCAATGACTTTCATCACAGAATAGTAGAAACACTACTTTAAAGTTTGTATGGAACCAAAAAAGGGCCCACATTGCCAAGTCAATCCTAAGCCAAAAAAAACAAAGCTGGAGGCATCACACTACATGGGTTCAAACTATACTACAAGGCTACAGTAACCAAAACAGCATGGTACTGGTACCAAAACAGAGATATAGATCAATAGAACAGAACAAAGCCCTCAGAAATAATGCCACATATCTGCAACTATCTGATCTTTGACAAACCTGAGAAAAGCAATGGGGAAAGGATTCCCTATTTAATAAATGGTTCTGGGAAAACTGGCTAGCCATATGTAGAAAGCTGAAACTGGATCTCTTCCTTACACCTTATACAAAAATTAATTCAAGATGGATTAAAGACTTAAACGTTAGACCTAAAACCATAAAAATCCTAGAAGAAAACCTAGGCATTACCATTCAGGACATAGGCATGGGCAAGGACTTCATGTCTAAAACACCAAAAGCAATGAAAACATAAGCCAAAATTGACAAATGGGATCTAATTAAACTCAAGAACTTCTGCACAACAAAAGAAACTACCATCAGAGTGAACAGGTGACCTACATAATGGGAGAAAATTTTCGTAACCTACTCATCTGACAAAGGGCTAATATTCAGAACCTACAATGAACTCAAACAAATTTACAAGAAAAAAACTAACAAGCCCATCAAAAAGTGGGCAAAGGACATGAACAGACACTTCTCAAAAGAAGATATTTATGCAGCCAAAAGACACATGAAAAAATGCTCATCATCACTGGCCATCAGAGAAATGCAAATCAAAACCACAATGAGATACTATCTCACACCAGTTAGAGTGGCAATCATTAGAAAGTCAGGAAACAACAGGTGCTGGAGAGGATGTGGAGAAATAGGAACACTTTTACACTGTTGGTGGGACTGTAAACTAGTTCAACCCTTGTGGAAGTCAGTGTGGTGATTCCTCAGGGATCTAGAACTAGAAATACCATTTGACCCAGCCATCCCATTACTGGGTATATACCCAAAGGACTATAAATCATGCTTCTATAAAGACACATGCACACGTATGTTTATTGCAGCACTATTCACAGTAGCAAAGACTTCAAATCAACCCAAATGTCCATCAATGATAGACTGGATTAAGAAAATGTGGCACATATACACCATGGAATACTATGCAGCCATAAAAAATAATGAGTTCATGTCCTTTGTAGGGACATAGATGAAATTGGAAATCATCATTCTCAGTAAACTATTGCAAGAACAAAAATCCAAACACCACAAATTCTCACTCATAGGTGAGAATTGAACAATGGGAACACATGGACTGAGGAAGGGGAACATCACACTCCAGGGACAGTTCTGGGTTGGTGGGAGGGTGGAGGGATAGCTTTAGGAGATATGCCTAATGCTAAATGACGAGTTAATGGGTGCAGCACACCAGCAAGGCACGGGTATACATGTATAACTAACCTGCACATTGTGCACATGTACCCTAAAACTTAAAGTGTAATAATAATTAAATTAAATTAAATTAAATCCTTCAGAGGCATAAAAAGATAAATAATAAAAGGTCATCATTCAAGGATCCTTCCCACAATAACATGAAATTAATGAAATCTACCTCAGATTACAGAAATCTACCTAGGTAATAAGGAACTATTTATTTAAAAAAGAAAAAGAAAAAGAAAATGTGGCACATAAATACCATAAACCATGGAATACTATGCAGTCATAAAAAATGATGAGTTCATGTCCTTTGTAGGGACATGGATGAAGCCAGGAACCATCATTCTCAGCAAACTATCACAAGGACAAAAAACCAAACACCGCATGTTCTCACTCATAGGTTGGAATTGAACAATGAGAACACATGGACACAGGAAGGGGAACATCACACACTGGGGCCTGCTGTGGGGTGGAGGAAGGGAGAGGGATAACATTAGCAGATATACTTAATGTAAATGACAAGTTAATGGGTGCAGCACATCAACATGGCACATGTATACATACGTAACAAACTTTCACGTTATGAACATGTACTCTAGAACTTAAAGTATAATAAAAAATAAAAGTAAGTAAATTAATTAATTAATTAATTAATTAAAATAATTTCTCTCTCTCTCTGGTGATTTTCCAACTTCTATTGTAAGAAAAATTTCTAGTACAAATTTCGGGACTCTGTTTCTTTCTTTAGGTACCCAGTCTCAACAAACAGAAATACATAATTTTTGCCCAAAGCCCCACTGGGGGTTGGGGGATTATCTGGAATTTTAGGATCCCTCTTCAGACTAGCTGGCCTGAAAAGTCTATTCCTGAAGCTAGGATATGGGTAGCCTCAGAATTTTTTTCCTTCCTATTCATATGATGAGAAGTTAGGACAAAAGATATCATTCTTCCAACCCTAGAGATCTCTTCCCTCCTTCAGGGTATGGCCATCCACTCCGTTTTTGAGGCATAACATCTTTATAGGACGGGATAAGGTCCCAATACTGACAGAAGAAAATGCTTAGAACTCTAACAGGTTTTTAAGAATGCTTCAGTAAGGGCCACTAAACCTGATTTTTCTTGGTCCTCTTTGTGTTCTAAGAGAAAAAGCAAAAGTGCAGGTTTTTGAATATGTGTCAGTAAGAGCCACTAAATCTGACCTTGCTCGGTCCTCTTTGTGTTCTAGGAGGAAAACTAGTGTTTCTGCTGCTGTTACGGTGAGCACAACTATACCGATCGGCAGGATGCAGGAACCATTGCGGGTTCTTGGGCAAGAGGGGGATCTGCTGCTGCATCGGTGAGTGCAACTATTCTGATCAGTAGGGTCCAGAGACAATTGTGGGTTCTTGGGTGTGTGTGTGTGGGGGGGTGTAGAACAACAAACCCAAACCACTGGCAGTTTTTTCTATCAGATGGAAAACACCCAGGCATCAACAGGCTCACCCTTGAAATGTATCCTAAGCCTATGGGAAGAATCTGGCCCCCAAACCCTGAAAAAGAAGCAGCTCTTTTTTTTTCTGCACTATGTGATGGCCCCAATAATCTCTCTCTGATGGAGAATATGGCCATACGAGAAAAGCATAAATTACAAAATTTTCTGCAGCTTGACCTTTTCTGTAAGAGGGAAGGCAAAGGGAGTTAAATACTTTATGTCCAAGTTTTCTTTTCATTGAAGGATAATCTACAATTATGCAAAGCTTGCAATTTACAACTTACAGGAGGACCTCTCAGCTTACCTCCATGTCCTAGACTTTCTATAGCTCCACTTCCTATTAATGATAAGACTCCTCTAATCTCCCCCACCCAGAAGAAAACAAGCAAAGGAATCTCCAACGGAACACAAAAACCCCTGGATTATCAGTTATGTCCCCTTCAAGCTGTAGAGGGAGGGGAATTTGGCCCAATCAGGGTATATATCCCCTTCTTCCTCTCTGATTTAAAGCAGATCAAGGTAGACCTGGGGAAGTGTTTAGATAATCCTGATAGGTATATTGATTTTCTACAGGGTCTAAAGTTCTACCTAACTTGTAGAGATGTCAGGCTATTGTGAGATCAAACCCTATCATTTAATGAAACAAATGTGGCTTTAGCTGTAGCCCGAGTTTGGAGATACCTGGTATTTTAATCAAGTAAATGATGAAATGACAGCTGAAGGAAGGCAAAAATTCCCTACCTGTCAGCAAGCTGTCCCCAGTATGGATCCCACTGTGAACTCAGCTCAGATCATGGGGACTGGAGTCACAAACATTTCTTAACCTGTTTTCTTATAGAACTCAAGAGAATTAGGGCTAATTCTTATAGAACAAAAGAAAATATAAGACTAAAGAGTATTAGGGAAAAGCCCATGAGTTATTCAATGATATCCACCATAACTCAAACAGAGGAAGAAAATCCTTCCACCTTCCTCAAGCAAATACAGGAGGCCTTAAGAAAGTATACTACTCTGTCACCCAACTCACTTCAGGGTCAAATGATCCTAAAAGATAAGTTTATTACCCAATCAGTAACAGACATCAGGAGAAAGCTCCAAAAACCAGCCCTGGGGCCTGAACAAATCTGGAGGCATTATTAAACCTGGCAAGCTCAGTGTTCTATAATAGGGACCAAGAGGAACAGGCCAAAAAGAAACATGAAATCAGAGATAGGCCTCAGTCTTAGTCATGGCCCTCAGACAAACAAGCCTTGGTAGTTCAGACAGGGTAGAAAATGGAGCGGGCCAATCACCTGGTGGCTCTTGTTATCAGTGTGGTTTGCAAGGAGACTTTTAAAAAGATTGTCCATCAAGAAACAAGCCGCCCCCTAGCCCATGTCCACTATGCTGAGGCAATCACTGGAAGGTGCACTGCCCCAGATGGCAAAGGTTCTCTGGGCCAGAAACCCCCAACAAGATGATCCAACAATAGGACTGAAGGTGCCTGGGGTGAATGCCATCTCCTGCCATCACCCTCACTGAGCCCCAGGTATATTTAACTATTGAAGACCAGGAAATTGACTTCCTCTTGGACACTGGTGCTGCCTTCTCAGTGATAATCTTCTGACCCAGAAACATGTCCTCAAATTCCACTATCATCTGAGGAATCCTGGAACAGCCTGTAACCAGGTATTTCTCCCACCTCTTCAGTTGTAACTGAGAGACATTCGTCCTTTCATATGCCTTTCTTGTTATCCCAGAAAGCCACACAACCTTATTAGGGAGGGACATTTTAGTCAAAGCTGGAGCTATTATCTGTGTGAATATGGGGAACAAGTTACTAATTTTTTGTCCCCTACTTGAGGAGGGAACCAAACCTGAAGTCTGGGCATAGGAAGAACAATTTGGAAGGGCAAAAAATACCCACCCAGGCAAAATCAGGCTAAGAGACAGTGCCACTTTTCCTAATCAAAAGCAAAATCCCTTAAGGCCTGAAGCTCATAAAGGATTACGGGATATTGTTAGACATTTAAAAACTCAAATCTTAGTAAGAAAAAGCAGCAGTACCTGCAACACCCCAATTCTAGGAATACAAAAACCAAACATCAGTGGGGAGTAGTGCAAGATCTTAGACTCATCAATGAGACAGTAATTCCTCTATATCTTGCTAGCTCTATATCTAGCTGCACCCAACCCTATACACTTCTCTCTCAAATACAAGAGGAAGAAGAATGGTTCACTGTTCTGGACATCAAGGATGCCTTCTTCTGTATTCCCCCACACTCTCACCCCCAGTTTCTCTTTTTCTTTGAGGATGCCACAAAACACGTCCCAAATTACGTGGATGGTCTTGCCCCAAGGGTTTAGAGATAGCTCTCATCTGTTTGGTCAGACACTGGCCCATGATATAGGCCACTTCTGAAATCCAGGCACTCTAGTCCTTCATTATGTGGAAGACTTACTTTTGGCTCCCAGTTTGGAAGCCTCATGCCAGCAGGCTACTGTAGATATCTTGAACTTTCTATCTAATCAAAGCTACAAGGTGTCTAAATTGAAGGACAAGCTCTGCCTACAACAAGTCAAATATCTAGGCCTAATCTTACCCGGAGAAACTAGGGCCCCTGAAAGGAATGAATACAGCCTATACTGGCTTATCCTCTCCATAAGACATTAAACCAGTTGTGGGGGTTCCTTGAAATCACCAGCTTTTGCCAACTCTGTTTATGGGAGGGTCCAGCAATGGCCATCTTAGTATCAGAGGCTGTCAAAATAATAGAAGAAAAGGATCTTACCGTTTGGATTACTCATGATGTAAATTGCATACTAGGTGCCAAAGGAAGTTTATGGCTATCAGACTACTGCCTGCATAGATACCAGGCATCATTCTTCAAGGGACTGTTGCTTCAAATACACATGATTGTGACACTCAATCCTGCGATTTTTCTCCCAGAAGATGGAGAACCAATTGAGCATGACTGCAAACAAATTATAGTCCAGATTTATGCTGTCTAAGAGGATACCTTAGGATTCCCCTTAGCTAATCTTGACCTTAACCTATATACTGATGGAAGTTCATTTATGGAGAATGGGATATGAAGGGCAGGTTATGCCATAGTTAATGATGTAACACTACTTGAAGGTAAGTCTATTACCCCAGGAACCACAGCTCAGTTAGCAGAAGTAGTAACACTTACTAGAGACTTCAAATTGGAAAAGGGAAAAAGAATAAATGTGTATACATATTGCAAGTATGCTTATCTAATCCTACATGCCCACACTGCAATATGGAAAGAAAGGGAGTTCCTAACCTCTAGGGGAAACCCAATTAAATACCACAAAGAAATCATGGAGTTATTGCACCAAGTTCAAAAACCCAAGGAGGTTGCAGTCTTACTCTGCCCAAACCATCAAAAAGGTGAAGGAGAAAAGGTAGAAGAAAATCTTTGGGCAGCTGCTGAGGCCAAATTTTCTGCCAGGCAGAATCTCCCACTAGAAATACCTATAGAAGGACCCTTGTTATGGGAAAAACCTCTCCTTGAGATTAATCCCCAGTATTCCCTGACAGAAACAGAATGAGGACTTTCATGGGGGCACAGTTTTCTCCCCTCAGGGTGGTTAGCAACAGAAGAGGGAAGGGTACTCATACCCAAAACCAACCAGTGGAAAATACTTAAAACCCTACACAAAACTTTTCATATGGGTATTGAGAACATTCATCAAATGAACAAATCCCTATTTACAGGGCAAATTTCCTCCAGACCAAACAACAAGTAGTCAAAGTCTGTGAGAAGTGCCAAAGGAA
This sequence comes from Homo sapiens, assembly GCF_000001405.40. Lineage (NCBI taxonomy): Eukaryota > Metazoa > Chordata > Mammalia > Primates > Hominidae > Homo > Homo sapiens. The sequence continues at coordinate 19,103,746 of NC_000024.10, read as the reverse complement.
TAATCCCTTGGTCCATTCTAAGGCCCTCCTGGGAGAACAAAGAATAGCTCACTATCCCAGAGAGGACTGGCTGTTAGGCTTCACCTATATGCCTAAATCAAAGGAATTTAAATACTTGTTGGTATGGAAGTGGTTAAACTTTTAATTCATGAAATAATTCCTAGATTTGGGATTCCCTAAAGCTTTCAAAGTGTCAGTTGTCTGGCTTTTAAAGCCATGATAACTCAGGGAATTTCCAGGGCGCTGGTGATATCTGCATCACCTTCACTGCACCTGGAGACCACAATCCTCAGGGAAGGTGGAGAAGGTAAATGAAACACTCAAGAGGCACTTAAGGAAACTAACACAAGAAACTCATCTCCCATGGCCTACTCTCTTGCCCATGGCCTTGTTGAGAATCTGAAATTCTCCTCACAAAATGGGGCTCAGTTCCTATGAAATGCTGTATGGATAACCTTTTCTCACAAATGACCTCCTACTTTATCAGGAAATGGCCAACTTGATGAAGGATATAACTTATTTGGCAAAATATCAATGAAACCTTAAAAACATACATGAAGGATGTTACAGAGAAAAGGGAACAGAGCTGTTTTAACTGGGAAATCTAGTGTTTGTCAAATTCCTCCCCTCTAACTCCCCATCTATGATTTTTTGTGGAGAGAACAATACTCAGTAATCCTCTCTACCCCCACTGCAGTTAAGGTGGCAGGAGTGAAGTCTTGGATTCACCACACCCCACTTAAACTTTGGACACCTGCTAAGGAACCTGCTGGACAAACAGCTCAGGAATCCAAGGATCAGCAAGAGTAGGCTAGATACACCTGTGAGCCATTGGAGGACTTACATCTTCTTTTCTGGAAGGAAACATCCCAGACTAAGAAGACTCTTACAGCTGATCCTGAGGAAAAATCCCTTCCTACTTAAAAAGGTAAGTGAAAATCTACATAATTTTTAACACCTCTCCTTGCCCTTTTAATGGAATTCTTTTACTGTTTCATCACATTAAGCAGCATACTAACCATACTCTTTGCAATAGGGCTATATACTGTAGCTCCTGCAGGGATAAATATCCTAACCACATCAACCTCCTTTCTATCATCCTTCCTTCTGACAGCAATTTACTCCTACTTTTAACTCAGACTGGATAAAATGATCTCATCTTCAAAGCACCCTCTTAACCTTCCTAATTACTCTATGCCTATCTATCATTCCTGCTTCCTGGGATACCCCACACAGTCACCCCTCCCCTTCCACTAGCTTCTAATTAACTCTACAAGACTCTCAACTTAACCCAAACTCTGTTAAACCAGTCCAATCCTTCTCTGGCAAACCACTGTTGGCTATGTATCTCTCTACCTACCACTGCTTGCGTTGCAACTCTCATTCCCGCAAAAAAATTAGGTCTCTACTAACTTAATCTACCACCCTCATTATGAAGGAAGAGATCGTTTCTCACTTCTAAATATGTAACCATTACCCAACTTCACCATCTCTGATAGGACCAAGAATACCCTAATATGACGCACAATCCAACTTTTATGTTCTTACATTTCCAATCTCACCCAATACATAAGCAATGAAAAGCCAATACATGGCACTGTAACTGCGAAAACCATCTTAACTTCCCAAGACCCTTTACGCATCCAACACAACCTGTTATCAGGCCTGCCCCTGGGGTACCTACCTCCCCATCAGTGTAATTACACCCCACAACTTCAAGCCCCAACTGATCATAGTAACTTCCGAGTCACACAAACAGCTCCATTCAGACGGCTTGTCAACACAGCCTCCAAAAATTATCACCTCTTCCCTGCTTAGCAAACAGTTTAGGTTTTGTAATGGCAACCATACTCCCTGCATGACCATTCACCTCTGGACTCCCTGCAGCACCATCCTCACCACTAATGGATGCCTTCTTCTCCCCTCTTTCAATCACTCTCTCAAATTGTTCCTAGTAGATACAAAATGTTTGTTTGTTTGTTTGTTTGTTTGTTTTTCCAATGGGGAAATAGAACACATTCTTCTTATGTGGAACTTCAACATTTATCTGCCTCCCCACCAACTGGACAGGCACCTGCACCTTAGTCTTCCTAAGTCCCGACATTAACATTGCCCCAGAAAATCAGACCCTATCAGTGTCCCTCAAAGCTAAAGTCTGTCAGGGCAGAGCCATACAACTAGTACCCTTACTTATAGGGTTAGGAATGGCTATGACTACAGGAACCAGAACAGCCAGTTTGTCTACTTCATTATGCTACTACCACACTCTCTCAAAGGATTTCCCAGACAGTTTGCAAGAAATAACAAAATCTATCCTTACTCTACATTCCCAAACAGAATCTTTGCTAGCAGTGACTCTCCCAAACCGCTGGGTTCTAGACATCTCCACTGATGAGAAAGATGAGAAAGGAGGACTTTACACCTGCTTAGGAGAAGAGTTTTTTTGTTTTTGTTTTTGTTTTTGTTTTTGTTGCTGTTGTTGTTGTTGTTTTACACTAAGTAGTCAGGGATAGTATGAAACACTGCTCGGCATTTACTGGAAAAGTCTTCGAAATCAGACAATGTCTAGAGTTGAGTGATATGGCTTCTCCCCTTTCTAGACCTCCTGACAGCCATCTTAATATTACTCGCCTTTGGGACCTGTATTTCTAACCTCCTTGTCAAATTTGTTTCCTGTAAGATGAAGGCCATCAAGCTACAGATGCTCTTACAAATGGAACCTCAAATGAACTCAACTAACAACTTCTATTGAGGACCCCTGGACAGAGCCACTGGCCCTTTGACTGGCCTAAAGAGTTCCCCTCTGAAGGACACTAAAACTCCAGGACCCCTTCTTCACCCCTATCCAACAGGAAGTAGATAGAGCCATCATCACCCAATTCCCAACAGCATTTGGTGTGTCCTGTTTAGAGGGGGTATTGAGAGGTGAAGTCAGCTGGACTTCTGGGTTGGGTGGTGACTTGGAGAAATTTTCTGTCTTACAAGAGGTTTGCAAAATGCACTAATTATCACCCTGTAGCTAGGAATGCAAAATCCACCAATCAGTGCTCTGTAGCTAGCTAGAGATTTGTAAAATGCACCAATCAGTGCTCTGTAGCTAGCTAGAGGTTTATAAAATAGACCAATGAGCAGCCTGTTAAATGGACCAATCAGCAGGACATGGTTGGGGACAAATAAGGGAATAAAGGCTGGCTACCCCACTCAGCAGCGGCAACCCACTCAGGCCCCCTTCCTTGCTATGGAAACTTTGTTCTTTTGCTCTTCAGAATAAAACTTGCTGCTGCTCACCCTTTGGTTCTATGTTATCTTTAAGAGCTGTTACACTCACCATGAAGTTCTGCTACTCCATTCTTGAAGTCAACAAGACCACAAACCCACCAGAAGGAATGAACTCCAGACACAAAGAGGAGGAGAAAAGGAATAAAAAATTAGAAAGAGAAGGAGAAGGAGGAGAAAGAAAAGAAAAAAACCCAAGCAGAAGGAGGAGGAAGAGAAGGAGAAAAAGAATGAAAACATGGAGGTAGGGGGAATAAGAGGAGGAGGGAAGAAGGAGGAGCTAAAGAAGAAAGGAAGAGAAGCAAGGAATGATAGTCACATACTGAGAACCCTTTTGCATTATCTACACAGATTTCATGTTCGGTTACTTGATGAATTCAAGGCTCTAAGGTAGCAAAAATATAAGTCAACAATATAAAGTGTACTCCTGGACTCATCTGAGTTTCACAGGCTGTTGTAGGTTAGAGTCTTCTCTGCAGGGCATGAGGTTTTATATATTTCCTCTTTTTTTTTTTTTTTTTTTTTTTTTTAAAGAGAAGGAGGAAGAGTAGGAGGAAGAAAAGTAGGGAGGTCTTGCTGGCTGAGAGTTGTCTGACATGATCCGGAAGTCACTGCTTCACCATGGGGAGATTGTTCTGGGTCATTGTTTACCTGATGCAATCTTTGATGGCTGTCTATGGAGGTACCTTCAAGTTCTGGTAAAATGACCCAACGGTCAGGTCAGGAGGACTCTGGACTGAGACTTGTATGTTTACAACTGCATACCATACAAACGGTCTGACTCAGGACTCCTGTAGCCGAGAGAATTTACAAATTCTGCTTCCCACCTTGGTCTGTTCTTTCTAGCCCCCTCACCTGGCTGCACTCCTATACCCATACCTGATATCTGCGGTCCAATTTTATTCTAAAGGTTTTCACTGGGAACTTGCGCTCCAACACTAGTCCAAGGATAGAACCTTCCCAGCAGGTTCCCAGGGCACCTGCTCTGAGATTTTACCTCTTGGGAGAGAAAGGACGATATCCTGAAGTGAGTGTTTTATTTATTTATTTTTCTAAAGTGAATTGGAGAACTAAAGAATCAATCTCCTCAAACTTGAGTATGGCATGGAGTTAGATTGGAATGACAAGAGAAGCTGGTGGATTGGGTTTAAGAAAGGCTGTGTACCTATGGTTTGACAGAGTGGTGGATTTGCTGGCATTAGCTTGTGTGACCTGAAATAAGGCTCAGGTGTCCTACAGCTAAGCAAGATGGGGGACGTCTTATTGGAGGCCATTGAAGGAAATTCTTAGGTGACAGAGAGTCAGATAGTGGCAGATTAGAAGATTTGGATGGAACCAGAAAACAGATCCATTAAAAAATTGTGATAAGAATACTTAACATGAAATTTATCCTCTCAAATTTTTAAGTAGAAAAAACAGTATTATTACTTTTGAATTATCTCACACTTAAAATAAATATTTGGTTAATTTTTGGGAAACCGGTGGTGTTTGGTTACATGGATAAATTCTTTAGTGGTGATTTCTGAGATTTTGGTTTACCCTCACCCTGGTAGTGCACACTGTACCCAATATGTTGTCTTTTGTCCCTCATCCCTGTCCCACGCATTCCCCCCAAGTTCTGAGTGACCATTATGTCATTCTTATGCCTTTACATCCTCATAGCTTTTGCATCCTCATAATTTAGCTTCCACTTATCAGTGAGAACATATGATATTTGGTTTTCCATTCCTGAGTTACTTCACTTAGAATAATGGTCTCCAACTCCATCCAGTTTGCTGCGAATGCTATTATTTTGTTCCTTTTTATGGCTGAGTAGTTGAGAAGACAGTATTATTAACTGTAGGCACAGTGTTTTATACAGCAGATCAGAGCTTATTCATCTTGTGTAACTGAAGCTTTATACCTACAGAACGACATCCCAGTCCTCCTCAAAGCACCTGGCAACCACCATTCATCCTCTGCTTCTATGAATTTGCTGAGTTTAGACTGCACATATAAGTGAGACACGGCATTATTTGTCTTTCTGTGCCTGGCTGATTGTGCTTAGTATAATTTCCTGTGGGTTCATCTGTGTTGTTGCCAATGATTGATTGCCTTTTTTTCTTAAACCTGAATAGTATTCCATTATATATATACATGACATTTTCTTTACCTATTCATCCATGCACTGACACTTAGGTGGTTTCCATGCCCAGGCTATAGTGAATGATACTGTGGTAAACATGGGGGTGCAGTTGTCTCTTTGATAATTTTATTTCATTTCATTTAGAGAAATACTTACAAGTGGAATTGCTTGGTCACATGATATACTTATTTCTAATTTTCTAAGAAACAGGAAATAGCCATTTTTTAAAACAACATCTGGAAGAGGAGAGGAGCCATTGAGATAATTTCCAACACGTTCCTGTATGTTTTTTTCGAGTCGTTGTTTATAGTGTATAATAAATAAGTTAACTGCTTTGCAAATATTATGTAGTTCAATCTTCCCTTACCTTTGGAAACAGGTTGGTCTTAAAAAGCTTATCTGTGCTGTCTTTGAAATAAGATTTGGGGACAATCTCTACAGTTAAAGCATATGAATTCAGTGAGCTGCAGCTAACATTTTTGTCATCCAGAGAAAATGAGAAAGAGGTTTGATCCCGATATAGCTCTTCATATGGTTTGGCTCTGTGTCCCCACTCAAATCTCATGTTACATTGTAATTCCCTGTGTTGGGAGAGGGATCTGTCTGGTAGGAGGTGATTGAATCTTGGGGCCGGATTTTCTTTCTGCTGTCCTCCTAATAATAAGTGAGTTCTCAAGAGATATGGCTGTTTAAAACTATGTAGCACTTCTCCCTTCACACTCTCTCTGTCTCCTTCTGGGCATGTGAAGATTGTGCCTGCTTCCCACTTCACGTTCTGCCATGTTTGTAAGTTCCCTGAGGTCTCCCCAGCCATGTCTTCTGTACAGACAGCAGAATTGTGAGCCAATTAGATGTCTTTTTTCTATACATTACTCAGTTTCAGTTATGTCTTTATAGCAATGTGAAAATGGACACATCCAGCTCTATTGAGTCAGAGAGTCTCAACTTCAGGCATTCCTGTTTGGGGACGAATCCTCACCATATTATTCCGGTAGGTCTGTCGTAATAATATTCCACAGCCTGTGAGATTTAAACAACGGAGATTAATTTTCTCACAGTTTTGGAGGCTGGAAGGCCAAGATCAAGATGATATTAAGACTGGGGTCTGGGGAGGACGCTATTCCTGGTTTGCAGATGGCCACATTCTTGCTGCATTCTCACACAGCAGAAAGAAGGAAGGGGATAGGTGATGGGAAGAGAGAGAGATAATGAGCTCTGTTGACCAGGGTTGGTGGGAGGGAGAATGAGGATGAAGATGTCTAGTAGGTATAAAGTTTTAGTTATGTAGGACTTACAATCTCTGATTTATCGTGCATATCATGCCTATAGTTAAAAAAGCTGTGTTGTATACTTAAATATTTAAGCAGATAAATTTCATATTAAGGGTTTTTACCACAATAAAAGAGAGAAAGAGAGAGGGAGAGAAAGAAAGAGAGAAAGAGATATAACTGGTGTTTCTTCATCTTGTTATGAGGACACCAGTCCTATAGGATGAAGGCCCAACTATTATGACCTCGTTGCATCTTTATTACTTGTTGATAGGCTCTATCTCCAAATACAGCCACATGAGAGTCAGGGTCTCCCCATATAAGTTTTGAAATTATGTCTTTCAGTCCATAATACCTACTGCAGCCCAGAGCAATGTGTTCTCTTTCCTTTGGCTGATGGTGTTGATGGAGTAGGAAGTAAGAATTTCATCCCCATCCTATACAAAACCTGTGGATTCTGGAACTTCTCTAATGGGCTGCAACTTGTTTTCAAAATAAGTAAGTGAAATTTGGGGCCCAGTGCCTCACACTTGTAATCTCAGTTCTCTAGGAGGCACTTGAGCCCAGGAGTTTCAGACCAGTTTGGGCAAAATAGTGAGACCCCATCTCTACAAAATTTAAAAATTGAACAGATACCGTGGTGCACTTCTTTGGTCCCAGCTACTTGGGAGGCTAAGAGGTGGGATGATGACTTGATACTGGGTGTCCAAGGCTGCAATGTGTTACAATTGTGCCACAGCACTCCAGCCTGGGTAACAGAAGGAGACACTGCCTCCCTCCAACCCCCTCAAAAAAAGTAAGTGAAAACTTCAGGGACATGCTGGCACGGGTTTGAAAACTCATGGCTTTCTCCCATGGTCACCCAGCACTGGAAGCTGTATATGTTTGAGGTACTTTCAGGTGTTTTGGACCATATAAAAATAGGATTAGTTTTTCACACCATTGAATGTCTGCCACTTCTTCCTGGGATATAATTGGTGTGCCACTTACCTGTACTTTTTTAAATAATGAGGCCAGTGTTATCATCTTATAAATAAGTGCAGTTCTTAATTTATAAACTTTCTGCTAATTGCATATTACCCTTCCCTTCTATGTCCATAGGGATTTTGTATTATCTTCTAGAAAACCGAATAAAAGTTGTAAAGTCAATGAGATTAAACTATCTTTAAAATTCCCAACATTCTGATGACACATTTCTTTCAAAAATTTCCCCAAAGTGGTGCACAGATAAATCTTTTAAGATAAAGTCTTGTATAAATATACAGAAAGATTGGGATCTATTTGTGCATTGAGTTGTGGACAGTGTGGGGATGGGGAGGGCAAGGATTCTCTCTGCTCTTAACCTTGTTTTTTAATTAAAAAATGTTTTTATGAGGACTTACTCTGTTGTCCAGGCTGGAGTGCAATTGTGTAATCATGACTCACTCCAGCCTTGAAATACTGGGGTGAAGCAATATTCCCAGCTTTGTCTTCAGGGTGCTCCACCATGCCCAGCTAAATTTTTATTTTGTTTTTTGTGAAGATAGGATCTTGCTGTGTTGCCTACACTAGTCTTGAACTCCTGGGCTTCAGTGGTACTTTTACTTTGGCCTCCAAAAATGCTGAAATTACATGTGTGAACCACTGGGATTGGTCCTGGAGATTAACTTCTGAGGTGACTGAGGTGATGTCCACTGTAGGCTTTGAGAGCTAGGAAAAGGTATTTTTTTCTCTATCGAGAGGAAATGTATAGAACATAAAATACACCATTTTAAAGTGTAAAACTCCGTGATATTTAATATGTTCACAACTGTATCTCTATTTAGTTCCAAAACATTTTCATCCTTCCAAAATGAGACACTGTACCCACTACAGATCACTTCCCATTCCAGCTGTCCATCCCCTAACAACCACTAATTTATGTTCTGACTCTGTGCATTTGCCTGTTATAGACATTGGGTATAAATGGAATCAAACAACGTATGGTCTTTTGTGCCTGGCTTGTTACACTGAGTGTGGTTCAACAGAGTTGTGCAAGTATCACCACTATCAGTTTTCGAACATGTAGCTAAAGAGTATGAAGCTTCCTACTGAAGAAATGAAATGTTCTAAAACTGACAGTGGTTATGGTTGCACAATCCTGTGAATACACTAAGAACCATTGAATTGTATGCATTAAGTGGGTAAATTTTATAGTATGTAAACTATATTTCTATAAACCCCTTTACACCCCCCTCTGTCCATCCCTAAGCAACCACGAATCTACTTTCCATCTACATTGATATCCTTGTTTGGGCTTATCCTGTAAATAATATCACTTGGAACACAGCCTTTTGTGACCGGCTTCCATCACTTAGCAAAATGCCTTCAAGTTTCACTCATGCGGCGACCTGTGTCAGAACTTCAGTCCTTTTTAGGGTTGAAGAATATTCCATTATATGGATGGATCATATTTAGTTTATGCATTCATTTGCTGACAGGCCATTTGATGCTGTTACCACCTTAAGGCTATTGTGAATAATGCTGCTGTGAATATGTATGTTAAAGTGTTTACGTGAAAACACATTTTCATTTCTCTTGGAGATATATTTAGAAATGGTAACCGCCATATTTTAAATGTAAAATATTAGGCTTGTCTTAGTGTTTCCAAATTTTTGCTTCCCCATTCATAAAATACAGTAATACTTTCCTTATAGGATTTGCGTGAAAATTATGTGATTTTTAGTTTGCAAAGAAGATAAGAAGCGACTGGTACCTCATGAGTGCTTCAAAAATAACAGCTGGCTTGGTGCAGTGGCTCATATAATCCCAGCACTTTGGGAGGCTGAGGTGGGTGTATCATTTGATGCCAGTAGTTTGAGAACAGCTGGGCCAGCATGATGAAACCCTGCCTCTACTAAAAATACAAAAATTAGCCAGGCATGGTGGCGGGCACCAGTAATCCCAGCTACTCAGGAGGCTGAAGTGGGAGAATCACTTGAACTGGGGAGGCAGAGCTTGCACTGAGCCAAGATTGCACCACTGCACTTTAGCCTAAGTGACAGAGAGAGACTCTGTCTCAATAAATAAATAAATAAATAAATAAATAAATAAATAAATAAATAACAGCTGTGGCTACTATATGTAAAAATAAATTTTAGAAAGAAGAAACCCCATATAATGAAGGTGATGGCTTGAAAGCACAGAAGAGGTTACCACGGATTCACATTTCTTTGTTGATGGCTGAATTGTATGCCCAAGTGAGATATGTTGAATCCTGAACTCTCAGCCCGTGAATGTGGCATTATTTGCAAACTGGGTATTTGCAGATGTAGCGAAGAATGTACGTGATGTCAGTGATGCAGATAGAGATTAAGGACCTAAAGATGAGACATTCCTGGATTAGGGAGGGGCCTGAGTCCTGTGATAAGTATCCTTCTAAGAGATGGAAGAAGAGACAGACACATCAGAGAAAGTTGTGTAGAGCAGGAGGCAAAGACTTGACTTATACAGCCAAAAGCCCAGGGACACCTAGAGCCCCAGGAGCTGGAGATGGAGGAGGGATTCTCCCCTAGAGCTTCTTAAAGGAACCAAACACAATCGCAATGGATTGAATGGTGATCCCCCCAAAATATGTTCAACTTCTAATACGCAGAAATTGTCATGGTATTTCATTTAGAAATAGAGTCTTTGAAGATGTTAGTAGTAAAGGATTCCATGATGAGCTTATCCTGGATTTCAGAGTGTATTAGTCTATTTTCATGTTTCTGATAAAGACATACCCAAGACTGGGCAATTTGCAAAATAAAAAGTTTTAATGAACTTACAATTCCACATGGCTTGGGAAGGCTCACAATCATAGGGGAAGGCAAGGAGAAGAAAATTACAACTTAGGTAGATGGTGGCAGGCAAAGAGAGTGCATGTGCAGGGAACCTCCCGTTTTTTAAAACCATCAAATCTTATGAGACCCACTCATTATCACCAGAACAGCATGGGAAAGACCAACCCCCATGATTCAATCACTTCCCACATCTTCCTCCTACAACATGTGGGAATTGTGGAAGTTACAATTCAAGATGAGATTTGGGTGGGGACACAGCTAATCCATATTAGGGAGGGTCCTGCATCCAATGACAGGTGTCTTTCTAGGAGACAGATGAGGAGACACAGACACAGAAGAGAAGAACTGATGGAGACAAAGACAGAGACTGGAGTGATATGGTCACAAACTCAGGGGTGCCTGGAGCCACCAGGAGCTGGAAGAGGCAGAAAGAATCCTTGTTTAGAGCCTCCAAGAGAAACTGGACACAACTGCAATTAGTTAAATGTTGGCCCTAAAACATATGTTCCTGTCCTATCCCCCAGAACCTCTGAATGGAACACTATTTGGAAATAGGGTCTTTGCAGATATAATCAAGTAAAGACCTTGAGATGATATCATCCTGGATTAGGGTGGGCCCTGAATCCAATGACAGGTGTTCTTCTAAGACACAGAAGAGGAGACACAGATACAGAGCAGAAGTCCACACAAGAGGTAGAGAGACTAGAGAGATGCATCCACAAGTCTAGGGATGCCTGATGCCCCCAGGAGCTGGGAGAGGCAGGAAAGATCCTTCTTAGAACCTCCAGAAAAAGAGCAGCCCTGACATACCTTGATTTCAGACTGCTGTCCTCTGGGACTGGGAGACAATAAACTCCTGTGTTTTTAAAAGCTGTTCAGGTTGTGACAATGCATTATGGCAGCCCCAGAAAAACCACATGGGGTAAATACACTTGACACCCAAGAAGTGCTTCTTGCCAGGCACAGTGGCTCACACCTGTAATTTCAGCACTTTGGAAAGCTGAAGTCGAACAATTTCTTGAGCCAGGAGTTTGAGACTAGCCTGGGCAACAGAGCAAGACTTCGTCTCTACAAAAAATAAAAAACTGGGGCTGGGCACAGTGTCTCATGCCTATAATCCCAGTACTATGAGAGGCCAAGGCAGATGGATCACTTGAGGCCAGAAGTTCAGGATTGGCCTGGCCAAAATGGTGAAACCCTGTCTGTAGTAATAATACAAAAATCAGTCAGATATGGTAGTGCACCCCTGTAATCCTAGCTACTTGAGAGGCTGTGGCACGAGAATTCCTTGAGCTAAGAAAGTGGAGGTTGCAGTAATAAACGATTACTCCACTGCACTCCAGTCTGGACAACAGAATGAGACTTTATCTCAAAAAATAATTTTTTTTTGATTAGCTGGGTGTGGTGGTGTGTGATTGGAGTCCCAGCTACTTGGGAGGCTAAGGTGGGAGGATGAGTTGAGCCCAGGAATTTGGAGGCTGCAATGAGCCATGATCCCAACACTGCATTTCAGCCTGGGCAATAGAGTGAGAACCTTTCCCAAAAAGAAAACAAGAAAAAGAAGTGGAAAAAAATAATTCTTTCTGTGTGTTGTTTACTTAGCCTCTTTGTTGAAGAATCGGATGGGAGATTAAAAAAAAGTTTACTTCAGAAGGCAGTATTTCCAATAAACTATCAGGAGGAATAGAAGAAAAACATACACATTCACAGCAGGTAACTGTAGGATAAACCAATGGCTTATTATGGGAAGCATCCAGGAGAATTCTTTGTCCTCTGACCTCTAGAGAAAGTGTCTCCTCTCTGTACCGTTGACATTTCTTTCTCTCTTTCTTTCTTTCTTTCTTTCTTTTTTCTTTTTCTTTCTTTCTTTCTTTTTTTGAGACAGAGTCTCGCTCTGTCACACAGGCTGGAGTGCACTGGCATGATCTCAGCTCACTGCAAGCTCCGCATCTGGGGTTCAGGCAATTCTCCTGTGTCAGCCTCCCGAGTAGCTGGGACAACAGGTGCCTGCCACCAAGCTGGGCTAATTTACCATTGACATTTCAAACTAAGTCTTTGATTCTCTGTGGTGAGGGCTGGCCTGTGGACTGTAGGAGGTTTAGCAATATCTCTGGTGTCCATCCACTAAGAGCCAGTAGGCTTCCCTCAGCCCCAAGTTGTGACAACTAAAAATGCCCTCCAGACATTGCCCAAGTATTCCCTGCTGAGGCAGAATTGTCCCTTCATTGAGAATCACTGATCTAGCCCTAGAAGTTGCATCATGGATTGAGAAAATGCTCTGTCCCTAGACATAGCTCCTTAAGTGTTAACTTGCAAACAAATCACTGAGTGACTGGCATGAAAATGAAGAATGTGATCTCGGAAGTTTTGGTGAGTCCAGGTTGTTTTTCTTCCTAACCAGGTCCTGGATGCTGCCAACATTGTTGGTGCTTGGACTACAGCAAGTAGCAATGCATTGTTGGTAACTAGAAATAGGGTAAAATAAAAGGTCTAGCCCAAGTGGAATTCATGGGGTATTCCTTCCTTCCTCCTTTAAAAAGAACATCAAAACAGTAGAAAGATGATACCAATGTTTTTTATCCTCTGGGACATCTCACTGGAGCTCTGTATTTTCAGACTGCTATGAAAAAATATTATAAAATGAATGGCTTTTAACCCATTTCCCATTTAGAAAAAAGGTGCAGATCACTGCCAGCGCTCATTAAATTTGACATAACACACTCTTTGACTGAGGGAAATCTGATTTCCAATGGGAAAATAAAGTACGAAAACTGTTCTTGGAGTTATTTCTAAAATGCAATTATGTCTAATCCTAATATAAAATCTTATACACTTCTTCTATTACATTAGGATGAGGGAAAAGAGTATTCTTCGGGTAAATGGGAAATGGATTAAAAAAAAGACATTTACTGCTCACAGTTCTGGAGACTGGAAGTCCAAGATCGATGCCTGGTGAGGATCTTCTTCCTGTTTCACAGACAGTGCCTTCTCTTTGTATCCTCACATGGTGGAAGGAACAAGGGAGCTTTCTGAGACCACTTTTATAAGGGCACTCATCCCATTCATGAGGCTCCACACTTATGATCTCATCACCTCCCAAAGACACCACCACCTAACACCATCACCTTGGGGATTTGATTTTCAATTGAGGGTAACATAAATATTGACTTTAGCAAGCTATATCACTGTGTCATTGTTTGACTACATATTTCATCAAAATCACTTTACACAAATGTACAGCTAAGGTATTTTCTTCTCAGGAAAACATTTTTTTTTTTGGTCTCCCTAAAATCGTAACTATTTGTATTAAAATACTAACTGTCAACTCATGTTGCATGAGTTTTTGGAAGTGGCAAGCCACAAAGTACAAATCACTAAATTTCAGAACAAAACCTGAGTACAGTTTGTACATACTTCCTAGCTTTACAATATTTCTTGGGATGTTCTTGGGCTTAAAATATGGCCACACCAATGAGGTGGTATGTCAAAGAGCCTCTGTCCCACACCTCACTCTCTGGATTCCACACTCCAGAATGGGACTCCCAATCTCCTCATGGTTCACACTGGCAATGCCTGACACAGGATGCTGTTTCAACATTGAGACTAGGGTCCTTCTTCTTGTCCAGTTCCTGTATTTGGCATAGAATATTTTGAATAGCATTGAATATGTTTTTGAATATTGAATATTTATTGAATATTTCACATTCAATTGCATGGCACTGAATATTGTAGAATATTGTGGAATAACATTCCAAGCAGAAAAAAAACAGTAGGACACTTTGTTCTGACAATCTCAGATCTCAGTTCTGACCATATAAGTCTTGGGTTGTTCATCATTCAGAAGACACTACAAAGTAAGATGGGTGTAAGGGGAATAATCAAATGTATACAAAGGTGCTATCTTGAAGTGGACATGCAGTATGCCATGGAAGCATGAATGTGGTGTCTTTGTTGTTGAAAATGGTTCTAGCATCCTCAAGTTAGGCCTTGTGAATATGGTTTCAGAGGGAAGGTGGATTCCTTCACTGGTATTCACAGAACAATTCAAAACTTTAGATTTCTCAGATTAAGATAGTTATCTAAGTCTACAGACCTGAAGACATAAACATTTGTTCACCAAGAAATGTTTAAGCCAGAAAGAAACCCAACCACAAACCACCAAAGCCACAAACAAAAGACGAAACCAAACTAAACAAAAAACCCACAAATAAGCAAACAAAAAACTTTCCCTGACAGAAGCCACAGAACTTTATTTTGGGAAAAGAAAACTTTTTTTTTTTTTGGTCAAACTATCAGTTGCTATGAAATACTCTTAGATTTTTATCCTGCGCTAATATTTTGGGGAACGGGAAGGTGTGTTGTTTATGTGCTATTGTGAGCTGCCAAAATTTGAGATGGGTCTGGTTTAATTTAGAAAGTTTATTTTGCCAAGATTTAGGACGTACATCCATGACACAACCTCAGGAAGTCCTGATGACATGTGCCCAAGTTGGTAGGGGAACAGCTTAGTTTTATACATTGTAGAGAGATATGAGACATCAATCAATATATGTAAGAAGTATATTAGCTTCTTCCAGAAAGATGGGGACAACAGAAGCAGGGAACTGGCTTCCAGGTCACAAGTAGCTGAGAGAAAAATGGTTGCATTCATTTGAGTTTCTGATAAGTCTTTCCAAAAGAAGCAATCAGAATATACATCTGTCTTAGTGAACAGACGGTGACTTTGCATAGAATGGAAGGCAGGTTTGCCCTGAGCAGTTTCCAGCTTGACTTTTCCTTTTAGCTTAGTGATTTGGGAGGCCCAAAATCTCTTTCTTTCTAACTATGTTAAAAATAACATGAAAAAATTTATGAGGTATTAATGATGATGATGACGGTTATACAGACAACGAGAATGATCATGATATTGACATCCATCATGTAAGGGGGGAAATAAAGGTGATGGTGGTGATAATAATAGAATATAAACTGCTTTGCTCCTCTTTGGGAAAGCCCTAGAGATGCAGACCTGGGTGGCCAGTTTATGGTGTATTTGCCTAAAATACCATCTGACCTACTATGTCTTTTCTGCTTTTCTGCCTTTGTTTTCTATAATTTTTCAATGTCTGTTTATGCTTCTAAAAATTCTAGATAACTCCATCTCAAACACTGCATTCATTCTCCTTTTCTTATAAAACAATAAGGGTTTTCATTAAGAAGTAAGTCACAAGACTGCAAGAGAACAAATATAACTTTTAATAGGTCTGTCTCTCTTCCTCTCCCTACACCGCGCTGGCTGGAGGTGGAGGATTCAAATGGAATTTTGCATGAAAAAGTGTCCTGCTCACTCCAGAAAACTGAATATTTTATTCATAATCATCTTTGCATCATTCACATTACCTTCCCTGACCATTATTCAGGGAACTCTAAGAAATATAATATATACATCGACATAAATTTAGGAACAGTAGATATTAGGGAATATTAGAGTGTGGAGAGATGGAGGGGGCAAGGCTGAAAAACTAACAGTTGGATTCTATGCTCAGCACTTGGGTGATGGGATCATCTGTATTCCAAACCTTGGTGTCACATGATATACCCATGTAAAACACCTGCATTTGTACCACCCGAATCTAAAATAAAAGGTAAAATTATACATAAAAAAGTTTATGATCCATGAAATATAACAGACAAAAGTGTCTATTATGGTGTTTAATACAATTGGAGTTCAAAAAGTAGGTGGCGGCCACAAAGAGTGGCTCATGCTTGTAATAGCGTGATTTGGGAGGCTGAGCTGGAAGTGCTACCAAGGGGTCCTTGCTCCTAGAGCTCCCCAGATGGCATCTTGTGTCACTTCCAAGATGGTGGCAAGCCTCTTCTTCTCTGATCTGGGGTTCTTGGCCTCACGGATTCCAAGGAATGGAATCTTGGGCCATGCAGTGAGTGTTATAGCTCTATTAGAAGTCGTGGGTCACAGAAGAGAACTGTGGAACCCAGGGACTAGTGTTCAGCTCAATTAGGACAAACCCAGGCACTTAGCCATGCAGGAACAATGGCAAGCCTTTAGTCCAATCAGGAGCAGCAATAGGTGCCTCACTGGATGAGGAGCACAGCTGACACCCTGCTGGATCTGGAGGGGTGTAAGTCAGTGGTGGGTCTGCAATGGCAGCAAAGAGCAGGAGTGGACAGAGAGCAAAAGCTCAGCTTGAGCCATAACAAACATGGACCAGAAGAATGTGCAGATGTAAGACTTTATAATAGCGTGAATACAGAGCTCCCATACAAAAGGAGGGGATCCATTGCTGGCTCCAATGCCTGGGTGCATATCCCATCATTGTCCCTCCCACTGTGTTCTTAGGTGATAGATGATTGGCTATTTCTTTACCTCCTGTTTTTACCTAATTATCATTTTAGTGAGCTCTCTTTTCTACTTGAATGGTTGGGTGTGAGCTAAGTTGCAAGCCCTGTGTTTAAAGGTGGATGCGGTCACCTTCACAGCTAGGCTTAGGGATTCTTAGTCGACCTAGGAAATCCAGTTAGTTCTACTTCTCAGTCCCCCTTCTCGACAGGAAATCCCAAGTGCTGTTGGGGAGGTTGGCCAATGATCACTTTGTTTCCTGCTGAATTGTATTGTAGTAGGGGTTGTGGAGTTGAGATTTCCCTGTGAGGGGTGCCTTTGATGTCATCAATGTCGGAGCATGGGCTAGCAGGCTGGTCCAGGGGTCTGTGGTAGATCTTAGTCATGGACTGAATCTGTGGCTCCATCTGAAGAATGATTCGTAGTTTTACAGCTTCGATTCTGGAAGAGACACACTTAACAAGGAAGTTAAAGATATAGGGATTCAAATGGCCTGCAGTGCAGGGGATTATTTCTTTGGCACACTTCACAGGCCCTGACTATCTGCTTGATAGTTTTGAAAAGGACTCATCCAGTAAATAATAATTTGGCCATCCAATGGGTGCTACCAATGCCTAAGTGAAAGGTTTGGTGAAAGATTTTAAGCAATTTCCATTGGTTAGTTGTAGGAAAAAGTATTTTTCCTTCCTTGGTGGATAGCTATCCTGAGGGGAGGAAACTATGTCCTCATGGGTTTTCCTATACTATTTCTCCTGCTGAGTACTGGGGCTTGGTTTTACAGAGGGGATTACACCTTACTAGGGGTCCTTCCATAAGCATTTCTAATGGAGGATCCTGCTTTGCAGCTCTTTTGGCTTCAATATGCACTTGGCAGTTCCCTTCTATTTCCCTTTCCATTCCTTTCTGATGACCTCAGCTGTGTAAGACGGCCACATCTTTAGGTTTCTGTACAGCCAATAATAATCCCCTAATGGCTTCCTGATGTTTGATAGGTGTTCCTTCAGAAGTTAGGAATTCCCTTTCTCTCTATATTGTTGCATGGGCATGGAGGACTAAGTAAGCATACTTAAGAATCTGTATATAAATTTACCCCTTTTCATTTTCCTAATTCTAGTGCCCTAGTGAGGGCTATTAGTTCGGCCAGCTGAGTGCTAGTTCCTGGAGTGAGGGGATTACTTTCAAGTATTCCATTATCACTGACCATTGCGTACCCCACATTTCAAAATCCTTTTTCTACAAAGGAACTTCCATCAGTATACAAGTTGAGATAGGGATCAGTCAAGGGAACCTCTAGAAGGACCCCTTGAGCAGCGTAGGTTTGAGCAATCACCTGTTGACAGTTATGTTCTATCTTTTCCTCATTGTCTGGAATAAATGTGTGTGGGTTAAGAGCTGCAAAAGTACGCAGTCACAGCACTGGCCCTTCAATTAATAGAGCCTGATATTTAAGCAAATGGTTGTCTGACAGCCACAAGTCTCCTTTAGCAGTGAGTATGCCATTTATATCATGAGATGTCCACACAGTAAGATCTCTTCCCTGTATAATTTTAACTGCTTCAGATACTAAGACTGCTACTGCCACCACTACCTGTAAACAGTGAGGCCAATCCTTTGCCACTACATCAATTTTCTCACTCAGGTATGCCACAGGTTGCAAGCTGGTCCCTCAAACCTCTGTAAAGACTCCTAAAGCTATTCCTGTTTTTTCTCTGACATATAAAGAAAAGTCTTGCCCCATTGGCAAGCTTAACACTGGGGCTTGGGTTAGGGCCTTCTTTAGAGCATGGAAAGCCACTTTTGTTTCAGGTGTCCATCTTACTAAATGCGTATTGGCTTTCTGAGTTTCCTTAATTAATGTATATAATGGCCTGGCTATTTCGCCATACCTGGGAATCCATATTCAGCAGAAGCCTGTTATTCCAAGGAACTTCTCAGTTGCTCTAGGGTTTTGGGATGAGGATAAGCCAGTATAGGCTGGGTAAGTTCCTCATTGAGGGCCCTGGTGCCCTTGGGTAATTTTAGCCCTAAGTATGCAACCTGCTGTGAGCAGAGCTGAGGCTTTTGTTTGGAAACTTTGTAGCCACAGGTGGTGAGGAAATTTAACAGCGCTTGTATGGCTTGATGGCACAAGGTTTCTGAATGGGTGGCTAAAAGTAAATCATCCACGACTGGGCACAGTGGCTCACATCTATTATCCCAGCACTTTGAGAGGCCAAGGTGGGTGGATCACAAGTTCAGGAGATCAAGACCATCCTGGCTAACATGGTGAAACCCTGTATCTACTAAAAATACAAAAAATTAGTCGGGTGTGGCGGTGTGCACCTGTAGTCCCAGCTGCTGGGGAGGCTGAGGGAGGAGAATGGTGTGAACCTGAGAAGCGGAGCTTGCAGTGAGCCAAGATTGCACTACTGTACTCCAGCCTGGGTGACAGAGGGAGACTCCATCTCAAAATCAATCAATCAGTCAATCAATCAATCATCCGCATACTGAAGGACAAGAGTGTCCAGGTAGGAGAAATGGCTCAAGTCTTGGGCTAATGCCTGAGTGAACAGATGGGGGCTTTCCCTGAACCCTTGGGGTAAAACAGTCCAAGTGAGTTGAGACATTGGGTTTCCAGGATCTTCAAAGGCAAACAAGAATTGAGGTAGGATGTGCAGGGATGCAGAAAAAGGCATCCTTAAGGTCCAGGACTGCAAAACACTCTACTTCCTCTGGTATTTGGGAAAGTAGAGTATAAGGTTTAGGTACAGCTGGGTACAGAGGGACAGTGGCCTCAGTGATAATCCTGAGATCTTGCACTAACCTCCACTGTCCATTAGATTTCTGTACTCCTAAAATTGGAGTATTGCAGGGGCTAGTCCATGGTTTTATTAGGCCTTGGGCTTTTAGGTCCTCAACAACCTTTTGGAGTCCTTGTTGGACTTTGGGTCTATGGGGATACTGCCTTTGGTAGGGAAAGGAGGCAGCATCCTTTAGTTTAACTTGAACAGGACAGGCATTCTTTGCTCATCCATATTGTCCTTCTGTTGATCAGACTTCAGGATTAATTCCTTCCTCATGCAGGTGGAAACAAACAGGTGTTCCTTCTCCTATGTTCAGGTGTATAATGACCCCTGCTTCTGCTAGAATGTCTCTCCCTAATAAGGGAGTGGGGCTTTCAGGTATAATTAGAAAAGCATGTGAAAGTAAAGTTCCCCAGTCCCAACTTAGTGGCTGGGAGAAGTATCTAGTGACTGGCTATACTAGGACCCTTCTGATAGTGACAGATCTGGAGGACAGTTGTCCAGGACAGAAGAGTAAGACTGAGAAGTCCATGCCAGTGTCCAGGAGACAGTTAACCTCCTGGCCCTCAATGGTCAAGCATACCTGGGGCTCTGTGAGGGTGATGGCATTGGCTGGCACTTGCCCTGGGCACCCTCAGTCCTGCTGCTGGATCATCTGTTTAGTGGCTTCTGACTCAGAGAACCTTCATCCCCTGGGGCAGCGGGCCTTCCAGTGATTCCCTTGACATAAGGGGCATGGATGAGGGGGTGGCTTATTTCTATTTGGACAATCTTTTTAAAGTGTCCTTGCAGACTGCACTGGAAGCAAGCCCCATTAGGCATTCAATTTGCCGCCTGCTCTTCCTGATCTCTATTATAAAAAAATGAGGTTGCCAAGTTCAATAGGGTATAGTAAGTTTTGCTCCAGGCCAAAGGTGGACTTTTGAAGTTTTTTTCTAATGTCTGCAACTGAATGAGTGATAAAGTTATCCTTTAATATTAGTTGGCCTTTAACACAGTCAGGTGACAGAGAGGTATGCTTCCTCAGCGGCTTTCTTAGTCTCTCCAGAAAGGCAGTAGGCTGTTCTTCCTTTCCCTGTGTTATAGTGGACATCATTGAATAATTTATAGGCTTCTTCCTAGTTTTTCTCAATCTTTCTAGCACACAAATTAGCAAATGTCTGTGGCACAAATCTACATTTGCTGATTCTGCATCCCATTGAGGGTCTACACTGGGAACTGCCTGCTGGCCTGTGGGGAATTGTTCTCTTTCCTCTGTTGTCATCCTATCATTGACCTGATGGAGAGAGCAGAGATTGCCAAACTCTCAGGCTGCAGTTATGGTGGCACTTATCTCATTTGGGGTTAGCGTCCAATCTAGCAGTAACATTATTTCTCTCCATGTCAGGTCAAAGGATTGTCCTAACCCTTACAAAACATTAACATAGCCATCAAGGTTATCTGAGAATTTACTTAGGTCTATTTCAATTTTCTTCAAGTCTGACAAGGAAACAGGTACATATTCTCTGACTGGGCTGAATACTCCAGAATACATCTTTGGGGCATCTTTGCCTTGGAGGGAATGTTTGCCTTGGGGGGAATATCAGCACCCCAGTCATTTTCTGATGAGCATTAGTCCTAGAGTGTCCTCTATGGTCATAATGCTTATACTTTTCCAGGGTGTGTAACCACCAATGGACTTCTGCTTAATGGATAAGTTATGCTCACCAATGCGGCAGTACTGTACCTGTTTTCCTGCCCTTCTTGACCACCAAGAAAGAAAGTGGTCTGGGCTGCTGGATTCTAGTGGTCCTTTACCAAGTGTGCCCAACATTGCCTTTGTACTCATAGGTGAGTTCTAGAGCTGGGCTGGGTTCCTGAGTATTTCATAACAACCCAGCTGCCCCATCAATATGCATTGCTATAAACAACAGTTCTTACGCAAATTTATTTCAGAGAGGGTGTAGGTAACCTTTTGAGTCAGGATTGAGGTACAGTCTTTTTGATTCTGTAAGTACTTTAATGTTTGGCTGAGTGCACACAGCTAGCACGTTTGAGCAGACCAATTATTAGGCAATTTTCCTAACTCTGCTTCCACAAGAGTCTCCCTATCAATTACTGAATAACCATTGTATTTTTGTTTTTTCCCCCTCAATCACCTGGGATGAACCATCTATCCTCCTGTCCTGAAGGGAGTTCCTCGTAGGTGTGGTCGGACTTTTGTATGGCAATTAAGATTTAAATTCCCTGTTAGGATATCTGCTGGGTTAAGGGAATTTTCAGTGGTTAATGTTAAATCACCTTTTTCTAAAGAATAGCCCCATACTTTAAGATTTTTGAGTTAGTAAGCTACCTTTATGCTTTTTTGACTTAGAATAATTCTGAAATGGTGAGATGTGCTCACAAAGAGGTTTCGCCCAAAAGTTACTTTTCTACTTTCTTCTGTTAGCAAAGTAGTTACTGCTACAAATTGAATGCATTTGGGCCATCTGTAGGTTCCTGGGTTAAGGATTTTTGATAGGATGGCTACGAGTTGCCAGTGGTCTCAGTGTTTTCAGGTTATGACCTTGTTTACAATGCCAACAAGGTAGTATTGGAGTGTTATAGGGTCTTGGAGA
This sequence comes from Homo sapiens, assembly GCF_000001405.40. Taxonomy (NCBI): domain Eukaryota; kingdom Metazoa; phylum Chordata; class Mammalia; order Primates; family Hominidae; genus Homo; species Homo sapiens. Next base: position 19,081,560 of record NC_000024.10, on the reverse strand, counting down.
AGACCTTCAATTATCAATTACAGGCTTTAAATTTACCCTGGCTTTTAAAGGAATAGGGCACACTGTTTTTTTCTTCTATCTTTCTTTCTCTTTCTTCTTTCTTTCTCTTTTTGACTCTTGCTTTGCCTCTCTCTCTTTCTCTCCCCTCTGTCTCTCTGTTTTCTGCTAGCCCTTTAGAAACCTGGGGCCTTGGCAAGGGTAGTGGGGAATGGGTCCCACATAACTGCCCATGTTGAGAGCTGTATGCATAAATTGGGAGGGATATCAGGGAAAAGACTCTCTGGGTTCATAGCCTAGGGGCCTAAGGATGCAGCTTAGAGCTTCCTTAGATCCCTTTGGAGATACAACTTGCTAGAGGAAATGAAAGTCTGAACCATTATTAATTAGGAGGCAGGGATTGGAGGAAGTAGATTCAGAAGTAAGGAGAATTTTGGGGCTACACTTTCAAGAAAGTCATGGTCAGGACCCAGGAGGTATAGATCAGAAGGAAAGGTGGGGGCACACGCATGGGCGACTGTTGAGTAGAGACTTCTGGCTGCACCATGATCTCAAACAGCTAATGCTGGGAGTTAGGGATGACAGCTTTCTGCCTCTAGTTAGCCCTCTGCTTCCCCAGGAATAATCAAAGAGGATGCTGGTTCTAGGCAGACCAATGCTCCCGACCAAGAAGGGTTGAGATTGTTAGAAAGCTCTATCCCAGACAGCCTCATACCTGAGTCTTAAGTCCAGCACCATGCTAACGTTTTTAACTACCTGACAGGTGCCCAGTATTTTCCTCCAATTCTAAGGAAGGGTAGGACAGAATAGCAAGCAAAAGTGGTCCAATATTACTCACTGCTTTGGAGGTCCCTTTGTGGTTGCCAAAAGGTTGCCAGGGGGACTTGCTTCTAGAGCTCCCAAGATGGTGGGGGCCACTTCCAAGATGGTGGTGAGCCTCTTCTACTCTGACCTGGGGTTCTTGGCCTCATGCATTCCAAGTAGGAATCTCGGGCCATGCTGTGAGTGTTACAGCTCTATTAGAAGTCATGGGTCACAGAAGAGAACTGTGGAACCCAGCTCAACTAGTTCAGCTCAACTAGACAAACCCGCGCACTTAGCCTTGCAGGAACAATGGTGAGCCTTTAGCCCAACTGGGAGTGGCAACAGGTGCCTCACTGGATCAAGAGCACAGCTGACACCCTGCTGGATCCAGAGGGATGGAAGTCAGTGGCGGGTCTGTGATGGTGGCAAAGAGCATTGCTGGATGGTGAGCAAAAGCTCAGCTCAAGCTGTAACAAACATGGATCAGAAGAGTGTGCAGTTGCAAGACTTTAAAATAGCATGAAAACAGAGCTCCCATACAAACGGAGGGGACCCAAAGAGGGTAGCCATTGCTGGCTTGAATGCCTGGGTTTATATCCCGATCATTGTCCCTTCCTCTGTGCTCTCAGGCAATAGATGATTGGCTATTTCTTTACCTCCTGTTTTTGCCTAATTAGCATTTTAGTGAGCTCTCTTTACTACCTTATTGGTTGGGTGTGAGCTAAGTTGCCAGCCCCATGTTTAAAGGTGGATGTAGTCACCTTCCCAGCTAGGCTTAGGGATTCTTAGTTGGCCTAGAAAATCCAGCTAGTCCTGTCTCTCCAGAGGTTCACTTGAAGCCAGGCGATCAAGACTTCACTGCTACAAAAAGTGAAAAAAAAAAAAAATTAGATGGGTTTGATTGTGCACACTTGTGGTCCCAGCTACTTGGGAGGCTGAGGTAGGAGAATCACTGAGCCTTGGAGGTTGAGACTCTAGTGAGCTATGACTGCACCACTGCACTTCAGCCTGGCCAACAGAGCAAGACCTTGTCTCCATTTGTTTTTTTGTTAAAGATCAAATGAAAGATGGACAAGAAGTGAAATCTAGAACTTTTCTCAAATACGTACAACAGGATGACAGCACACAACCTTCTTAATAGAGCTTAGCCAGAGGACAAGCTCAGTATTTTTTAGTTTGTTTTGTTTTTGAGACAGAGTTTCACTCTCGTTGCCCAGGCTGGAGTGCAGTGGTGCAACTGAAGCTTACCCACCTCTCCCTCCCGAGTTCAAGGAATTCTCCTGCCTCAGCCTCCCGAGTGGCTGGGATTACAGGTGCCCACAACTACGCCTGGGTAATTTTGTATCTTTAATAGAGACAGGGTTTCACCATGTTGGCCAGGCTGGTCTGGAACTCCTAACCTCTGGTGATCTGCCCACCTCAGTATCCCAAACACTTCTCTCCAAAGTGTTGGAATTACAGGCCAGAGACACTGTGCACGGCCTAGGGTCAAACATTTAAAGGAAACTGAGGCAGATTAACTAATGAACTACCAAGACACCAATTAAGAATTCAGTTGGTCTGGGCACAGAGGCTCATGCCTATAATCCCAGCACTTTGGGAGGCCAAGGCGGATCACTGGAGCCCAGGATTTTCAGACCAGCCTGAGCAACCTAGAACTTCATTTCTACAAATAATTAATTAGCCGGGAGTGGTGACACAAAACTGTGGTCTCACCTGCTTAGGAGGCTAGGGCAGGAGGATCACTTGAGCCTGGTAAGTGCAGTGGCGTGATCACAGCTCAGTGTAGCCACAACTTCCCAGGCTCAAGCAATGCATCCTCACGTGGTCATCCCTCTGTGGGTGTCTGTGCCCTTTTATTTTTTTAGAGACAGAGTCTTGCCGTGGCCCAGGAAAGAGTGCACTGGTGCAATCATGGCTTACTGCAGCTTTGACCTCCTGGACTCAACCAATCCTCCCATCTCAGCCTCCTGAGTGGCTGGGACCACAGGTGTGCGCCACCATACCCAGCATATATATATATGAAAACAGAGCAAGACAAGGTCTTGCTCTGTTGGCCAGGCTGAAGTGCAGTGGTGCAGTCATAGCTCACTAGAGTCTCAACCTCCAAGGCTCAGTGATTCTCCTACCTCAGCCTCCCAAGTAGCTGGGACCACAAGTGTGCACAATCACACCCATCTATATATATATACACACACAAACACACACATATATACACACACATATAAACACACACATATACACACACATACACATATATATTTTTAAATACACACACACACACACATACATATTTCTATACATGGAGTCCAGGCTGGTCTCAAATTCCTGGCCTCAAGCGATCCTCTCGTCTTAGCTTCCCAAGTAGTTGGGACTAGCAGCACACACCATCATATCTACATAATTTTTTAAACTTTTGTAGAGATGGAGTCTTGCTGTTTTGCCCAGGCTGGTCTCAAACTCTTGGCTTCAATACAGCCTCTCGCCTGGGCCTCCCAAAGTGCAGGGATTACAGCACCCAGACCCAGCTGGACGTTTGTTTGTAGAACTATGAAAAATATGGCTGAATTAGAAATTGGGTGGTGCCAAGTGAACTTCACCCAATGCTTCTGTCACCGCATCAGTTCTCTCTACCCTTTTCGCGTGTTGGAGAACTAACTTGCAAGGCAGGGGACGCGGCTCCAGGGCGCTTTGCCTCCCTCAGGCGGCTCAGGCTCTCAGTGCGCGAGACCCAGGGAATCTGGAGCCAACGCTACAACCCGCCCAAGGGCCGTTCCCGCTCACGGTGGAGCTAGCGTCTCTGCGCGGGAGAGGGGTTGCGCGGCCAGTGCCCACCCGGAGCAACCGCTCCGAAGCCCAGGTCCCCTCCCCTCGACGCCGACCCACTGCTCTCCTTGCCCAGTGACGCCCCAGGGCAGCACAGTCCGGAGCCAGGCCTTCTGGGGACCGGGGCGCACGTGGCCCGAGCTGTCCTTGAGCAGGGGCACGGACCGACACTCGCCGCATGGGCGCGCGGGGCAGACGTTTTGCCTCCCAGCGCTTCAATACCAGATGTTCAAAACCAGATGTTTCCAGACCATATCCCCGTCGCTTCCGACACTTGGAAAGACCAATTGCCAGGCCCCAGAAGGCAAGACGTTTGCGAAGGAAACCGCCAATCCGGTTGCTCGCTACTTCCAGGGTCGTGTGCTCCCTTACGCAGGACCCTGCCCAATCGTCAATGCGACGTCCTCCTACTCCCACCTCAGAGCTGTCACAGAGACTGTCAGTTCCGTCCCTCCCCTTCAGCCCTTTAACGCACGTCTTCCCGACCGCATAACTTGCTCAGTCCCTGCGGCCAACTGGGGCGGGCCAATGGCTGTGACGGATAAGGGGTGTGGGGTGCGGGGACAATGGGCCAGAGCTTCTCATGCAGCCTGCACCAGCGCCGGGTCGGAGAGTCAGAGGCCACCCTGAGATGGACCGAGATCTTCAGTTGGGGAGGCGCCTCCGGTGAGCTTGCGGCCAGATGCCCCCTCAGTAGTCCTCCGCAACAGGTGCCGCGCAGCCGAGTGGCGGGCTAGCATACCGCCTGCCCGCAATTCGGCCAGGCCTCGAGCCTGCTCCGCCTTCCCGCTGCGGTAGCGCCGCCGGGGAAACGCCGCCACGGGCTGCATGGGCAGCGCTCGCGCCCCGCCGCTGAGCCGCCGGGGAGCCGTCCAGTCTTCGAATCCCAGTAAGAGACGCCGCTGGCCTAGGGACAGTGGTTGGGGCTGGCCCGGGGCATTCGCGCGGCCTTGCAGCCTGCAGGCCTTCCCAGCCGACAGAGCTGCTGTGTGGGCCTTGGGTCAGGCCTGGAGGGCCGGGATCGGGGTGGGCGGTGGACTTTGGGGGCTCGGGGAGGTCGTGAAGGGCCAACAGGGGGCTCCAAGCGGGCTTGGGAGCTCGAGGGGCTCGGAGCGACGGTTAGGGGGACCCGAGGCCGCTGTGCGGGGCGGACGGGGGGCTCCGGGGCGGGGCTGGCGGGGCAGAAGGTCCCCAGGGGGCTGTGGGGGACCGACTGGGGGCTTCCGGGAGCGCCTGGGGGTTCTGGGAGCCCGGGGGCTGCTGTGAGGGGCTGCCGAGGGGGGCCCTGGGCAGGTGTTGACTGCTGCGGAACTCGGGGGGCGCCGACTTCTAACACACAACAGGGGCGCCTTCGCTGTTCGGTTCTGGTCGTAGTTGTTATTCTCAGCGTCCCTATTATTATTAGTAGTAGTATTCTTTTTATTTTATTTATTTATTTATTTTTGAGACGGAGTCTTGCTCAGTCGCTCAGGCTACAGTGCAATGGCGCGATCTCAGCTCACTGCAAGTTCCGCCTCCCGGGTTCACGCCATTCTCCTGCCTCAGTCTCCCGAGTAGTTAGGACTACGGGCGCCCCCACCATGCCTAGCTAAATTTTTTTGGTATTTTTAGTAAAGACGGGGTTTTACCGTGTTAGCCAGGATGGTCTCGATCTCCTGACCTCGTAATCCGCTCACCTTGGCCTCCCAAAGTGCTGGTATTACAGGAGTGAGCCACTGCGCCTGGCCAGCGTTCCTATTATTATTGCTCTTCTGGAATGAGAGCAGGCAGCTGCCGGGATCCCAGCCGGAAGGGGCGGGCGAAAGGCAGGGTTGCTGGGGGCGGGCGAAAGGCAGGGTTGCTGGAGGCGCGCGTAGGTTCGAGTAGGGACTGGAATGCGGGCCAACAGTGTGGGGGTTATTAGGGGGGAGGGTAGGCAGGTCGGAGGAGGGAGTTGGGAGGAAAGCGGCGGCGGTGGCGGCTTCAACAGCAGCTCTTGCCCTTAAGGAACAATGTGAGACGTTGCCTGAAATGTTAATTTCCGTTTCTCATTTCATCATCCAGGGCGTTGGGGAAGGGAGTGGGGAGTGATGTGAGAGTGTGTGTATGTGTGTCCCTGCCACTTGGATTCTGTGTGTGTGTGTGTCCCTGCCACATTCAGTCGTGTGTGTGTCCCTGCCACATGGATTCAGTCTTGTGTGTGTGTGTCCCTGCCACATTGATTCAGTCCTGTGTGTGTGTATGTGTGTGTGTCCGTACCTGCCACATTGTTTCAATCCCCTCTCAGAGGGATTGTGCTGTTAACGCTTGTATCTGTGTCATTTGGGAAGGTCGGTGGCAGGGGAGTCTAGGTTTTTCTCTAGGCCTGCTCTTTTCCTGGTGCCCGATTGACGTTTTCTGCTTCTGTTGTGTTTTTGAAAGGTATTCTTGTATACGAGTTCCAAGAAGTTTTGGAAGACACTGGGAAAATGAAGATTCTCTGACAGCTCCCTTTGCTTTAACTATTTTTCTTATAACAGTTAAGATGTAACATGCTTAGGTTTCATGGTTTTTGCAGGTTATGAGTAGTTTTGTATCCATTTGCAAGAACTGGATTTTTTTTTTTTTTTTGGTAGAGAAATCAGATTTCAGGCTTTCTTACATGAGGAGAGAGTTTCATGCGGTGATTTGAGCAATATCCTTTACACTTGAAATGAGAAATAAAATTGTTCACAATTGTTGAACTGCAAAACTTAGAATCTTTTGATCCTTTTTGAGGCAATGAGACTTATTCAGCCAACATGTAAGATGATATTGCTTGTGGAAAAAGTACTATTGAAACAGTTACTATTTTTGTTGTGTGCAAATGCCATTAATGGCATAACTAGGATAGTTCAAAATCAGAGACCCTGAGATTTTATTTGGCGTCTCTGAGCTCTTGATTTCTTTTATTAAATGTTGGCTGCGTGGAATACTTAGAGTTCTGTTAGTGTCTTTTGAGAGTGATTGAGCAAGTCCTGTAATATTACTTTGCAACTGGTACTTTGGTGTTTTACATAGTAAAATTAATGGTTCATCAAATGTAAGAGGAAATTTACTTTGCATATGGGCAATGAGCCCATCATCCATTAAATAACAGAGAGAGTATCAGTAAATGCTGGTTCAGAAAATAATCTACATTTGGTTGCCAAAATAAGTGTTTAGGTCTGTCCATTACCTTGTATAAGTCTCTTCATCGGTCAAATGGTAAGTGTAGTGGATGAGTGTTATTTAATAGCAAGGTATTTGCTAGTGAATAGGTGAAGATACATTGCTTATCTAACAGCATGTTGTATCAACTTATTTAAATTGCTGTGTAGTCAGTGTTCTGTAGGAATTGTGACCCGTTTGGTAAACTTTATAGAAAAATTGAATGAATTCAAATAACTAAAAGTTACTGTTTTGAAATGTTGAAATGTTTTCAGTGTGTGTTTTTTTAATTTAAATTTTAAATGGAATGTCTGTGCAATTCAACTTTCTAGCTTTTATCGTAAAACCATATGAAAGAAGGTGTCAATCTTCAGCTCTTGGAACTCAGGCAACTAAATAATTGCCTTAGAAAGCATTTTTTTTTTTTTTTGAGGTGGAGTTTCGCTGGTTGTCCAGGCTGGAATGCAATGGTGCAATGTCCGCTCACTCCAACCTCCACCTCCCTGGTTCAAGTGATTCTCCTGCCTCAGCCTCCTGAGTAGCTGGGATTACAGACATGTGCCACAATGCCTGGCTAATTTTTGTTTCACCGTGTTGGCCAGGCTGGTCTTGAACTCCTGACCTCACGTGATCCACCCGCCTCGGCCTCCCAAAGTGCTGGGATTACAGGCGTGAGCCATGGCACCTGACCCCCATAGAAGCCATTTTAGCCTTAGAACATGATCCACTTTAATGATCACTTCATTAATTTTGATAGACGTTTCTATTATTTTATTGTGTATTATTTGTTCATTTGTTTTTGAGATGGAGTCTCATTATGTCACCCAGCTGGAGTGCTGCAACCTCGGCTCGCTGCAACCTCTGCCTCCCATGTTCAAGTGATTCTCCTGCCTCTTGCTTTTCGTAATATAGAGACAGGGTCTCTATGTTGCCCAGGCTGGTCTTGTACTCCTGGGCTCAAGTGAGCTGCCCACCTCAGCCTCCCATGTTACTGGGATTACAGGCAGGAACCACTACATCCGGCCCAGGGGTTCTATTATTAAGTGGCTTTTATTTGTTTGAGAAACCTTTTTCATGGCATCTCTTAACCTAGAGTCAGATTCAGCTTATATTGTTTTATGTATGTATAAGGCAGAACTTCAGATGTTATTTTTTTTAATAACATCCCAAATGATGATTGTGGCCTAATTCTGAATACATGCCTCATTCTTTTACCCCGCCTCAGGCCTCCAGTCGGATCCTGCGTCATTCTGGCTGCCTTGGCCTTTCCTTTCCTCAGTTGAGCCAGGTACCATAGTTTTTGGCATGGCTTTGACATATCTATCGCTGTCTCCCATGCAGATGCCTCCATCACAACTCCAAGATAACTGTTACTCAGCCTTTGGGTCTTAGTTTAATATCACTTGATTTTAGCATTTAGCAAGCCTTTTTTTTTTTTTTTTTTTGAGACAGGATCTCACTGTGTGGCTCACTATGGAGTGCAGTGGCGTGAACATGGTTCCCTACAGCCTTGACTTCCCGGGCTGAAGCGATCCTCCCACCTCAGACTCCTGGGTGGCTGGGACCACAGGCATGTGCCACCATGTCCAGCTAATTTACTTTTATTTTTTTAGAAACGGGGTCTCCTGGCCTAGTGCAGTGGCTCATGCCTGTAATCCCAGCACTTTGGAAGCCCGAGGTGGGTGGATCACAAGGTCAGGAGTTCGAGACCAGCCTGGCCAACAAGGCGAAACCCCATCTCAACTAAAAAAATACAAAAATTAGCTAGGCATGGTGGCATGTGCCTGTAATCCCAGCTACTCGGGAGGCTGAGGTTGGAGAATTGCTTACCTGGGAGGTGGAGGTTACAGTGAGTCGAGATTGTGCCACTGCGTTCCAGCCACGGTGACAGAGCAAGACTCAGTCTCAAAAAAACAAACAAAAAATAAAAATAAAAAAAGAAATGGAGTCTCCTTATGTTTCATAGGCCTCAAACTTCTGGGCTTGCCTCAGCCTCCTAAAGTGTTGGCATTATAGGCGTGAGCCACCATGCGTGGCTCCCATTTGTTTTCATTACAGGTTTGCTTTTATAATTTACATAAAGGTGGGAACACAGTTTTCAAAATTGGCAGAAGAGATAAACATAATTAAAAGGAATGTTGTCTTTGTGGGAAGTAAATGCTTTCTGTGAAAGCAGTTTTAGTAAGACTGGTTTTTAGGCCAAAGTAGAAGGCCATAAGCTGTTTTTATTCTAATTTCATCATCCTTTCCATCAGGATTTCAGATGCTGTAAGGGATGGGTTGAAATCAGTTTTGGCTGCTGCTGTTTATGAGAATTTAATGTTTCATTTGTAACTTTGAGTACCTTCCGGCCAAATGTAGCTGAACAAGTGGAGTCATGTGAAAATTTTTGCATTTTAATGAAGAAAAAAATATTTTCTTTTGAGGGAAATACAACAAAATAGAGGTGTGCCTTATTGATTTTCCCATGTTTATGTTTTCAAAGTGTCTTTTTAAATGAAACTTAATTGGTGAAAAATGGCTTTTGAAAAGACTATGAGTATATTTAGGAGATCGAGACTTGTTTTCATTTTTTGGCTTTATAGTAAGAGGCAAGGATATTTGGTGGAGGGAAACTGGTTGCTTGTGGTTGAAAACATTCAGACACTGTTCTAGGTCTAAGAAATCTTACCTTGTAGTTCGAAAACTGGTTCTGTGAATAAAGAGTTAAAAGCACATTTTCAGTGTGAAAATAAAAGTAAGCCATCCTGTCAGTAATGGCTGAGATTTTTCAAGCGCTGAAAGAGCCAAATCTTGTTGACTGAAAATCCCATCTTCTGGGATGCCCCACACCTGCTTTTTCTCTTTCCTCTTAGAGGTCAAGGTTGAAGTGGCTGTGTGGGTGCTGCTGTCTTAGTTATAGTGTCCCTGTGGCTGGCGGAGCGTGAGACCTGTTTCCAGGCTTGTTCTTGGCATTTGTGTATTGAATTATTTATTATCCTGAAAAATCGGTAGGTCCCCTTTTTTTTCCACTTACACAGCAACCACTGTGCACCCACTCTTTATTTGAAAATGTTGGCTTTTTCTCAATGCAAAACATTTCTGATCACTTCTATGAAAATTTTTTCTGTCATGGTAAAATTATGAAACTTTCCCCCTCATTACTTAACTCTAAAAAATGTGACTTTTAAGAATGGATGAAATTGAAATTCTATTGTAAATGCTTAATAAGTTTGTCATATCAGAGGTTATTTTTCATGTAACATTAGCAAATAGACCTCTTTTCTTGATGCATTAATAGTAAGTAGCTGGCTAGGCGTGGTGGCTCATGCCTGTAATCCCAGCACTTTGGGAGACTGAGGCAGGCAGATCATGAGGTCAGGAGTTTGAGACCAGCCTGACCAACATGGTGAAATACTGTTTCTACTAAAAATACAAAAATTAGCCCAATGTGGTGGTGTGCACCTGTAATCCCAGCTACTCAGGAGTCTGAGGCAGGAGAATCACTTGAACCTGGGAGGTGGAGGTTGCAGTGAGCCAAGATCGCACCACCACACTCCAGCCTGGGTGACAGAGCAAAACTCTGTCTCAAAAAAAGAAAAGAAAAAAAACAACAACGAAGTAGCACTTTCTCTCCTCCCTGTGGCAGTTTTTGGACTTAGGTTGCTAATGTCCTGAAATAATGAATGCAGTCATTCTAAGCAATGGGAAGATTGTGTAGGGTGCTTGATTCCTGAGGTTTTACCAGAGTTGGGATTAGCTTATGTCCTGCTTTCACACTGGCACAATCAAAGAAGATTTTGATTTAATTCTGGATGATGATGTAAACTTAAGATTGTTATGGCTATATTGTTTAAACTTACCTAAAATAGGAGAGAGTAAGAAGCAGTGAGGGACTGTATTTTACTCTTAAGATATCAAGCTTTGTTAGTATTCTACCATGTTTCTAAATGTGGTTTTACAGATACAAAACAAGAAATAAAAGTAAAACAAACAAAAAACCCCAAAGCACCACTCTTGAAAGGCTTAACTTTTAAAAAGTTATTATTACCAAGATGTCTGGCTAATTAAAGGATGTGCAGAGCACTGAATAAACCTTGCCTTTTTAGGTGGTGACAAAGAAAAAAATCCAGCTTTTAGGAGGCTGAATAATGTCTTGAGAACTTGTATTAGTATTCCACAACCCCACAGTTGATTCTAATTTGAAGGAATTTTTAGACTTTGTGCATATTTCTTTACTAGAATTGTATGTTTGGCTGGTTATTTATTTAAATTACATACATAGATATTTTTTGTTACCTTGAGAATAGTCTATCTGAAATTTGAAGTTCTTTAGAGCATAATATATTAATATGCTAACAATCAGAACATTTTCTTATAGGTATTTTTTCCCCTAACATAAGAGAGGTATATTTGAATTGTATCCTTTATCTTTTAGTATGAAACTCAGAAAAGTGCTATGTACTTTCACTTAATAGTTTAGATAATGCTAAACAGATGTAACCTTAGTGAAATTTACATTCAAATTTTATGTTTCTTTGGCAAAGTGATTAGATCTGATTCTACTAAACTTGGGTTCTTATCAGATGACTGGCTTTTTTAAAAAGATGATGCTGAAACTTTGTATTACTTTTGTAAAGAGGGACATTTAAGTTGAGGCTAATGGCACAGTGAAGTTTTCGGGAGTTGAGGAGAAAATATCTCTTAGAATTTAACCTACACCTTCTCCTTTTCCTTAATAGCTTTCTTCTAAGTCCATAAATACATTGGTTCAGGGGGATGAGACGAAGGCAGATGGAGGGTGTGTAAGCAGCAGTGACGTGGGAGATACGGAAGGTAGAAGGGAAACAGCTCCCAGCCGTTGGAGAAGCACTGGCACTTTTATCAGTGCTGCCTGTGTTGGTTTTCTGGTGATGCTGTAACAAACCGCCATACACTTAGATGTATTGTTTTATAGTTCTGCTGATTAGAAGCCTAATGTGATCTGCCTGGGCTAAAATTAAGGTGTGGGTAGGGCTGGTTCCTTCTGGAGGCTCCAGTGGGGAATCTCTTTCTTTCCTTTTCCATGTTCCAGACGCTGCCTGCTTTCTGTGGCCTGTAGTGCTGCAATCTTCAAAGCCAGCCTCATGGCATCTCTCTGACTCTTCTGCTGCCCTGGTCCCCTTTTTTTTGGAAACAGGTTCTTGGCTGTGTTGCCCAGGCTGAAGTGCAGTGGCACAATCAAGGCTCACTGCAGCCTTGGCCTCCTGGTCTCAATCAGTCCCTCTGCCTCAGCCCCCCGATGGTGCTGGAATTACAGGCATGGAACCACTGTGCCTGGCCCCTCTTCCTCTTGTGATTACAAGTGGAATCTTAGTCTTGACTTGTGATTACATTGGGCCCATCTGAACAATGCAGGATCATCTCCCTCTCTGCTGATTAGTAACCTTAATTTCCTTTTCCATGCAACCTAAGATATTCACAGGTTTCAGAGAAAGGACACGGACCCACTGGGACATTCTTCTCCTTCCCACACTGGGACCCTGTCATCACATGTATGATTGGAGCAGGGTCGTGCACCTGGCTGCAGTGCTTTGAGTTGGTTCACCAGAGTCCATGTGGCCAGAGTAGTGTGGCATTGTTGGGGGACTACTGAGCAAGCTGGAGATTTTTCCAATAATGTTCCCTTGCTGTCCCAGGATCCCATCCAGGATCCCACGTTGCCTTTAGTTGTCATGTCTACTTAGTCTCTTGTATGTAACTATTTCTCAGTGTTTCCTTGTTTTTCATGACTTTGGCAGTTTTGATGAGGGCAGTGCTTATTTTTTATGTCTTTGTGACCATTCACACATTTGGCACCATTGTAAAACACTGTGTGGCTGACTTCTAGCTTACCTGTCTGCTCTTCCCAATGGGATGCACTCCATTGTGGGAGAACAGCTTTGTGTCTTTTTTCAACTTGAATGAGTTACATGTTTTATGGAAGACTTCTAAAACTAGACAAACTTAGCTTTTTCTGATGTGTTTTAGGAAACACAAAGATGGTGCAGACCCAGGCCCTGCTTTGACTGGGAGAAAGATGCATTCAGTTGACTAAAACTTGAAGTAAGTACTGGTTCCTGTGAAAAAGGATATAATATATCATAGGTGAGAAGGGCTCTGTGACCTGGGAGATTTAATGGAAGATGTGCTTTTTTTTTTTTTTATTTTTTTCATTCTGAGTCACCTATTCTGTAACCACCCTTCCCACTAAACTACCCAGCCTGCCACTCCGGCTCATACCCCTGCTCTCTTTAAAATAGCCAATCGGAATTAGCTTAGACTATGTGCAGTCCCACCCTAGCCAATAGGGCATTACACAGCAGTAGGGGCTACCTGTATCAGGAATAAAAACTGCTTCCCCTCCCTCATCCAGGTGTGCTGTCACCATTACTCCATCTGCAACTTGCATCCTTCTATAGAAGTAAAAATTGTCTGCAGTGGCATGATCATGGGTCACTGCAGCCCTGAGATCCTGGGCTCAAGTGATTGTCCTGTCTTAGCCTCCCAAGTGGTTAGGCCTACAGGCAGGTGCCACCACACCAGGCTAATTTAAAATATGTTTTATAGAGATGGGGGTCTTCGTATGTTTCTTAGGCTGGTTTTGAACTCCTGACTGCTAGTGAACCTCCCTCCTCAGCATCCCAAAGTGCTGGGATTACAGACATGAGGCATCATGTCCAACCTTAAGAAGATCCTTACAAGAGAATCTGGAGAAACTTGAAACAGGGAGGGGACTTGGAAAGCAGACTGAGTAAGCAAGTTGTGAAGACTTAGTGGTGTTTGTTAACAGGTATTCACAAAAAAAAAAAACTTGGAAAAAGAGAAAATGAATTGATTCCCAGTGGAGGGAATTGGGAAAACTTTAGTTAGGGGAGTGGCTCTTGAAAGGATAGAGGAAAGGAGACAGAAAATAAAGCAGGAATGGGGAACAGGGCAGTGGAGCAGAAGCTAGGTGGTGTTTATTTTGTGCCTACTGTATGTCACACTCCATTCTCTGCCCTGGAAACATTTGACAGATGTGGATGTCACTGGTGTCATTTGCATACATTCTGGAGGGAGAAGTGGGCATCTTGGTTCAGGAAAGGAAATGGTTATGTGGGGAAGTGTGATGGGCAGAGCTCAGGAGTGAGCCTTGTGTTAGTCAGTTGTGTAGCTGCTGGCTCTGATCAGCTCAACAGATGTGTTTCCTAAATAGCTCTATTGTCTAAGACAGACTGGTATTTGCTCTCATAGATTTTTGTCAAGACAATAAAGTGTGGGCCAAGATAGTAGTTTTGGGTCAAAATAGAAGGGGATTAGAGATTTTGAAGGTAGAAGCCTGCTGGTAGAAGCAGTATAGAAGGAAGAATATGGATTCTGTTTGCCCAAATGCATGGCTAGGCTCACCTTGGACTTGTTTTTGTTTTATATCTCCTAATACTTCTATGTGCATATTAATAGATACCTAGTTAATATTAGGTTGAAACTTTGTTTGGAAGTCTGAAAAGTTCTGATTTTTACAAAGGCTTATGGTCTGAGAAGGCAGTAATACCTGACAGAAAATACTTAATATTTTATACAATAAACATTTAATGTGTTAAACTTGTGCCAAGCTTATGAACAAATGTGAGTGTTGGAGAGTTGTCTCAAGTGGGTAGTATGCAGTCTTCATTCTGGATGTGAGCCTCTGTGGTCTGCGTGTGGGGCAGCAGCACTGGGCCCCTGTTAGGGAGCCTTCCATTGGATGGCTGTCTCCAGTGGCAGTGTTTCTATCAGTGCCCTAAATTACGCTTTGGCTTAACTGCAGATACAGAGATGAATGGAGACCAGAAGTAAATGTTTTGGATGGCTCATTGCCCTGCAGTGTGCTCAGGTCCAGGTGCACGTAAAGGGAGTTGCTTCCGGGTACAGAAGGGCCCTGTGTGGCAAACTTTCTTTGTGTTTATTTTTACATAAGCCCTCCACAGTTATGCTGAGTCCTTTTCTTAACTAGCCCTTCCCTCATATGGGAACATTTTACTTTTTCAGGTGTTATCTTGAGGGAGATAATTTGTTTTACAATTGTGGCATTGCCACAGTGCTGCTCCAGTCACGGTTTCCTTTTTGAGTGTTAGACTGCACTGGATTTGCTATCGAGATCCAGGAGGGCCTGGGTGACCTTTACTCTGGTGTTTCTCTAGCTCACTGATTATTGTGCCAGTAGGAGCCAAGGGCTCATTGAAAGTATCTCTCAGGGCCTGACATCAGACAGGTCAGCTAGGCCTCTCCTTCATTTTATTTATTTATTTTTTCTGAGACAGTGTCTTGCCATGTCGCCCAGGCTGGAGTACACTGGCACGATCGTGGCTCACTGCAACCTTGACCTCCCAGGCTGGGGAAATCGTCCTTCCTCAGGCACCTGAGTAGCTCGGACCACAGGTGTGTGCCACCACACCAGGCAACTTGTGTCTTTGTTTGTTTTTTTGTAGAGCTGGGGTCTCACTATGTTACCCAGGCTGGTCTCAAAATCCTGGGCTAAGCAATCCTCCCTACTGCCTCCCAGAGGGTTGGGAGTACAGTGTTAGCCACTACGCCTGGCCACCTCTCCTTACCTATCCTAAAAATGGCTTGTTGTTTCTTTGTCATCCAGGGGTTCATTTGTTTTTATTTGCTGTATAATCTCCTCACAAGGATGCTTTTGAGGGCTCTGCTTTCAGTGAATCAGGTTTCATATAAATAATTTAAGATTAATGGGCTAAGAAAGGCTATTTAGTTTCAAAGTGTTCATAGCTGGGGCTGAAATCAACCCCTCCTGGGCTGTCAGGTTTAATAATCTTGCCGCCTTTTTTATTATCAGAGTCTCCTCTTTTTATTTATAGAGATGGGGTCTTGCTATTTTGTCCAAGCTGGTCTGAAACTCCTGTGCTCAAGCTGTCTTCCTACCTTGGTCTCCCAAACTGTTGGGATTACAGGTGTGAGCCACTGCTCCTGGCCTTAAGATATTTTTTATATCAGGTCACGTTTGTTTTATCTAGGGGGCAAACCTTCCTTGTAAGTAATGTTTTTCTAGTGATGCTGCACTCTTGGAGTCAGTTATCTGTCACCTGAATCTTCAGGGACTGTTTTGGGCTGTCCTGAGGGGGGATGCGGGGGGGTGGCGTAGCAGGAGTTACTACTGATGGGACTGCTGCCCCTGTAAACAGGAGAACCACTGCTCACAGATTTACCAAAGGTGTGGGGTCTTGAGCCCCAAAAGTTGAAGTTGCAGTGAGCTGAGATGATGACACTGTACTCTAGTGACAGAGTGAGACGGTCTCAAAAAAAAAAAAAAAAAAAAAAGAAAAGAAAAGTGTTGGGTCATTATTTACGTACTCGAACAAGTGACAGGCCTAGAAGGCCATCCCAAGTGAGGACAACTCAGTGCAAGAATGTTTAACTTCCAGATTACCTCATCCTTGAGAAATTTAGGAATAATCAAAGTTTCATTCTGTTAAGGTGTGGTTCTTTGATGTTAGTCATGGGAGTAAGGAATTTGCATGTAAAGCCCTGATGAGAAATGTCAAAAGAAGAAGCTGCTGGCTGCTTCAGTGGTGCAGGTGATACCTGTGCAGGAGAACTGCGCACAGCCAGCTGCTGGAGGAGAGAAGATGGCCTCCAGAGATAGCTTCGCACTGGGGGGTGACTGTTGGGGGATGAAAAAGACACATTCATGTGATGATGCTCAATTGCTTATGTCAGTGGAATGTCCAGGTTGCTTCTTGGGGGCAGTGGGTCTTTGAGATCCTGAGATCCATTCTCTTTGGAACATTGTGAATTAACAGGTGGGATGAGGGAGAATGTTCAGGTGTGGTATGGAGACATCAGGTTGCTTAACCACAGAGGGAACTTTTTTTTCCTAAGAATTATGTGGATTGGGATGTCCACACAATAGACATCCTATTTATAGATTTGAAGGGCATTAAAAGAAAAACCAACTCCAATTTGGTTTTCCTTCTTTTTCAGTGTTGAGTCTGAGTCTTTATTAGGGTCATAGCTTGTATGTGCATTTCTGTTTCTTGGACCCTGGCTGTAAAAAATGGGTCATTGAAGGTAATGAGAGTGTTTCTCTGGTCTCTGCCCTGTGTGTGCTGCTGACGAGGCAGCTGGGCCACATTTGCTATGCCCAGATCCTCTGTGACCTAACAGCAATGTTAGGAACTATTCCCGAAAGTGATAAACACAATTTCAGTTTATTAGTGCTCCTCTCATTAACCCATTGTTTTTTTCTTTCTTTCTTTCTTTCTTTAATTTTTTGATTAAAATGGAACAAGCTGGGCGCAGTGGAATGGGAGGTTGAAGTTGTGGTGACCCATGATTGTGCCATTGCCCTCCAGCGTAGGGGACAGAAGAAGACATCATCTCAAAAAAAAAAAAAGGAAATAAATATAATGGATCAGAAGGGTGTGATGTGCGTGTGACGCTAGTCCCTGATTGTGCCGCCATGGCTGCTTCTGCCCGGCCTTGCTACTGCTTTGTTTCAAATGCCAGTGAGCCTCCTTATTTTCATTCCTAGGTTTATTGTTGAGTCAGATCGTTTTCTTTCTCCCTTTCCCTTCCCCTTAGTAAATGTTCAGATCTTCTAATATTGCACCTTAGAGATCTTGGTACCATTCCCCCAGATCCATACAAACACAAAAACACAGATGATACTCAGGTTGGAACAGGAGGGTGCAAACTTAGCATCCCTGTTTGCCTCTTACTCTTCTGGCTTCCATCCTTAGCTGTGTACTGTGAGTGTTTATTGGGCAGTGTTGACAGGAGCTTCAGTCTCAGAAGAAGGATAGGAAATTGCTCTCAGACTCTGAACCCTAAGATGTGCTGCTATGTTACATTTCTGCCCCTAATCCTGATGGTTTCTCCTGCTCAATGAAGAGCACCTTTACCAAGTAGTCACCTGAGTATTAGGGCTGGAGGAGATCCGAGGGTATGACAGCTTCCCATTTTATGAGACGAGATTTGTCTGGAGATAAAATGAGCATGTGGTGTTTGGCAGGGCTGCATGTGTAGGTGGTAGCCATCGCTCATGATGTTCATGGTCTTGTAATTGGAGTAAGGACCTAAGACACATTGCTAGATGAATGTTTTCCTGTTTCTTCTTTGTTGTGAGGAGTTGCATGTGAGTTGTGAGATATGGCAAGGTTTTTCTTCATAACAGCCTGCTCAGCCTTTTATTTTTTAATTCCCAGTACATGCCCCCAACTCCACCCCACCGCCCTTTCTTCTCCTTTTCTTCTCCTTGTCTTTACTACCTGCCCGGGCGTGCCACAGCACCAGTAGCATTATCAGCACCAACTCACATTCCTTGCCTTATCTGGGAAAAGACTGGCTCTCTAGTTTGTCATAAACCACCCCTTCCTCCTCCACCCTCTCTCCCATCATGCGCCCACCTTATCTAAAAAAGTTTAAATGTTTAACCAGTTGAGCCTAGTTTAGATTGTGTGGTCCAACCCCAGCCAGTAGGAAAAAGGCAGACAAAAGTTGCCTTAAAAATAAAAACTTCTATTCTCCTTTGTTTGGGGTGCTCTCGTGGCAACCAGACATACCAGAGGCACCCTTCTGTGCAAAAATAAACTTGCTTTGCTTAAAAATCCTTTGAGGCTGGGCGCGGTGGCTCACGCCTGTAATTCCAGCACTTTGGGAGGCCGAGGCGGGTGGATCACGAAGTCAGGAGATCGAGACCATCCTGGCTAATACGGTGAAACCCCGTCTCTACTAAAAATACAAAAAATTAGCCCGGCGTGGTGGCGGGCGCCTGTAGTCCCAGCTACTCGGGAGGCTGAGGCAGGAGAATGGCGTGAACCCGGGAGGCGGAGCTTGCAGTGAGCCGAGATTGTGCCACTGCACTCCAGCCTGGGCGACAGAGCGAGATTCCGTCTCAAAAAAAAAAAAAAAAAAATCCTTTGAGTGTTCGTTTTTCCTTAAGACTCCAAGTCTTATTTGTATCATGAGTTGATTTGGATAGTAAATGAAATCATGCCTTAAGTATCTCCATGGTGGCCTAATTTGTTACCTGAAGCTTTTTCTTACAGCAGTCTCTAACAAAAATCACTTCCTGTTAACTCCTTCAGAACTGCAGGTAACTTGGTGAGTTCTTACTGTTTTGTGAATTCTTGAGGGAGATGAGAGCACCACACCACACAGGACTTGAGGGCAGCAGGCTTTTAGGTTTTGCACACAGCTTCTCAAACGGTGTGATTGGGAAATTGTTAGAATTTCCAGATAGTACCTAGTTTGGAGGTTCAATAGTGCTTTATTTTTATGTTTTATTTTTAAAATAAAGATGGTGTCTGACTGTCCAGCACAGGCTGGACTCCAGCTTCTGAGCTCAAATGATCCTCCCACCTAGCCCTCCCAGAGTGCTGGGATTGCAAGAAGGAGCCACTGCACGCAACCGCAGTCATGCTTTTAGATTGAGGATGTAGAATGGAAGGCTTTGGTGCCTATGCTTTCATGAGATTTCTTAGAGAATTTTTTTTCCCCATCTAAGTCTATCATGTTAACCAATATTCCCTACATACATTTAGTCTGTGTACAAAACACCCATGGCTGCCTCTCCTCAGTGTGGTCACTCACGCCTCTCTCCTCAGACCGATCCACATTGACCTGGACTTGGATAAGCTTACCTCACTGTTATCTGGGGTATGTGTTTCCCCTTGTGTGCCTGTCACATAATGGATCACATTTCAACCCTTTTTCTATAGGGCAGGATTTGTAGAAAGGTTTTGAATCTTAGTGATAAGCTATGACCATGAGTAAGTTACTTTATTTTTCCTTGCTTTTGGTTTTCTTCTAAGAATTGGGATTATATCTCCTCTCACGGCCTTTTGCGAGGGATTAAATGAGCTAATGACTATTAAAGTAACTGCCAGAGTGGCACATGTAAGCCCTAAATAATAATTTTATTTCTTCCTTCCTGTTTCGCTTGGCATTTGAAGCCTGGCAACTGCTGCTTTTTCCTCCAACAACTTTATTCAGATATTATTGACATGTAATAAACTGTAGTTTAATTAAAGTATACACTTTGACAAATTTTGGGTATGAATACATTATAGATAAAGACAATGAATGCATCTATCCCTACCAAAGCTTCCTAGGACCCCTTCAAAATTGCCCTCTCCCATCCCAATTTGGTTTCTGTCCCTTTAGGGTACTTCACATTTTCTAGAACTTCATATAAATGGAATCCATTCTTCCCTGTGTTGCCTTGTATCCTTGTCAAAAAATCCATTGTCAATATATGGGAGTGTCTCTTTCTGGACAATTTTTTTTTTCTTTTTTAAGAGATGGGGTCTCACTCAGTCTCCCAGGCTGGAGCTCAGTGCCATGATCATAGCTCACTGAAGCCTCAAACTCCTGGGCTCAATCGATCCTCCCGCCTCAGCCTCCCAAGTAGCTAGGACTACAGGCATGCACCACCGTGCCCCACCATGCTCGACTACTTTATTCTTTTTTGAATTTTTTGTAGAGATGGGGTCTTGCTGTGCTGCCCAGGCTGGTCTCAAACTCCTGAGTTCAAGCAGTCCTCCTCCCTTGGCTTCCCAAAGTGCTGGGATTACAAGTGTGAGCCACTGCATTGGGCCCCTGGACATCATTTTGTTCCTTTAATTTATTTATCTGTTACTACACCAGAAACACACCATCATGATTACTGTAGCTTTAATAAACCTTTAAGTCAAAAGAATATTAGTCCTTCAACTTTTTTCCTTTTTCAAACATGTTTTGGTTATCTTAGGTCTTTCACATTTCTGTATGAATTTTAGAATCAATTTGTCAGTTTTCACTTAAAAGCCTGCTGGGATTTTAATTGCGATTGCAGTGACTTTGTGGATTAATTTGGAAGGAAGTGACATTTTGGTGAATTTGAGCCTTCTGACTCATGAACACAGCTTATCCTTCCATTGATTTAGGTGGACTGTGCTTTCCTTAGCAATGCTTTAGCTTTCAGTGTATGAATCTCACACATCTTTTTTCAGATTTATCCCTAAGTATTTCATATTTTGATACTGTTGTAAATGGTTTTGCTTTTCTAATTTTTGATTTTTTTTTAAACTGGGATGGAAACCAACTTTGTAAATATGCTGGTTTTGTATCCTACAACCATACTAAACTCAATTATTAATTCTGGTGTCTTTTTATAGATTCTGTTGGATTTTCTACAGAAATAAACAAAGTCAGTTTTACTTTTTCCTTTCTTGGATACCTTTTATCTCATTTCTCTTGGGCTAGAACCTGCAGTACAGTGTTCAAAAGAAGTGATGAGAGTGGACATCACAGGCTTATTTCTGACGGTAATTGGAAAGCGCCTACTTTTTTTACCATTAACCGTGATGTTTGCTGTAGAGTTCCATAAAGGCACTTTATGAGGTTGAGGAAGTTCCCTTCTATTACAAGTTTGCTAAGTGTTTATCAGGAATGGACATTGAATTTTATAATTTATTTTGCCGTGGTCTTGGCTTACTGCAACATTTGCATCCCAAGTTTGATTGATTCTCCTGCCTCAGCTTCCTGAGGAGCTGGGACCACAGGTGTGCACCACCATGTCAGGCTAATTTTTGTATTTTTAGTAGAGACGGGGCTTCACCATGTTAGCCAGACTGGTCTCAAACTCCTGACCTCAGGTGATCCACCTGCGTTGGACTCCCAAAGTGTTAGGATTACAGGTGTGAGCCACCATACTTGGCCCTATAATTTTTTTTTTACATTTATTTATCATTTGGTTTTGATTTCTTAGTTTGTAAATATTGTTAATTACATTGTTCTTCCAATGTTAAACCAATCATGCATTCCTGCATTAAAACCCACTTGGTAACAATGTGTCATTCTTCCTGTATGATACATGGCTGGCTGGATGTCAGCTGAGCCCTGCACCTTTCACCATCCAGCAGACTAGTCATTGGGGCTACCAAGAACAGTAGGGCAGCAGAAGCTTGAGCTACACAGCTTCACTTTTGCTTCATTCTGTTGGTAAAAGCAATCGCCGAGTGAGAAGAGATTCAAGGAGTGCAAAATAGACTTTCTCCCTCGACCTCCTTATGGAATGAGCTGCATTTGAATTGGAGGTGTGGGTGAGAAGGTGAGTCTGTGCAATTTGGGCATACCTACTGCAACAACTTAAACCCAGATTCTCTTATTTTTACTATCGTCATTTATTGCGGGATCTGACCAGCAGCCCGCAATGCAGTGGGGCTCTCTTTGTTCCCAGGCAGATCAGCAGGTCAAGGAATAATAGACACACACAAGATAGTGAAAGCTGAGTCCAGGGGGGTCACTGCCTTCTTGTCCCATGGTGCCAACAATGCACTGGATATACCAGCGTTTATTATTAAGTTTAGTGAGGGCGAGGGTAGGTTAGTGAGGGATTTAGGGTCATTTGATTATGAGATGAGATGGTCACATGGGAATGAAGTAATTCTTTAACATAACATCTGTATGCAAAAGCACAGTATACAGAGATAAGAATTTACAATATAATGTGTGCATCAGTAATTTGTAACAGAGCCTTAAAACAGAAACACAGTCTTTCTATAACCTGTGATTAGCAAGATATTAATCAGCAGTAACAGTTGCAGCAAAAGCTGGTTACCAGCAATCCTTAGAAACAGGACGTGAAGCCAGACAACCAGTTAGACCAGAAATTCTCAGAAGGGAGTATGCTTTAACCCTAAAGAGGCCTAGAATAGCTGTGGCAAGATGAGGACATTTATAGCCCTATCTTATCCATATGGACAGGTGCCCTTCATGAATCCGTTTATAAGCTCTCCACAAGGGTCACATTCCATTCCCAGAGCTGTGAACATCTGCTTTTCTGGGATAGGAACCTTGGTGATATGAAACCTCCCTGACTGCATGTCCATTTATAGGTTGTCTGCAAGGGGAAGCACATCACACGCTGTTGGGTCATTCTGGCAGTCCAACCTGGCATTGTCTTTACACAATCCTGCGTGTAATTTTGTATTTACAATAATCAGGAGCATTTCATCTTTTATTCTGTAGCAATAGTTTCAGGTGGTCTCCCTACAATCATCCAGATAATTGTTTCATCTTCTGCTTTGGTTTCAAGTTATCACTAAATTACCAAACCCTTCTTTGCTAAGTTCACGGGAACAGTGTCCTGAAGTGAAAAAGGCTGCAGGCCAGGCGAGGTGGCTTACCCTTGTAATCCCAGTGCTTTAGGAGGCCGAGGTGGGCAGATCACTTGAGGCCAGGAATTCAAGACCAGCCTGGCCAACACAGCAAAACCCCATCTCTACTAAAAATATGAAAAAACTTAGCTGGGCTTGGTGGCACATGCCTGTAATCCTAGCTACTCGGGAGGCTGAGGCAGGAGAATCACTTGAACCCAGGAGGGGGAGGTTTCAGTAAGCAGAGATTGCACCACTGCACTCCATCTTTTGTGGCAGAGCAAGACTTTATCTCAAAAAAAAAAAAAAAAAAAGACTGTGGGTAGCAAGTCACTCAGTTGTCTTACCTGATATTTGTAAACATATCCAACATGTCCTGTGGTATCTTAATGGGATACACAACAGCATTTGGGATCAGCGATGCAGTGCATCCTGCATCTTGAAGTGTGATACAGGTCAGATGTGGTGCGCATAGTCCCCAGCACTTTGGGAGGCGGAGGCAGAAGGATCGCTTGAGATCAGGAGCTCAAAACCAGTCTGGGAAGTATATCAAGAAAGACCCCATGTCTACAAAAATAAAAATAAAACTTAGCCGAATGTGATGGTGTGTGCCTGTAGTCCCAGATACTTGAGAGGCCAAGACTTGGAGAGTCACTTGAGCCCAGGGGTTCTTTTTAGAGACAAGGTCTTACTCTGTGGTCCAGGCTGGAGTGCTGTGGTACCATCCCACCTCAGTAGCCTCAACTTCCTGAGCTCACGCAGTTCTCCCACCTCAGCTTCCCATGTACCTGGGACAACAGGCACATGCCACCCAGGTAATATATCTTTGAATTTTTTGTAGAGATGGGGTCTTTCTTGCTATTTTTTATAGAGATAGGGTTTAGCAGTGTCGCCCAGGCTGGTCTCGAACTCCTGGGCTCAAGTGATCTGCCTGCCTTGGCCTCCCTACGTCCTGGGATTACAGACATGAGCCACTGCTCCTGGCCTAATTTCAGCTTACTCGTTTGGAAGACTTTGGATAATAAACATTTATGTGGCCTTTGTCTCCCCTACCTTCTCAGTCCTGGCAGATTTCCTACAACGCTTGAATTTTTTGAATGATAGGATGTCACTTGTTATTCATAACTAGCTCCTTTCTGATCACACCAGAATATAAGCAGTGAGGTGACAGGTTAGGGCTGGTCACCAGAAAGACGAAGTGATTAGAGGACTGGAGCTTTCATCTTCACCAACTAACCTCCAGGGAGGGAGCAGGAGCTGAAGATGAAGCTCTAAAAACTCTTGGACACATTCGAATGCTGTAAAGGCTCCCTGCCACCCACACCTTGTTCTGTGTATCTTTTGTTTGGCTGCTGCTGAGGTGCCTTTTTTGTGTCTTACATGTTGAACACATGGAATAAAGTTAAAACAGCTTTTGTTTGTTTGTTTGTTTGTTTGAGATGGAGTCCCACTCTGTTGCCCAGGCTGGAGTGACAATCTGGGCCCACCGCAAACTCTGCCTCCTGGGTTCAAGCGATTCTCTTGCCTCAGCCTCCTGAGTAGCTGGGATTACAGGTGCCCACCACCATGTCCAGCTAATTTTTTTATTTTTAGTAAAGATGGGGTTTCACCATGTTGGCCAGGCTGGTCTCAAGCTCCTGACCCTCACGTGATCTACTCTCCTCCGCCTCCCAAAGTGCTGGGATAACAGGTGTGAGCCACTGTGCCCACTGTAAAACAGGTTTTAATGTTTTTGTCTACTGATTTTAACACCTGTTTCAGTTCTAAGTTGGTTTCCATTGATTGATTCTTTTGTCTTCGTTATGACTTTTTTTTTTTCAGCACTAGTCCTAATTCTCTGAGGCTTGTATTTTTTTCTCTCCTTCTCATGCCTAGTAATTTTTATTGGATGCCAGGCATTAGGAATTTTACTTTGTAGGGTGGTGAATTTATTTCAGAAATTGTAAAATAAGCAACATAGTTCACAGAACACAAAATATACCATTTGAAGCTCACAATTCATGATTTTTAGTATATTCATCGTATATTGTGCACCTTATCACCATTGTCAAATTCCAGAATATTTCTATCCTCACAAGGTCCCCTGTGCCGTCAGTTTCTATCCCCGTTCTCCCCCTTCCCTGACAACTAGTACTCTACTTTCTATCTCTGTGGATTTGCTTATTGTGAACGTCTCCTTAAATGGGAATTAAGTCTTTTGGATTTTAGATAAATAGAATCTAAAACCCAAATCATTAGAATTATTTTCTCTTCAGATAACTGAACTGTCAACAACAGATTGGGACTGGTTACAGATGGGGTTGCATGTGCTCTCCTGTGTTCACCTGATGTGCCTGAGCCCACAGCCCGTGGAGCAGGTTCTGCCAGCATCTATTTCTGGGCACTTTGTTGAGGCTATGATACAACCTCCTTTTATTGGTCCCTGTTGTGATCAGCACCCTGAGCTTTTAGAAAGTGTGATAGTGGCTGTGTAGCAGAGGGGTCTTCTTTCACTAGTACATTTGATGTGCCAGGAGTACATGGGTGGTGTGTGCCAAAGGACACTTGAGATTTTTTCCATTGTCTCATGGTGGAATACTGGAGGAGTAAGTGTTCCTACTTGTTAAGCAGGTATTCTGTGTGTGCTGAAAGCAGGCCTTTCGCTGACGTGTGCGGGCAGCCAGTGCTGTGGAGCAAGGCCACCATGGACTGTCTGCTGTTGATGGTAAGAGTGTGCCACTCCTGTTCTTTGTCATGGCCTCTGCTGTAAGATGAGAGAAGTCTGACACCAGTGTGATTCATGACTCTTTTGTGGGTAAGATTTTTAGGATTTTATGGAAACTTGTAGGATTTTCTATTTATATGCGGGAGTCTGACATTTCACTATTTTTAGGGTTTAGATTATGACTTCTTTATATTGGCTAGCATTTTGCAGCGCTTTAATATGCAGACTTGTTTTTTTAATGTCATCTCAGTTTTTCTGTAAATGGCCACATAGTAGATATGTTAGACCTTGTGGGCCACACATTCCCTGACAGCTATTCAGCTCTGCCATTTGTATCATGGATCATGGAGGGAACTGTGGGGCACACTTAAACAAGCCTGGCTGTTTTCCAATTAAACTACTGTTGACACTAAAATTAGAATTTTCTAATTTTAACTTAGCACAAAACATTATTTTCTTTTTCAACTAGCTATAAATATAAACCCCATTCTTAGCTTATGGACTGTCAAAAAAAGATATTGGGTCATATTTGGCCTCTGAACACCAGATTGTTGCCCTATCATAGTAGATGAACTTGGAACTGTGTAACTTTATTGACTTTTGTCCTTGAAGCTTTCTTTTCTTCCTTTTGTAGAGTTTGTTCTCTGGTTTCTCTATTTATTTTTATTTTTGTAGACATGGGGTCTTTCTTGATATACTTTCCAGGCTGGTTTTGAGCTCCTGATCTCAAGTGATCCTCTGCCTCCGCCTCCCAAAGTGCTGGGGACTACGTGCACCACATCTGGCCTGTATCACACTTCAAGATACTTTAAGAATTTTTAGGTTAGAGGGATAGATTCCATCATAGTGATATTTTATTTATTTATTTATTTATTTATTTATTTATTTATTTATTTATTTATTTTTGAGATGGAGTCTTGCTCTGTCGCCCAGTCTGGAGTGCAGTGGTGAGATCTCGGCTCTCCGCCTTCCAGGTTCAAGCAATTCTCGTGCCTCAGCCTCCTGAATAGCTGGGAATACAGGCACCTACTACCACACCTGGCTAATTTTTGTGTGTTTAATAGAGACAGGGTTTTGCTATGTTGGCCTGGCTGGTCTTAAACTCCTGGCCTCAAGTGATTTGCCCACCTCAGCCTCTCAAAGTGCTGGGCTTACAGGTATGAGCTACCACACCTGGCCTTACCATTGTGATTTAATAGTACTACAGTATTATTTTTTGTGTGTGTGTGTGAATAGAATTGCAGTCTGAACAGGAAGCATTTCCACTATAGGTGATGTGAAGAAGTTAATTTTTTCCATAAGTAGAAAGCCATGGAAACATTAAACTTCATAACAATCTATTGCTTATGTGGTAACATAAGGAATTAATTTTGTATTAAATGTGAACTAGACAGGTTGCCATGGTGTACTACATTGAAATTATTGAAAAACTCTGAGCCAGTATTAATGATAGTTTTTATAAAATGAAGCTCGTGACAGAAGGAAGTATACCAGTGGTGATGAATATGCTGAAATGGGCTTTTGCAGTAGATGCTCTGGAGGTCTTCACAAATGAGTGCCAGAGGAGGGAGAGGGCAGTAACTGAGTCTTCTGAACATTCTGAGAGCTGAGCTGTTAGGGAGAGACAGAGCCTTAAATGAGAACCCTAGTTTTTAAAACTTTATGTTTTGATGGAAGTGGCCATAATTGTTAGTGTTAAAGGATGCATTTATCTTATTGAGATTACAAGATGAAGTTCAGAGAACTTAGGTAGCCTCAATAAGATGATATAGTTAATGATTTTATGAATTTTTCCCTTTTTAGTAAATTTGTATTAAAATGGAATTATTAGGTGAGGTACAATGGCTCATGCCTGTAATCTCAGCACTTTGGGAGGCCAGGGTGGGCAGATAACTTGAGCCCAGGAATTTGAGACCAGTCTGGGCAACACGGTGAAACACCGTCACTACAAAAAATACCAAAAATAGCGGGGCATGTTGGCACGTGCCTGTGGTCCCAGCTACTCAGTAGACTGAGGGTGAAGGATTGTTTGAGCCCAGCTGTATAAAATTTGCCATTTTTACCATCTTTGAGTGTACTGTTCTCTGGTATTATATTCACATTGTGTGAGGCCATCACCAACATCCCTCTCCAGAACGTCTTCATCTTCCCAGGTGACTCTGTGTACCTATCAAACACTTAACTCTTCATTGCCTTCTCCCCATAATCCTTGGCAACCACCACTCTACTTCCTGTCTCTTAAGAATTTCACTACTCCAGGTACCTCTCCTATAAGTGGAGTCATAAAATAGTTGTTCTTTGTGACTGGCATATTTCCCTTTTGGATCAGTTTGCCCCTGTGGGTCAGTCTTCAGTTGAACTATTTGCCCCCACAGCTTAGATTCCTCAATTGTGACCAACTTGAATTTGTGGAGGTCAAAGTCAGTTTTTGTTACTTATTTACTTACTTTTGAGACAGAATTGCTGTCTTGCTCAGGCTGGAGCACACAGAGGTGCGATCGTGCTCACTGTAGCCTCAACCTCCTGGGGTCAAGCAGTCCGCCCACTTCGGCCTCCCATAGTTCTGGGATTACATGCATCAGTTGCTGCACCGGGTGTCAAATTTTACTTTTTTTAGTGGCTTTATTTTTGAGAAAATTTTCACTTCACCTCCCACAATTGGTAATGTTTATTTCAAGATACATTGCAGCCTATTCTTGTGAGTGCCTCACACTTACCAGCCATTGCATTCTGGATGTAGCATAGTGTGTTACCCATGGCTCCTGAATGGTCCTTGTGTCACCAGTCATTAGAGTGGTTGGTATGAGGCCAGTGCAAAGATGACTGTTTGTGGAAATGTATTCATGTCAATTGCCAATTGTCATGGGTCTCTCTTAGAAAGGAGTCTTTTCCCCAAAACCCAGCATTTCCCTGGCAATATGCTGTCATTTTTATTATGGTCTGTGGACATCACAGAGAAAGCGACTGCTACTGTTACTGAAATTTCAACCCATATCATGGTCAGTACCCACAGTTTTTGTCACAAAACTATAGAGGCGTCATTCTGAACTGCATCTAATACTGCTTGGAGGAGCAGCCCATTATTTGGAAATGGACAAGTGCTGTTGTAGCCACAGAATCAAGTGGCATCGAGGCTGTGTTCCCAGAAGGCCATGTGGCTTGTGGAGTGGGTGTAGTAGACATCGCCCATCATGATGTGTTGGACTTTCATTTGCCTGAATTTGTTTGTTGTGATCAATTTGGAAATAATGCTTTCAATTTCCTTCTGCTGCATATATCAGAAAAATTTCCTGCTATAACTAATATGATGTTTTGACTTTGGGTTTTAATATGTTTTAGTACCAATATTCAGGCAAAAATTCTTCATTTGAATACATGCTAGAGGCACATTGTTCACTTCCTTTAATGCTCATCTGTTTTCTACCACGTAGAATTCCCTTCCTTATGTCACATTTTGATTCTCCATTCTTCTGTTGATGGACACGGGTTGTTTCAAGCTTTTGGCTGTTGTGATTAATGCTGCTATGAACAGGGGGCTACAAATATATGTTCAAATCACTCATTTTGCTGCTGTTGGATATGTAGCCAAGGGTATATAGATCTTTGAAGTAGAATTGCTGGATCTTATGGGTAATTCTATTTCTAAATTTTTTTTTTAAGACAGTCTCTGTGGCCCAGGATGGAGTTCAAGGCCACGATCTCAGCTCACTGCAACCTCTGCCTCCCAAGTGATTCTCATAACTCAGCCTCACGAGTAGCTGGAATTAGGGGCAGGCTACCATGCCCAGTTAATTTTTGTATTTTCAGTGGAGACGGGGATTTCACCAGGTTGGCCTGGTTGGTCTTGAACTCTGGGCCTCAAGTGATCTGCCTAACTTGGCCTCCAAAAGTGCTGGAATTATAGGCATGAGCCAATGCACACTGCCTATACATGGATTTTTGACTGTGCTGGGGTGTCAGCTGTAATTGTTCAAGGGTCATATAATTGAGGAACTGATACCAAATGGGATGAAAAATTTTAGGATTATTCCACAGTTAATGAAGCTCACCCAATGCCACAATGTGTTGTAGGCAGCTAATGAGCTGTTTTTCATCTGTTTCTCTCCCCCGTCTATCTTCACCCTCAATCTTTTCAATCAAGGCACTCTTTTCCAATCTCCAGGCTAATAATGTTCATAGTAATGCACCCCTGGGGGGAAGTGGTGTCTCACTTCCTAGCTATGTGACCCTGAGCAGGTGTCTTAACCTCTCTGGGCTTCCCTCCCACACCTATAAAATGAAGATAATAAAAGCTCCTGTCTCATAGCATGGTGATGAGGATTAAATGAGGTGAAACATGCAAAGCACATGTTAAGCTCTTTATAGTGCTAAAAAATCAACAAAAATTAAATGAAAGAAGCCAAGCATGGTGTTGCACTCCAGTAGTCTCAGTTAGTTGGAGGTGGAGGCAAGAGGATCATTTGAGCCTAGGAGTTTGAGACCAGCCTGGGCAACATAGTGAGACCCCATCTTTTAAAACAAAACAAAAAAACTTAGCGCCGGGTGCAGTGGCTTCCGCCTGTTATCTTCACATTTTAAAAGGCTGAGGTGGGCAGATCACTTCAGGTCAGGAGTTCTAGACCAGCCTGGAAAATACAGTGAAACACCATCTCTACTAAAAAATACAAAAAATTTGCTGGGCATGGTGGTGCATGCCTGTAGCCTACTCAGGAGACTGAGACAAAAGAATCGCTTGAACCCAGAAGGCTGAGGTTGCAGTGAGTCGAAATTGCATCACTGCATTCCAGCCTAAGTAGCAAGCAGAGTGAGGCTTTTCCTCAAAAAGAAAAGAAAATACAAACTTTAAAAAAAGTAAAATAAATAAAAGTGAATTCAATGACATTAAATTAAAATTTTTAAAAATATAATGGGCCGTGCACAGTGGCTCACACCTGTAATTCCAGCACTTTGGGAGACCAAGACTGGCAGATCATTTGAGGTCGGGAGTTTAAGACCAGTCTGAACAACATAGAGAAACCCTGTCTCTACTAAAAATATAAAAAAAAAATAGCTGGATATGGTGGTGTATGCCTGTAGTCCCAGCTACTTGGGAGGCAGAGGCAGGAGAATAGCTTGAACTCAAGAGGTAGAGGTTGCAGTGAGCCGAAATTGCACCACTACATTCCATCCTGAGTGACGGAGTGAGACGCCGTCTCAAAAAATAAAGAAAGAAAAATGAAATGAAATAATGAAATGAGAAATGATGAAATGAAATGAAATAAAAAATAAAATAATAAAACAAAGGAAGCCACAGAGGGGTCATGATATGCCCAGAGTCACCCAGAATATACCAGGCACAGAGGAAAGATTTGAACTCACAGCCACCTGATTCTATCCAGACTTGGCCAAGCATGGTGGCTCATGCATTTAATCCCAGCACTTTGGGAGGCTGAGGTGGAAGGATCATTTGAGGCCAGGAGTTCAAAACCAGCCTGGGCAACATAGCTAGAACCCTTCTCTATAAAAAATAAAAATTAGCACAGCTGGCAGTGCATGTGTGTAGTCTCCACACTTTGGGAGGCTGAGGCATGTGGATCGTTTGAGCCCAGGAATCAGAGGCTGCAATGAGCCAAGATTGTGCCACCACACTCTAGGCTGGGCGACAGAATGAGACGCTGTCTCAAAAATAAATAAATAAATAAACAAACAAATTAATTAATTAAAAATAAATAAATGAATAGAATTAAAAATTAAAAAATGAAATCCAAGCTTGCTCCAGAGGCCCCTCTTTTTGGCTTTCAAGGATGCCCCTTCCTGGGCTCCCACTGACTTGCACTCCTTGCCCCTGCCAAGAGAGTCTGCCTGTTTTCCCTGTGAATCCAGCAGATCTAGTGCAGTCTCTGAATGTTTGTCCATCGGGTCCGCACCCAGCTCCTCATGTGCCTGCCTTCACTTCTCTAAATCCTCCCTGTTGCTCCAGGCTCTGCTCTGGCACTGCCTCCTCAAGATAGACTCCCTGATTGCTCTAGATCACACAGGATGGGGAGGCCGTAGCCCATACTGGGAAAATGAAAGGCTCCAAGTCAAGCCTGCCCACCCACGCCAGGCACAAAGAGGTGCTCAGGAAGGCTGACTGACTGCCCCTGGAGGTGAACCCTCACTTTCATCCTCTCCATCTGTGGCCTGAACTGGCCACCATACCACAAGGCACTTGAGGGGCCTAGGAGGGAGTGGGAATGACTGAGGAAGAAGCATGTATTTCTAATAGTTCATAGACCAAGACAAGGATGCAAGAGACGACAGCTGGATCTACCTCAGGGCTTTTGCATTGGCTGTACCAGTCACCTGGTATGCAGTGCCTGCAAACTCCCTCCCCTTCTGTTTCTTTTCTTTTTGAGAGAGAGTCTTGCCCTGTCACCCAGGCTGGAATGCAGTGGTGTGATCTCAGCTCACTGCACCCTCTACCTCCCGGGTTCAAGCAATTCTTCTGCCTTAGCCTCCCGAGGAGCTGGGACTACAGGCATACGCCACCATGCCCAGTTAATTTCTGTTTTTTTTGTTTGTTTGTTTGTTTTGCTTTTTTTTTTTTTAAGTAGAGACGGGGTTTTGCCATATTGGCCAGGCTGGTCTCAAACTCCTGACCTCAGATGATCCACCCACCTCAGGCTCCCAAAGTGCTGGGATTACAGGTGTGAGCCACCCCACCTGGCTGAGACCTCAGTTACTTCATATAGAATACCTTCACCTTTACCATATAATGTAATCTAAATACAGGAGTGACATTCATGCTAGTTCACAGTGCTACCCACAGCCAAAGGATCTGCCCACCTCCATCTCTGGAAGTACTGGTATTACAGGCAGGAGCCACTGCATCTTGTCCTCCCCTTCCCTTTTTGATCTTTACTCTAATATCACCTGCTGTGGGAAGCCTTCCCCAGCCATCCTCTTTAACACTGCTACCACCTCCCCTACCCTGGATGCTTCAGTTCCCCTTCCTGCTTTGTCTGCCCTCACGGCACAAAATACACATTTTGTCTTATTTATCTTGTTTTGTGTTCATCCCCCACACTCAGCGGTCGGCTCCACCAGTGCAAGGATTGTGCCTGTCCTCTTCCCGGGCTGATCTTCCCCTGTGCCTGGAACAGCACCTGCTATATAAATTATGTGCTGGATACACACACTCGAAAAGCAAGAGATCAGGCTCCCTGAGAAAGTGAGTCCTTGGAAAAGCAAGGGGTCACTGTGGCTGGGGAGAGCAGAGATTGAACGAGGAGGTGGTACTAGGGCCACAGTGTGAGGAATGATGAGGGTCTGATAGGTGGCAATGCAGGGAGAAGGTGTTGTTTGGGGAGGGAACTGCCTGGGCAAAGGTAAGATGGCGGGAAAGCTTGTCTGGGGAGAAATGGGGGAGGTAAGGGCGCCAGGGGCCAGCAGAGAGGAAAAGAGAAGAGGTGGATAGAGGCCAAAGGCTGTAGACTGGAATTAACGGGTGGATCTTCACTCAAGCCCTGGGATACAGAAGCCTGAAGTTAGTGGTTATCAGGCATCTAGGGCCTCACATCTTCTGTCGTCTTAAATTGTGCCGTGAGAATCTTCATGGACGCTGTTCTGCATTTCTCTTTTCCCAAGGCCACCTGGGGAAGGGAGAAAGTGGCGGTAGGGTGAGGGACACCAGTCCTGGGTGGCACAGTCCGCTACTTCCCCTCCTCAAAAGGACCACTTCCTTCTCCCGGAGCAGTCCTGGTCCCTAGAGAAAGACATAGAGCTGCTCCATCTCCTGTCTGCTGTGTGTCCTTTGGCAAGTTACTTGCCCTCTCTGTTTTACTTCCCTCCTCTATAAAATGAGAGAAATGATGCTGTCTTGACCAACTCATGGTCAGTTTTTGGTATGGTCCCTACACAGAGCCTGGCCAAACATGAGCTCAGTAAATGCGCCTCACTGGTATTTCCTGTTATCCAAACAGATCAAGCCTTTTCTGGCCTCTTAGCTTTTCTCTGTGCAGTTATTTCTGCCTAGAATGGTTTCTTTTTCCTACTCTGCTGAACTCCTACTCATCCTTCAAAGTTCCCAGGCAGAGATCTAACTCCCCAAATCAGGTTTCTGCCTACTGCAGCTGGGTCTCTTCCTCTGTCAAGACTGGAAGGTTCTAGTCTGGTTCTGTCTTTTTCAACATTCAGGGGCTCCCTGGAGACTGAACCCAGGGCTGAGGGCTCTCAGCACAGAGGCATATTTACTGGATAGTCAGAGGGAACCCCCTCACAGGTAGGCACCCTCACATTGGTGTGGCCTTTGTGTGAATGACAGCAATTCACCCACAGTGGGTGGAGGTCTGGGGCGATGGCTGCATGCATGTGTGTGATGTGAGCGTGTACATGCATGCACGTCTGTCCACCTGGGCCTGATTTGTACAGGCAGGGAAGTCAGGCAGGAATATCTTGAAGGGACGTGTTTTTTGAGGGTTGTGACTGGGGAGTCCTGTATCTGAAAGGGATTCAGTGAAAGAAAATCTGTATTTGCCTCTTACCAGGGAGTAGGGATTGAGATGTCCTCTACCTACCATCTACCTGCTCATGAATTTTTCAAGTCACCTTTCCACCCATCTACCACTCATGCATTCACCTGGACATCCATCCACCCACCCATTGGTCACGACCCACCCACTCACCCATCCAATTTACGTTCTCATGGTTCTTCATCACCCTTTTATCAGGCTTCAGTCACCATCTATTCATCCACCCACCTATACCAAACACCCACCATCTCCCGCCATTCATCCATCCACTCAACCACCCTCTTACAACCATCCCTCCATCCACCCACCCATCCATCCATCCATCCGTCCACCCAACTGAGAGGTGACAGCGTGCTCGCAGCCCTCGCAGCCCTCGCTCGCTCGCTCTCGGTGCCTCCTCGGCCTTGGCCCCCATTCCGGCCGCGCTTGAGGAGCCCTTCAGCCCGCCGCTGCACCGTGGGAGCCCTTCTCTGGTCTGGCCGAGGCGGGAGCCGGCTCCCTCGGCTTGCGGGGGCGTGGGGTATGGAGGGAGAGGCATGCGCGGGAACCCGGGCTGCGCGCGGCGCTTGCCGGCGAGCTAGAGTTCCGAGTGGACTTGGGCTTGGAGGGCCCGCACTGGGAGCGGCTGGCCCTGCCAGCCCCGGGCAGTGAGGAGCTTAGCACCCAGGCCAGCAACTGCGGAGTGTGCGCCGGCTACCCCAGCAGCGCTGGCCCATCCGCGCTGCGCTTGATTTATCGCCAGGCCTTAGTTGCCTACCCCAGGGCAGGGCTCCACACCTGCAACCCGCCATGCCTGAGTTCCCCCCACTCCCCGCTCCAGCGCGGCCTGAGCCTCCCCAACGAGCGCCGCCCCCTGCTCCAAGGCGCCCAGTCCCATGGACCCATGACTGCCCAAGGGCTGAGGAGTGCGGGCGCAGGGCTCCAGACTGGTAGGCAGCTTCACCTGCGGCCCCAGTGCCAGATCCGCTGGGTGAAGCCAGCTGGGCCCCTGAATCTAGTGGGGACTTGGAGAATCTTTATGCCTAGCTAAGGGATTGTAAATACACTGATCAGCACTCTGTATATAGCTCAAGGTTTGTAAACACACCAATCAGCACCCTGTGTCTAGCTCAGGGTTTGTGGATGCACCAATGGGCACTCTGTATCTAGCTAATCTGCTGGGGACTTGGAGAATCTTTATGTCTAGCTAAGGGATTGTGAATGCACCAATCGGCACTCTGTATCTAGCTCAAGGTTTGCAAATGCACCAATCAGCACTCTGTGTCTAGCTCAGGGTTTGTAAATACACCAATGGACACTGTATCTAGCTAATCTAGCGGGGAGGTGGAGAACTTTTGTGTCTAGCTCAGGGATTGCAAAGGCACCAATCAGCACCCTGTCAAAACGCACCAATCAGCTCTCTGTAAAATAGACCAATCGGCTCTCTGTAAAATGGATCAATCCCAGGATGTGGGTGGGGCCACATAAGAGAATAAAGGCAGGCTGCCTGAGCTAGCAGTGGCAATCCTCTGAGGAGGTCTCCTTGTATACTGGAAGCCTTGCTTTTTGGCTTTCTGAAATAAATTTTGCTGCTGCTCGCTCTTTGGGTCCACCCTGCGTTTAAGAGCTGTAACACTCCCTGTGAAGGTCTGCAGCTTCACTCCTGAAGCCAGCCAGACCGTAAACCCACCAGAAGGAAGAAACTCCTAACACATCAGAACATCAGAAGGAACAAACTCTGGACACACCACCTTTAAGAACTGTAACACTCACCGCAAGGGTCCGTGGCTTGATTCTTGAAGTCAGTGAGACCAAGAACCCACCAATTCCGGACACACAGCCACCCATCCACTTATCCACCCATCCACTCACCTATCTATCCATCCATCCCTCCATCCACACATCCACTCCATCCATCCATCCATGCAACAATCCATCCATCCAACCACCCACCCACCTACACATCCAGTCATCCACCCATCCATCAGCTGATTCATTCCTCCATCCATCTGTTCTCCCATCCATCCATTCACCCATCCAATCATTCACTCATCCATCCATTCACCCGTCCATCCCTAGCCACCCAACTCCCCCCATCCATGGTGTGTACTCATCTACTCACTCATCCACTGTTATAAATAAAGTTTCAGTGCCACAAAAGAAATAACACTCAAATATAAAATTTTCTTTTTTTCTTCTCAGCAGGGCAGTTTACTTCTATAGAAGGGTGCACCCTCACAGATGGACCAATGGTGAGTGCACACCTTGATGGAGAGGGGAAGGGTTTCTTATTCCTGACTCATGTGGCCCCTGCTGCTGTGTCATTCCCCTGTTGGTTAGGGTTAGACTGCACAGGCTAAACAAATTCTGATTGGCTAATTTAAAAAGAGTGCCCGGTGAGTGATTTGGCGTGAAAAATGGTTTTGGCAGGTCAGGAAATTGGAATGAATCAGGGTGGAGAATGGGCAGGTAATCAGAACGATTCAAGGTGGAGCAGGTATTTGGAATGAGTCAGGGTGGAGCAGGTAATGGGAATGAGGCAGGGTGGAGCAGGTAATCGGAAAATGTTGCTTTACAAGGAAGTTAAGTTTAAAAGTAGAAAGCAAAGAACTGAACATACTGACATATTGATTCTTTGAAGAGGAATTTAGAACTAATCCATCCATCCATCTACCCATTCGTCCATTTACCCAACCACCAATCTATCTATTTGCCCACCCATCCATCCACCCTGGCATCCATTCATTTACATCTCCCCTGGTACCCATTCAATCACCGCCTAACTTTTTTTCTTCTAGTGTCAGGAGAATTCAGTCACACCCAAAGCAGGAGGTAATAAGACACCGAAGTGAGGACTTCACAGGCTGCTTGGGAGAAGACAATCATCCGTGGGCTTGGGAAAGGGAGAAATGCCTACTGAGTTTAGGGAATTGCTTGCTGGAAGAAATGATGGTAACTAAGAGGGGCTTGGGTGGGATGTCGGGTGGGATGTTGAGCACCTGCATGGGAGGACACTAGTCTGGCAAGTGGAAGGAGGGTGCATGAACGAGTTTTATGTGTATGTCGGTGTGCCTAGGTAGCTCCTCAGCCTGGCTGGGACCCAATATGGCTTCTCCTTTTTCCACACACAAGAGCTCAGGGATCCTCCATTCTGGCGTCTCTCACCTCCTTCATCCCCTACCTCCTGCAGCTCCAGTGCCCTGAGCTCCCAGCCACAGTGCTCACTGCTGGCTCTGGTTATCCACTACCAGCTGCACCACAAGCAGCTCCAGCTGCTCCACTCTGACACCGAATCAATTCTGAGAGGGCAGCCCCAGGGGGTCAGGGATGAGCCAAGGGAAGAGAGACAGGCTAGGAGTTGACTGCCTGTTGGCCTACTGGCTCTGGTGGGAAGATACCCATGATGTTCCCTATTATTGTCATTTTCTGGAAGGAGCCAGTATCTTCCTCACCTCTCGGCCTTCCCACTTGCTGTGCCTCCCACCAGAAACACTCTTTCTGTACTTCATGTAACTGCCAACCAGCTCTACCTGACTCCTGCTGCAACATCTTCTCCTCCAGGAAGGCTTCCTAGATGCCCCGAGTCTGGGTCAGGTGCCTCCTGTGAGCCTCCTCTCTGCTCTGTGCCCTATGCACCCCCAACTGCACCCCAGCCACACCATGTCAATGTTTGTGTCCACCACCAGCCAGAAGAGCAGGGATGGTGTTATCTTTGTTGCCCAGTGTACCCAGTACACATTAGATGCCCAACACATGTTTCTTAAATGAGTCCTCAAGGTCACCAGCACCAGTGACCTTGAGCAGGACCTGTCCTGGGAAATGCAGACTCTCTGTCAGTATAATATTCAGATAACTTAGACATTGAAGATCCTTGAATTGGGATCCCTACTGTCTGGAGTTGTCTGGCACCGTCCTTGTGGAATTGACTCATCTGTAAAAGGGAGTTAAGGGTACATCAATATCCCGTGTCCATAAATTTAGAGGTGACTGGAGAACTCTCACATAAGCGGCCACCTCACTTCACTGGCTGGATCATGGGGCAGCTCTTTCCCAAGCCCGGCGAGTGCCTGCATGCAAGAAGGCGGGATTCCTTCTGCCAGCAGTTAGCATGGCACCTGCTGTGTAAGCATCTTAAACATGTGCCTAGATGCGGGAGGCCAGATGCGCAAGATGGACACTCGGCTCCTCCTTCGTCCCCGCCTCTCCTCGCTTCCAGGGTAGCAGCCTCAACAAGGGAAACTATTGTTCCAGTGGAGGCTGCGAGGATGTCGGTGATTTACGCGCCGAGCTGTAGCTGCAAAAGGACAAGGGCAAGTGCCGGCCCGACCTAGGTGAGTGCAGCTGGGGTCCCGAGGGTAGCGTCCCAGAGCCGCGGGCTGGGAGGCGCTGTGGATGGCAGCGGGGCGCTGTGAGAGTATCAAGAGGTACTGAGGCTAGACAATGGGAGGGACTTCCCAGTGAGGAGGGAGTGAGAAGTGATAGCTCTGTGCACCCGGAGACGCAAACACGCCCAACCCTGGGGCCACCGGGCCGAGGCTGATGGGAGACAATGGGAGACGGCTTTGATGAGTGGAGAAACACCAGGGTTTTTTGTTTTCTGTTGAATTGGATAAAATGACAGCAACACACGTGGAGTGAATTTAAGGAGCGGAGAGTTTAATAGGCAGCATGAAGGAAGGAGCTTTCTTTTACAGAGACAGAGGGAGGAGGGCTCTATAGCCGAGATAGGAAACCTGGAGTGCCCCGAGATACTAGCCAGTTATATGAGGAGTCGGTGTTTGATATGCTTAGGGTATTGGTTTGACCAGGAATATTGTTCCCATAGTCTTTGAAAAAACTGACCCTTGCACCTTAGCCTTTTAATATGCAAACACAGGGGCCCTGATGTTCTATACACGTGGGGATATGTCGAGGTGGCCATGTTGCCAGGCAAATATGGGGGCAAGGGCAAGAGGAAAACCGTGAGAATCGCCATGTTTGGGTGGACCCAGTTTCTAATGGTGTGCATTTGCATGTCAAAGGTTGCCAGCGGGCTCTTAGCTAGGCTTTCCTGCTAGACAAGAAGCGTTCCTGGAGCTGCTTTAGAAGAGATGAAAGCTTTTCAAGGACCCTTTTTCCCCTCTATCTGCCTGAAATAATTTCCTAATAACTCCTGTAACATTCCTCCTTCTGAACAAGTTAACCCTAACTGCTGTTAGGGTGTTTAGGGCCACCACATTTTCTCACTGCTTTCTGCTGAAAAGGGACGCTGAATGGGGAACAGCAGCTAAGGCTTCTCCGGGGGTTTTAAGGGTCCTTGGAAGAATGGCATATTCATGCGTGGTTTAGTTTGCAGCACCATTGGGAGCTGGATTGCTTTTAGGCAAGAAGAAACAATTTGACTTATAGTATTGTTAGATATGAGCTGTAAATTTCTCTTCAAAAAATCAGTATGTATGTTCAATTCTTTGCTTTCTACTTTTAAACTTAACATCCTTGTAGCACAACGTTTTTCGATTACCTGCTCCACCCTGACTCATTCCGATTACCTGCTCTGCCCTGACTCATTTTCCACCCTGACTCTTTCTGATTTCCTGCTCTGCCATAACCATTTTTCCAGCCAAACCACTCACCCGTACACTATCTTTAAATTAGCCAATTGGAATTAGTTTAGCCTGTGCATCTAACCCTAGCCAATAGGGGAACACAGCAGCAGGGTCCACGTGGATCGGGAATAAGAACCTCCTCTCCTCCCTTGTCCAGGTGTGTGCTCACTATTGCTCCAAATGTAAGGGGGCACCCTTCTATAGAATTACATTGCCTTGCTGAGAATTAAAAAAAAAAAAATTATATTTGAGTGCTGTTTCTTTTGCGGCACAAAACTTTATAACAATTTGGGGGGCTCACCTGTAATTACATTCCTCTCAGGGCCCACCGGTCTCTGGCTTGCTCTTGTGAGTAGGTGCACCCTGCCCGCTTGTGGTGGCCTCAGGGGTAAGAAATCAGGACCCACCCAGTGAGAGAAATAACCCAAGCTGTCAGCAACGCGGAAAGAAATGGGCTAGCAACCTCTTAAAGCATCCTCACGTACTGCGGCGATGACTCTGTGCACAGACCAAGGAAGGAGAGAGGCCGCGGAAGTCAGGTAAAGTACTTCCTTGGTGGTCAGATTCTGGAGGGCTAAACGTGTGTGTGCGTGAATGATCAAAAACAACCCTACTTGCGGTGTTGTTCATGTGGATGGTGACAAGTCCTACTGCTGGATGGCGTCAGTGGGTTTCTCTCCGTGGTTCCGTAGCTACCTCATATGGCTTAGGGCGGATTATGCCATGGGATTTATACCGGCACCCAACATTAAGAGGGGCCTAATTCTCCCTTAAGGGGGCAACGAAAGAGGATAACATGAGTGGGAAGTGTGCAAGGGACCTTCAGAGGGGGAAAGGGAGGAAACAGGTGAACCTTCTGGTACAGGCAAGGCTAGACATCCCTGGTTTGAGGTGGTGAGGCTTTGGGGTCAGGCAAGGTGAGACATCCCTGGTTTGAAGGTTTGAGGCTTTCAGGACAGGCAAGGCAAGCCATCACCTGGTTTGAGTGGTTGAGCCTTCCGAGGCAGGCAAGGCAAGACATCCTTGGTTTGAGGGGTTGAGCCTTCTGGGGCAGGCAAAGTGAGACACCCCTGCTTTGAGGGGTTGAGCCTTCCGCAGATTTCAGGGGGTTGAACCTTACACAAACCTCTGGTGGTAAGAAAAATACTCAAAACTCCCCTTTCCTTTCATCTTGGGGAAAGAAAGAGTAGCTCCACTCCCACTGGTCCCTCCTCTAGAGGAAGGGGAAGGGGAAGGAGAGGAGAGAACAGCAGCATGAGCGGCTGGCAGAGGCAGAGAAAGAGAAACAAAGTCAAAGAGAAAAAGAAGCAGAGAGAGACAGACAAACGGAATCAGAGAGAGAAAGAGAGAGATAGTGGTAAAGAGAAAACAGTGTATCCTATTCCTTTAAAATCCAGGGTAAATTAAAAACCTATAATTAATAATTGAAGGTCTTCTCAGGAACCTTGTAACACTACAATACCACCTTGTTGTCAGTGTAAACAAGGGCATAGCCCAAAAGCACTGAGGCCACTGACAATCCCTAGCCTTCCTAATAAAAATTCTTAACCCAGTAACCTGCGGATGGTCCAAATACCTTCAATCTATTGTGTCCAATGCTTTGCTAATGGAAGAAAGTAGAAAAATAACTTTTAGAGGAAGCCTCATTGTGAGCCCACCTTATCAGGTCAGAACTGTCTTAAATTAAAAAAAAAAAAAAAGGCAAAAATGTAGTCCTTACTGACTCAAGAATCTTAAAGTGTGAGGCCATTCTGCTAGAAAAAGATGATTTAACATTAACCACTGAAAATTCCCTTAACCCCTGTAGGTTTCCTAACAGGGGATCTAAACCTTAATTACCACACAAAGGTTGGACAAGTAGGTTTCTTAACAGGGAATCTAAATCTTAATTACCACACAAAGGTCGGACCATACCTAGGAGGAACTCCCTTCTGGACAGAAGGATAGATGGTTCCTCCCGGGTGATTGAAGGAAAAAGACACAATGGGTTTGAAACTCCTGTAGAAGCAGAGTTAGGAAAATTGCCTTCTAATTGGTCTGCTCAAACGTGCGACCTGTTTGCATTCAGCAAAGCCTTAAAGTACCTACAGAATCAGGAAGGAGCCATCTATACCAGTTCTAAGTTAATGTGGACTGAACAGGTCTTACTAATAGCAAAGAATACTTGAAATCCCAAACGTACAAAGTTTTCAACAAAAGTAAAATTTGCTAAAAGTTAGCAGTGTAACATGCTAACTTAACTTCTAATCTTCTGTCCTTAGACAGTGTAGTCCCCATGTCTGTGGACATGAAGGAGGTTCACTTTGGAAAAGAATGTTTATCGTCTTTGAGAGAAAAAAAAAGGGGGGTAGAATTTATGTAAAACGGAATGCTATATGGTAAGTTATTTTCCTAAAATAACTGGTTGTTTAAATAAAGGGATATTTGCAACAAGTCAGAAAGTTGAGGCATGTGGAAGAATTGTCTGTGAAAGTCATGAAAAAAAGTTGTAAAATGGAATTTATGCAAGAAATGTTGTATAATTTAAAAGTATTAGGCCTCCTGAATGTAAAACTATTGAAGAAACAGTTTATGTGCAAGATGTGTAAGGAAAGTAAAAAGTACCTTTGGTAAAAGGTTTATAAGGAGGCTTAAGAATGTGGATTTTTACCAACATTAAAAGTTAAAAGAAATGTTTTTTTGTAAAGGTTTAAGCAAGTTTTTAAACAGGGAGTAATTTGCTTTTACTGGGTCCACTTTTCCCAGCCTGAGGGTGTGAAGTTTTTCTTTGGGTAGAGTGTTTTTTGGTACTGGGGGTGGAGTTTTCTCCTGAGAGGAATTAGTCGTCCAGTTGAAAGTGCTTTCATACCATGTTCCGTGTATTCCTGTTATGTTATTTATTTTTTATTTTTTTTTTTTTTGAGACAAGAGTCTCACTCTGTCAATCTTGGCTGGAGTGCAATGGCACAATCTCGGCTCACTACAACCTCTGCCTCCTGGGTCCAAGTGATTCTTCTGCCTCAGCATCCCAAGTACCTGGGAATACAGGTGCCCACCACCATGACTGGCTAATTTTTGTGTTTTTAGTAGAGATGGGGTTAGCCAGGCTGGTCTGTAATTCCTGACCTCAGGTGATATTCCTGCATTGGCCTCCCAAAGTGCTGGGATTACAGGCATGAGCCACTGCACCCGGTGGACATCATGCTTTTGTGGTTACTTTTGCTTTGTAATAATTTTTGAAATCATATATTTATAGCCCTCTAACTTTGTTCTTCATTTTCAGTGCTGTTTTTACTAGTCTAGGCCCTTTGTATTTCTCTGTGACTTTTACAATCAACTTACCAATTTCTACAAAAAAGGCTTCTGGAATTTTTTTTTTTTAATTATACTTTAACTTTTAGGGTACATGTGCACATTGTGCAGGTTAGTTACATATGTATACATGCACCATGCTGGTGCGCTGCACCCACTAACTCGTCATCTAGCATTAGGTTGTTGAATTTCGTCAAAGGCCTTTTCTGCATCTATTGAGATAATCATGTGGTTTTTGTCTTTGGCTCTGTTTATATGCTGGATTACCTTTATTGATTTGCGTATATTGAACCAGCCTTGCCTCCCAGGGATGAAGCCCACCTGATCATGGTGGATCAGCTTTTTGATGTGCTGCTGGATTCGTTTTGCCAGTATTTTATTGAGGATTTTTGCATCAATGTTCATCAAGGATATTGGTCTAAAATTCTCTTTTTTTGTTGTGTCTCTGCCTGGCTTTGGTATCAGGATGATGCTGGCCTCATAAAATGAGTTAGGGAGGATTCCCTCTTTTCTATTGATTGGAATAGTTTCAGAAGGAATGGTACCAGTTCTTCCTTGTACCTCTGGTAGAATTTGGCTGTGAATCCATCTGGTCCTGGACTGTTTTTGGTTGGTAAGCTATTGATTATTGCCACAATTTCAGATCCTGTTATTGGTCTATTCAGAGATTCAACTTCTTCCTGGTTTAGTCTTGGGAGAGCGTATGTGTCGAGGAATTTATACATTTCTTCTAGATTTTCTAGTTTATTTGTGTAGAGGTTTCTATAGTATTCTCTGATGGTAGTTTGTATTTCTGTGGGATCGGTGGTGATATCCCCTTTATCATTTTTTATTGCGTCTATTTGATTCTTCTCTCTTTTTTTCTTTCTTAGTCTTGCTAGCGGTCTATCAATTTTGA
Organism: Homo sapiens; assembly: GCF_000001405.40. NCBI lineage: Eukaryota > Metazoa > Chordata > Mammalia > Primates > Hominidae > Homo > Homo sapiens. Next base: position 19,037,719 of record NC_000024.10, on the reverse strand, counting down.
TGATCCTTTCAAAAAACCAGCTCCTGGATGCATTAATTTTTTGAAGGGTTTTTTGTGTCTCTATTTCCTTCAGTTCTGCTCTGATTTTAGATATTTCTTGCCTTCTGCTAGCTTTTGAATGTGTTTGCTCTTGCTTTTCTAGTTCTTTTAATTGTGATGTTAGGGTGTCAATTTTGGATCTTTCCTGCTTTCTCTTGTGGGCATTTAGTGCTATAAATTTCCCTCTGCACACTGCTTTGAATGTGTCCGAGAGATTCTTGTATGTTGTGTGTTTGTTCTCGCTGGTTTCAAAGAATATCTTTTTTCTGCCTTCATTTCGTTATGTACCCAGTAGTCATTCAGGAGCAGGTTGTTCAGTTTCCATGTAGTTGAGCGGTTTAGAGTGAGTTTCTTAATCCCGAGTTCTAGTTTGATTGCACTGTGGTCTGAGAGATAGTTTGTTATAATTTCTGTTCTTTTACATTTGCTGAGGAGAGCTTTACTTCCAAGTATGTGGTCAATTTTGGAATAGGTGTGGTGTGGTGCTCAAAAAAATGTATATTCTGTTGATTTCGGGTGCAGAGTTCTGTAGATGTCTATTAGGTCCACTTGGTGCAGAGCTGAGTTTAATTCCTGGGTATCCTTGTTGACTTTCTGTCTCATTGATCTGTCTAATGTTGACAGTGGGGTGTTAAAGTCTCCCATTATTAATGTGTGGGAGTCTAAGTCTCTTTGTAGGTCACTCAGGACTTGCTTTATGAATCTTGGTGCTCCTGTATTGGGTGCATATATATTTAGGATAGTTAGCTCTTCTTGTTGAATTGATCCCTTTACCATTATGTAATGGCCTTCTTTGTCTCTTTTGATCTTTGTTGGTTTAAAGTCTGTTTTATTAGACTAGGATTGCAACCCCTGCCTTTTTTGTTTTTCATTTTTTTGGTAGATCTTCCTCCATCCTTTTATTTTGAGCCTATGTGTGTCTCTGCACGTGAGATGGGTGTCCTGAATACAGCACACTGATGGGTCTTGACTCTTTATCCAATTTGCCAGTCTGTGTCTTTTAATTGGAGCATTTAGTCCATTTACATTTAAAGTTAATATTGTTATGTGTGAATTTGATCCTGTCATTATGATGTTAGCTGGTTATTTTGCTCGTTAGTTGATGCAGTTTCTTCCTAGTCGCGATGGTCTTTACATTTTGGCATGATTTTGCAGCAGCTGGTACCGGTTGTTCCTTTCCATGTTTAGCGCTTCCTTCAGGAGCTCTTTTAGGGCAGGCCTGGTGGTGACAAAATCTCTCAGCATTTGCTTGTCTGTAAAGTATTTTATTTCTTCTTTGCTTATGAAGCTTAGTTTGGCTGGATATGAAATTCTAGGTTGAAAATTCTTTTCTTTAAGAATGTTGAATATTGGCCCCCACTCTCTTCTGGCTTGTAGGGTTTCTGCTGAGAGATCCGCTGTTAGTCTGATGGCCTTCCCTTTGAGGGTAACCTGACCTTTCTCTCTGGCTGCCCTTAACATTTTTTCCTTCATTTCAACTTTGGTGAATCTGACAATTATGTGTCTTGGAGTTGCTCTTCTTGAGGAGTATCTTCGTGGTGTTCTCTGTATTTCCTGAATCTGAACATTGGTCTGCGTTGCTAGACTGGGGAAGTTCTCCTGGATAATATCCTGCAGCGTGTTTTCCAACTTGGTTCCATTCTCCCCATCACTTTCAGGTACACCAATCAGACGTAGATTTGGTCTTTTCACATAGTCCCATATTTCTTGGAGGCTTTGTTCATTTCTTTTTATTCTTTTTTCTCTAAACTTCCCTTCTCACTTCATTTCATTCATTTCGTCTTCCATCGCTGATACCCTTTCTTCCAGTTGATCGCATTGACTCCTGAGGCTTCTGCATTCTTCACATAGTTTTCGAGCCTTGGTTTTCAGCTCCATCAGCTCCTTTAAGCACTTCTCTGTATTGGTTATTCTAGTTATACATTCTTCTAAATTTTTTTCAAAGTTTTCAACTTCTTTGCCTTTGGTTTGAATGTCCTCCCGTAGCTCAGAGTAATTTGATGGTCTGAAGCCTTCTTCTCTCAGCTCGTCAAAGTCATTCTCCATCCAGCTTTGTTCCGTTGCTGGTGAGGAACTGCGTTCCTTTGGAGGAGGAGAGGCACTCTTCTTTTTAGAGTTTCCAGTTTTTCTGTTCTGTTTTTTCCCCATCTTTGTGGTTTTATCTTCTTTTGGTCTTTGATGATGGTGATGTACAGATGGGTTTTTGGTGTGGATGTCCTTCCTGTTTGTTAGTTTTCCTTCTAACAGACAGGACCCTCAGCTGCAGGTCTGTTGGAGTACCCAGCCGTGTGAGGTGTCAGTGTGCCCCTGCTGGGGGGTGCCTCCCAGTTAGGCTGCTCGGGGGTCAGGGGTCAGGGACCTACTTGAGGAGGCAGTCTTCCCATTCTCAGATCTCCAGCTGCGTACTGGGAGAACCACTGCTCTCTTCAAAGCTGTCAGACAGGGACATTTAAGTCTGCAGAGGTTACTGCTGTCTTTTTGTTTGTCTATGCCCTGTCCCCAGAGGTAGAGCCTACAGAGGCAGGCAGGCCTCCTTGAGCTGTGGTGGGCTCCACCCAGTTCGAGCTTCCCAGCTGCTTAGTTTACCTAATCAAGCCTGGGCAATGGCGGGCGCCCCTCCCCCAGCCTGGCTGCAGCCTTGCAGTTTGATCTCAGACTGCTGTGCTAGCAATCAGCGAGACTCTGTGGGCGTAGGACCCTCCGAGCCAGGTGTGGGATATATCTCGTGGTGCTCCGTTTTTTAAGCCCGTCGGAAAAGCGCAGTATTCGGGTGGGAGTGACCTGATTTTCCAGGTGCTGTCTGTAAGCCCTTTCTTTTACTCGGAAAAGGAACTCCCTGACCCCTTGCGCTTCCCGAGTGAGGCAATGCCTCGCCCTGCTTCGGCTCGCTCAGGGTGCGTGCACCCACTGACCTGTGCCCACTGTCTGGCATTCCCTAGTGAGATGAGCCCGGTACCTCAGATGGAAATGCAGAAATCACTCGTCTTCTGCATCGCTCACGCTGGGAGCTGTAGACTGGAGCTGTTCCTATTTGGCCATCTTGGCTCCTGCGGCTTCTGGAATTTTTAATGCAATTGCATTGAATCTGTAAATCAATTTGGCAGAGAACTGACGCTTTAATTATATTGAATCATTTGACTCATATGAGATATAATTCTCCCTTTTAAATTTTTTCTCAATAGTGTTTTGTTGTTTCTTTCAGGGTTACTTGTCTTTTATCTCTGCTTTTAAGATTTTCTTTTTGTTACTGGTTTTAAGCAATTTGGTTATGATGTGCCTGTGTGTAATTTTCTTCATGTTCCTTATGCTTGAGTTTCATTTAACATTTTGAATCTGTAGGATATAATTTTCATTAAATATAGAAAAAGTTTAGCCTTCATTTCTTCAAATATTTTTTCTTTTCTCTCCAGTGTCAAGGATTCCGGTTATAGTTAGACCATTTGAGGTTGTCACCCAATTCAATGATGTTTTTAAATTTTTATTTTTAATTATTTTTTCCTATTGTATTTTGTGCATTTCTATTGCTGTGTCTTCAGATTTACTATTCTTTCCTACCACAGTGCCTGTTCTACTGTGTGTTAGTTCTCACACTGCTAATAAAAACACACCCGAGACTGGGTAATTTATAAAGGCAAGAAATTTAATTCACTCACAGTTCAATATGGCTGAGGAGTCTTAAGGAAACTTACAAGCATGGTGGAAGGGGAAACAAACACATCCTTCTTCACATGGTGTCAGCAAGAAGTGCTTTTTTACTCCAAAGGGGGAAAGACCCTTAGAAAGCCATCAGATCTCCTGAGAACTCACTATCATGAGAACATGATGGTGTAACTGCCCCCATGATTTAAGTACTTCCTACCAATACTTGAATATTTTTTCTTCCTTCCCAGGACATGTGGGGATTTGGGGAACCACAATTCAAAATAAGATTTGGGTGCAGATACAGCCAAAGCATATCATACTGTTAATTCCATTTGTTGTATTTTTTACTCCAAGCATTGTTGTATTTGTGTCTGGAAGTTTGATTTGGATCTTCCTTGTATTCTTCATGTCTCTTAGCTTTCTGATCGTGGGTATACAGTTTTCTTAGTTGTTTTCATGTCTGTGTCTGCTAGTGATAACACTTGTGAGTCAGTTTTGATTGAATGGTTTTTTCTCCTCATATGGGTCCTGTCTTCTTGCCTCTTTGCATATCTATTAAGTATACTCATAAGTAGAAGGAATGAACAAATTCTTTTGAAACTATAAAGTATAACAATTCAATCAAAATGGAATAGACAAAATGAATAGTCCTATAGCCAGTAAAGAAGCTGAATTAGTAATTGAAAAGCTCTAGGAAGGAAATGTCTAGGTGCAGATATTTTCACTGGAGAATTCCTCAAAACCTTTAAAAAAGACTTACCATCAACTTCACACAGTTGTTTCCAGAAAATAATTGAGAATGGGACACAACCCAATATGAGGTTAGGAATATCTGTATCTCAACACCAGAAAAAAAGTACAATAAAAAAAATACAGCTCAATACCCCTCATGAATGTAGACACAAAAATCTTTTTAAAAATTTGCAAATTGATAACAGCAGTATATGAAGAAGAGTAATACATCACAACCCAGTTCAGGTTACTCCAGGAATGTAAATCTGGTTCAGCATTCTAAAATCAAGCAATGTAATCAAACTTATCAACAGAATAAAGAAAAATCATACATACATACACACATACATACATACAGTCAAATCAGTTGATGCAGGAACACCATTTAACTAAACCCAACACCCATTTATGACAAAAAGTTTGAGCAGGTTCACATAGAGGGGAAATAACCATAGGTTGTTTAAAAAGAATCTACAAAAAACCTGTAGCCAACATCATTCTTAATGGTGTAAGATTGAATGCCTCCTCTGTCACATTGGGGAAAAGGCAAGGATGTTTCCTGTTACTATTTTTATTCAGTTGGCAGTTCTAGACTGTAATGCAAGGGAAGAAAATAAACAACATACATATTAGAAAAGAAATAAAAAGGCCTAGTAGCCTGGCATGCTGGAATGCGCCTGTAGTCCCAGCTACTCAGGGAGGCTGAGGCAGGAGAATCACTTGAACCTGGGAGACGGAGGTTTCAGTGAGCCAAGACTGCACCACCACACTCCAGCCTGGGCATCAGAGGAAGACCCTGTCTTAAAAAAAAAAAGAAAATTAGTAAAATTGTCTCATTTTGCAGGTGTCATAATTGTGTATGTGTTGAAAATCCTAAGGGAGCTATAGAAAACATCCTATAACTAGTAAGTGAGTTCAGCAAAGTGTCAAGTTGTAGGATCAATGCATAAATACTAACCTCATTTTTATTTAACAGTGAACATATGGGCACAGAAATTAAAAATGCAGTACTCTTACAGTCATTCCTATGAAAATGAATCCTTACTTATGCTGAAACTTGGAATTTGTTGATAAAAGTAATCTAAGAATACATAAGTAAATAGACCCACTGTCTATTTGGATTGGAACATCCTACATTCCAGTTTTCTCAAAATTGTTCTGTAGGATGAATACTATTCCTATCAATATCTCAGGTTTTTAAAAGACATAAGTAATCTTATTCTAAAACAAATGTGAAAAGTCACACACAGGCAGTAGAATAGATAAGCCAACTTTGACAAGGAAAGTAAGTGGGAGGAAACACTTCTTGATGTTAAGGAATATTGCATAGCTACATTAATCAACATAGTATGGAAGAATGATAGAGACAAAGGTTAATAAAACATTTTAGAGAACCCAAAATTAGACAAAGGTACGAAAACAACTAAATAGAGAAAAGGTAGCCTTTTCAAATGGGGCTGGGCACTTATGGGTGAGTAAAGATCATGGACTTAATGTGAAATGTAAAACTTTTAGAAAAAAAGAAGAAAATATTTAGAATCTAGGGTTAGGAAAATATTTCTTAGACTTGACACCAAAAGAACAATGTATAAAAAAATTTATACACTGTACCTCATTAAAAGTAAAAATGTTTACTTTGCAAAAAAAAGTGAATACAATGAAACACGAGCTATAGATTGGGAGAAAATATCTGTAAACTGTATAACTGACAAAGATTTTTCATCTATGATATATAAAAACTCATAAAATTTAACAGTAAAAAATTCAAATTAGAAAATGAGCAAAAGACTTAAAGAGACATTTTGGCAAAGATTTACAGATAGAAAATAATCATGAAAATAAATTCAACATTCATTAATCATCAGGAAATGCAAATTAAAACTGAAATATCAGTATGTGTATGTCAGAACAGCTAAAATGAAAGGATGGTGACAGCAGTTGTTGTAAACAATGTTAAGTGGATCACTTGTACATTTCTGGTGGAAATACAAATAATACAGTTATTCTGGAAAATCTCTTGATAGTTTAAAAAAAAAAAGAAAACTGTGTAACTATCCTACTACCCAGTAGTTGCACCCTTGGACCTTTATCACAGATAAATTTATATTGATACAGAAAACCTGTGTCAATTTCATAAAGTCCAGATATACCAAATGAGTAACTAGTCAGAGAAGCAGCTGTGTTTCTACACCATAGCATGCACATGCGCATGTGGTGTTAGGAAAATACAGGTCTCTTTGCCCTTCTGATGCCCTTAGTCTTGAGGTGAAGGAAGAAGCAACAGAAAGTATCCAATTACTGTTTGAAATTACCTAGTTTGTTTATGAGTGCTCTGTACAAAATAAGAGAGAATAAGGACATAAAGAGTAATGGTCTTTTAAGGCCGGAGCATGGTAGCTCATGTGAACCTATAATTCTGGTACTTTAGGAGGCCAAGGTGAGAGGATCACATAAAGCTAGGAATTTGAGACCAGCCTGCACAACATAGCCAAGAATTTAAAGAATTAGCCAGATGCAGTGGCATACATCTGTTGTCCTTAGCTATTCAGGAAGCTGAGGCAGGAGGATTGCTTGGGCCCAGGAGTTCAAGGCTGCATTGAGCCATGGTCACATTACTACACTCCAACCTGGGTAAAAGAACAGGAATCTGCCTCTAAAACTATTATGAATAAATTTCAACAAAATAAGTGCAAAATTTGCATTTTAAAAACTACCAAATATTGCTGAAACATATTAAAGAGACCAAAGTATATGGAAAGACAGTCCATGATCATAGTTCAAATTATATGTTGTTCAAAAGGCCGTGTACCCTAAATTGATCTATAGATTAAGTGTTACCATTCTCAAATCCCAGTTAAAGTCTTTGCAGAAATTGACAAACTGCCTCTAAAATTCATATGGACATTGAAGCGCCCCAGAATAGCCAAAACAGTTTTGAAAAAGATGGGCAAATTTTGAATACTCACACTTCATTTGAAAATTTAATACAGATTTACAGTAATCAAGACTGTAGAGCTAGCATTGAGTTCACAGTGGAGAGTCCATAAATAAAGTCTGAAATTTATGGTTAATTGAATTTTGACAATAATGCCCAGAAAATTGACTGAGGTAGGAGTGTGTTTGGGCGGGTGCTTTTTAGCCCCATGCTATTTGTGAAAATGCATCCATGTTTTGTGTAGTTGTTACCCACCCATTTTGTAATGCCGTATGACTTTTATCCATTTTACTGTTGATGGATATTTGGGTTACATCTAAGTTTTATCTAGTATGAATGATACTTTTGTGTCATATTTGACTATATCTCTTGGTGTACACATCTACCTGTTGCAGGAGCTGCTGTGTTTTGGGTCATGCAGTTCCGCTCTAGTAAACCCTTCACATGATTTTGCCAAATGATATATTAAGTTATACTCCAGTCAGGCAGTGCCTTCACTTGCATTTTCAGCCTTTTTTGCCAACATTTGCATTTTCAGCCTTTTAAACTTAGCATTTATGATAAATATGTAGAAGTGGTTTTAATGCATCTTTCTACAGAGTCTAATAACATTGTGTACTTTTTCATATGCTTTCATATATGCCTTTATTTTTTGTGACAAGCCTGTCAAAATTTCTTGGCATTTTTCTTCTAAGATATCCCTTCTTCTCATCAGTTTTTGGCCTTTATGCATTCTGGATTGGAGTTCTTTGTTAAGTTATATATGCGTTGCAGATATCTTCCTCTTCTTTCCTGCAGGCTGTGTTAAACAGAAATTCTTAAATTTAGTAAAGTCTGCTTTATTAATCTTTTCGTTCAAGATTAGTTTTTTAGGAAAATTTTTGTTGATGATAGTGGTGTTGATTAAGCAATCCTTCACTACCAAAAAGTTATGAAACTATTCTTGTAATGTTTGATGAGCGATGACAATTCAATGAGGAAAGATGATTTTTTTCTTTTAGGCATTTTAGTGTTCTTTCACATTTAGAACTGTAATTCTAAATAGGTTTTGTGTTCATATTGAAGTCAAGATCAGGTATCATCTCCCCTCATTCCCTGACAGTACTCAGTTTTTTCAGCACTATTGATTTAAAGGATGATTATCTCTTTAATGATAATAAGGAGACTACATAAATAGTGTCCATATATATGTGGACCTACTTTTGGACATCTAGTTTTGCATTGGTGTAGCCATCTGTCTTTGTGTAATCCTATCTTTTCTTGACTACTTTAATCTAGTTTTATTAGGTTATAGAGTTAATCTTCACATTTCATCAGAAGACTTTTGCATTTCCTTGTATACATTAGGAGTACCTTGTCAATTCCCACCAAAAAAAAAAAAAGAAGCTAAGATTTTGACTGGGTTTGGATATATAGACAAATTTATGAGCATTTGACCTACTTTCAGTAATGTACATTCTAATTTCTGAACTCAATATATTCTATTTAGGTTTTATTTCTCTCAATATTTTATAGTTTTTTTGTGTAGAGATCTTACACATTTTTGTTAGTTTTATTCTAGTGTTAGTTTTTTTCTTAGCGTTAGAAAGAAACAGCACTATCTGACAACATAGCTTCCTTCAGCTTTAACATTTGAGTTTATTACTTGTTCACTGACAATCCATTTATTTACCATGGATAGTTAAGTCTTTATTAAGTTCAAAAACTATACATAATTCATGACATTGTGTGAAGTATTCTAAATATATTTTTTTCTTTAGGCTAATTTAGCTTTCCCAACTGATAGAACTGTTAGTGATATTGATTAAATGTATGAATAGTGACTTGTAAAAGTTTTAAATGCCGTAAATATCTTTCAGTTTTTCTGTGTCATGAAAGAATATCTCCTTAAATTTGCAGGATTTTTTGTTTGCTTGCTTATTCAGTTGTAGATTTATACTTTAATGTCCATTACGTGTTTGGTTTATGATGTTCTCTGTTCTGTGTTGGACATTGGAGGACCACTGTCGTCACTTTCCTTGGCCATGTAGTCTAATGGGGAGGACATTGTTTTTTATAATGCAGTACCTGCTATGTTATACGTATTGGTTAAGGACTAACAGAGGACACATAAATGGCAGTATTTAACATTTTTTCATACTTGAAATTTTTTCTTTTGAGACAAGGTCTTGCTCTGCTGCCCAGGCTGAAGTACAGTGGCATGAACATGGCTTACTGCAGCTTTGACCTCCCTGGCTGAAGCCATCCTCAACCCTTAGCCTCCCAAGTAGTGGGGACCGTGGGCCTACCACTGCACCCGGCTACTTTTTAAACATTTTGTGGAAGTGGAGTTTTGCCATGTTGCCTGGGCTGGTCTCAAACTCCTGGGCTCAAGTAATCATCCCACGTTGGCCTTCCAAAGTGCTGAGATTACCAGCATGAGCCACCATGCCTGGCTGACATGAAACACTTTTAAAGTCACCACTAAATGCTCACTAATGGTAAAAAAATCTTAGCATTTTAACTAAAATGTGAATTAAAATATCAATTTTTATATACAAATTATAAGTGTTAGTTACTTCAACAATTTTTTTTTTTTTTTTTTTTTTTGAGACAGAGTCTCGCTCTCTTGCCCAGGGTAGAGGGCAATGTTATCTTGGCTCATTGCAACTTCTCCCTTCCGGGTTCAAGTGATTCTCCTGCTTCAGCCCCCCAAGTAGCTGGGATTACTGCCCTGTGCCACCACATCTGGCTAATTTTTGTCTTTTTAGTAGAGACAGTGTTTCACCATGTTGGCCAGGCTGGTCTAGAACTCCTGACCTCAGGTGATCCACCCGCCTTGGTCTCCCAAAGTGCATGAGCTATCATGTCTTGCTGCAAAATTTTAATTGTAACATTATTTTAGTTGTTTCTATAGCTATTTCTTCTTTGGAATGGAATTGTGTTAATTTATAGACCTGCATATAGATAATTAAATCTTTTGTAAAACTCTTTGCAGAATCAATTAATTCTGTCCAACATGGTGTTTTTTAGGACTTCATAAAAAACTGGTATTTTTACTTTTTAAAAAACTTATCTATATATTATTATTGCAAAAATTGAAATTTACAACCATCTACACAAGCAAAAACAATTTTTATTACATTTTTAGTATGCAGCAATGAGAAATATTCTGTAGAAAGAGTATTTTACTTTGACTATAATAGACGCATGAAACCTTTGAAAAAAGAGTCCTCATTTTTTGATGAAGCTGCTTTACAAAGAAAATATATGCACTCCAGTTACGGGGATGATAATCTAGTAGTTTAATTTTCATTCTAAAAGATAAAAGTAGAAATGATCCTATAAAAATTTTATTTGATAATATATTGAATTCATTAATATCTAAATCATGTTTAATTGTTGATATTTAAAAATGCATCTGCTGTGTGATATATTTGCTTAAAAATAATCCTATCAGGACCTATGTATCCGATGTGTGTTTTCATTCAGATTCATAATGATATCTAATTAAATGATTGTTATTAAAATTTGATTGCTATTTTGCATTTGCAGTTTTATTCGTCAATTCAGCAAATAATTATGTATGTACCAGGCACTAATTTTTGCTCAGGATACAAAAGGCAGCAACCTTCAAAGAGTTCATATTCTATTTACTGGTGAAAGTACATACATTGACAGTAATAATCCTAATTGTGTGAGTATTGACTCATGTAAAGAAATGTTTAGGGGTGGCCGGGCATCATATTTCATGCCTGTAATCCCAACAGTTTAGGAGGCTGAGGCAGGCAGATCACCTGAAGTTAAGAGTTTGAGTCCAGCCTGGCCAATATGGGGAAACCCCATCTTTACTAACAATGAAAAAATTAGCTGGATGACGCATGCGTGTAATCCCAGATACTCAGGAGGCTGACACGGGAGAGTCATTTGAACTTGGAGGCAGAGGTTGCAGTGAGCCCAGATCACGCCACTGCACTACAGCCTGGGTGACAGAGTGAGACTCCATCTCAAAAACAAAGAAAAAAAAATAAATGTTTAGCGGTATGTATGAACAGATAGTTTTGCCTACTGAGTAGAGGTGGACTTTACAGAAAAGTTCCTATTTATATGGCCTGAACTTTCAAAACACAAAGATAAAAAAGAGGTAATTGGATAGAAGCCTACTGTGGCCAAGTTAATTTTGTTCTATCATAAGAGTGAACAGACAACCTACAGAATGGGAGAAAACATTTTTTTCAATCTATCCATCTGACAAAGGGTTAATATCCAGAAGCTACCAACAACTTAAACAAATTTACAAGAAACAAACCCATCCAAAAGTGGGTGAATGGTATGAACGGACACGTCACAAAAGATGACATTTATGCAGACAACAAACATGACAAAAAACTCTTCATCACTGGTCGTTAGAGAAAACTGCAAATCAAAACCACAATGAGATACCATCTCACGCCAGTTAGAATGGTGATCATTAAAAAGTCAGAAAACAACAGATGCTGGAGAGGATGTGGAGAAATGGGAACACTTTTCCACTGTTGGTGGGAGTGTAAATTAGTTCAACCATTGTGAAAGACAGTGTGGCTATTCCTCAAGAATCTATAACCAGAAACACCATTTGACCCAGTGGTCCCATTATTGGGTATATACTCAAGGGATTATAAATTATTCTGTTATAAAGGCACATGCATACGTATGTTTATAGCAACATTATTCACAATAGCAAAGACATGGAACCAACTCACATGCCTGTCAGTGATAGACTAGGGAAAGAAAATGTGGTACATATACACTATGGAATACTATGCAGACATAAAAAAGGATGAGTTCATGTCCTCTGCAGGGACATAGATGAAGCTGGAAGCCATCATTCTCAGCAGAGTAACAGAGGAATAGAAAACCAAACACCGCATGGGGAACATCACACACTGGGAATGTTGGGCGGTGGGGGGCTATGGAGGGGATAGCTTTAGAAGAAATACCTAATGTAGATGACCAGTTGATGGGTGCAGCAAACCACCATGTCATGTGTATACCTGTGTAATGAACCTGCACATCTGCACATGGATCCCAGAACTTAAAGTATAATAAAAATAAATAGTAAGTGACATGAAAAAGTTAAAAATTAAAAAAAAAGAAAAACTGTCGGAAATCAGGAAACCTGAGTTCGAGTCACTTTGGTCAATTTCCGGGTGTATGACCTTGCCAAATAGGCGCACGTTTTCATCTTCTCTGAAATGAAGGAAGTATATCAGGTAATATCCAGAGATTCTTTCTGCCCTGCCTTTCTGACTTTATTAAATAAACGAGCAGTTTTATAGGAATCTAAGCATGTTATTATTTTTATTAGAAACTAAGCATGTATCTTATTATTTTTAGTATGAAAACCCTACAAAAATAAGTTAGATTTCAGAGTTACTGATTTAGTTTTTGTTTATAAACAACATACTTTTAAAAGGAACATTTTTAGTCATAAGAAAGAAGAAAAATGTTTTCTTTCAGTTGTAGTTATGGTTATTAACATTGTAACAGGAGTTCAGCTCTACCTGGTAATCTAGTGACCTCTGTCTACTTGATACATTTACTTTATTATTGTGTTTCATGCGAGTTTTTATTTTCCTAACTGTGGCAGGGACTGGCTGGCTAGTTTTCCAACTCATTTCCCTTTCCTCTTGCAAGCACAGGTAGACTTCCTTTCATGCTGTTAGGTGGGACCATGTCACTGAAATGTGGCAGAAAGTGGAGCCAAAAGTCTGGTATATCACATCTAGCCTTGCACCTAACCTCTTTTGCAGGTACCTGCTTTTCTCTTCCCCATTGTTGGGTAGGTGACCACGACTAGCAGAGTCTTGGAAACTGCTTGTTAAAGATGGCAAAGCTTCCATGAGTCTGGCTTCCTGAATAAATGTGTGGAACAGAACCCCTCCCCTTCCATTACCAAATGAACTGTATTTGAAAGAGAAATAAACTCCTACTGTTAAGCACTTTAGTTTGCAAGATTAGTCATTTACCATAGCTGGTGTTACCTTAACTGATTATCATCCTAATTGCTTTTCCTTCTGGAAGACTTCTTATTAATTCTCTTTGCAATTGGTGATACTTATTTTTTGAGTGTTAATGCTTGTATTTTGAAGCCATCGTTTGCCAGTATTGGAGTATAATGTGCTCTTCTTTTCAAATATTTCGGCTGCTCTTCTTAAGAATAGTGTAGTAAAATCATTTAGGCTGCCTTCATAGTTTGTCACATGCAAATTACTCACTTGTAGTCCATTGCTTTGACAGCACAGACTGCTGAGTGGGAGAGCTCTGCAGGCCTTCCAGTCCATTGAAAGGCTCATCTCTTTAACTGAATACAGAGGCCAGAATAAATAACCCTTGATCATGCATATATAATCCTGTGTGTTGTTGGATTTGATTTGTTAATGTTTTGTTAAGGCTTTTTGCATCTCTATTCATAAAGTATGTATTGGCTTATAGTTTTTTTCTTTTGCTTTTTCTTGTGTTATGTTTGTTTTTGTGTCAGGGTAACATTGGCCTTAGTAGAATGAGTTAGAAAGTGTTTCTGTTTTTTGGAAGAGTTTGTGAGGAATTATTATTAGTTCTTTGTTAAGGGTTTGGTAGAATTCACCAATGAAACCATCCAGGACTGGACTTTAATTTTTAAAAAAAATTACTAATTCAGTTTCTTTACTTGTTAGAGAGTTATTCAGATTGTCTGCCTCTTCATGAGTCAATTTTGTTAGTTTGTGTCCTTCTCAGAATTTGTTCTCTTTATCTAGGTTATCTCAACTGTTGCTATGCAGTTGTTTTCAGGATTTCTTTGTAGTCCTTTTCATTTCTGTAATGTTGGTAGTAACTTACCCCCTTTTGTGTCTGATTTTAATAATTGAACTCTTTTCTCTTTTTTCCTTGGTCACTAGCTAAAGGTTTCTTAATTTTGTTGATCTTTTAAAATAACCAACTTTTGGTTTTAATGATTTTTCTCAATTGTTTTTCTGTTCTTTATTAGATTTATTGGTTTCTATTTGTATTGTTTCCTTCCACTTGCTTTCTTTTCAGTTTACTTTTCTTTTTATAGTTTATTAAGGCAGAAGGTCAGATTATTGATTTCGAGGCCTTCTTTTTCAATACCGGTACTTAAAACTACAAATTTTCATCTAAGCACTGTCTTTCTGTATTTCATGATGTTTGGTATTTTCTAATTGTTTTCATACATTTCAAAATAATTTGCTGATTTCCCTTGTGATTTCTTATTTGCTTCGTTCCTTATTAATTTATTTATTTAAATGGAGACAGGTTCTTGCTCTGTTACCCAGTCTGGAGTACAGTGGCATGATTATAGTTCACTATGATGATCACTATAACCTTGAACTCTTGAGGTCAAGCATTCCTCCTGCTTCAGCCTCTCAAATAGCTAGGAATACTGGCACACATAACACACCTGAATAACTTTTAAATTTTGTTGTAGAAACAGCATCTTGCTGTATTGCCCAGGCTGGTCTTAAGCTCCTGGCCTCATGGGATTCTCCTACCTCAGCCTCCTAAAGTCCTGGGATTAGAGCTGTGAGTCACCTTATGTGGCCTGATTCATAGTTTATTAATGAATATGAATTTCCACATATTTATAAATTTTCTAAATTTCTTTGTTATTGATTTCTAATTCCATTCCATTGTAGTTGGAGTACATACTTTATTATTATTATTATTATTATTTATTTTTTTTTTGAGACGGAGTCTTACGCTATTGCCCAGGCTGCAGTGCAATGGTATGATCTTGGCTCACTGCAACCTCTGCCTCCTGGGTTCAAGCAATTCTCCTGCCTAAGCTTCCCAAGTAGCTGAGATTACAGGTGCCTGCCATCATGCCCAGCTAGTTTTTGCATTTTTAGTAGAGACAGGGTTTCACCATGCTGACCAGGCTGGTCTCGAACTCCCAACCTTAGGCTATCGGCCACCTCAGCCTCTAAAGTTTGGGATTACAGGCATGAGCCACAGCGCCTGGCCACTTTATATTATTTCTGTCTGTTTAAATGTATTCAACTTTGTTTAATGTCCTAACACATTGGATATCCTTGTGAATGTTCTGTATGCACTTGAGCAAAATCTATATTCTGCTCCTGTTGAGTGGAATGCTCTATAGATTTCTCTACTAGTTGGTCTGCAGCATTGTTTAAATCTTCTTTTTCCTTATATATCTTCTATCTAGTTGTCCTACAATTATTGAAAGTGTGGTGTTGAATTTTGTCAATATTTCTGTTGCAATATCTATTTTTTCCTTCAATTCTGTCTGTTTTTGATTCATGTATTTGAAGTTTTGCTTTCTTTCCTGGTTTCTTGTTTTCACCTTGGCTCTGCTGTACAGCTTTACATGGTTTGCTTCTGAATCTTTCTAGACTTTCTCAAGTCATACATGAAAGATTGTTTGCTAATGAGCATATTGTGTTCAGTCTAATTGATGCTACCATTTTCCTATGTTGTTACATAACTGTTTCCTAAAAATAGAATTAAAACTGAAGGTTTGAAAGTATATTTGAAAGTCTATATATGTATAAACTTGATAGGTCTTTTTTATTTAAAAATATTTTTAAAAATCTACGTATTATTTAAATCTGATTGTTGCTTCAATACCATCGTAGTACATTAGCACTGCTGAAATTTTGTCCATTTCCAAAATTTAAGACTGTTCATGTTTGGGAAGGGCTGTTATGAAAAGCAATTTATTTGTGAAATATGAATATTTTTATACTAGTATAGCAAAGTTATATAGATACATTTTAAGAGAAAAGATAGATTGCAGTTGTATCATCGACCTAAATTGAGAGCTTTTAATTTGTTATTCAAAACTTATTCCTAGAGTGAACAACACCTTTTTTAAAAAATAACTTTTATATTGAAATAACTATTTGACTCCTTGTAAGTTGCAAAGATAGTACAGGGCGATCCTGTGTTTCCCCTTCACCTAGATTCCCCCAGTGGTTGACAGCTTATCTGTAGTAGAATATCAGATCAGGATATTGACACTGGTACAGTGTGTGCACATGGGGCTGTGTTATTTCATCTTAAATATGGGTTCCTATCACCATCAACGCAGTCAAAGTGCAGAACTGTTGCACTACTGTGAGGATCTCCCTCACACTAACCTCGTGGGCTCAGCCATCCCTCTGCTTCCAGCCCAGTGGTGTCCTCACCCAGGGCAACCATAAATTAGTTCTCCATTTCAATAAATTTGTCATTTCTGAAATTCTGTGTAAATGAAATAAACCATTCATGACCTTTGGAGACACTTTTTACTTAGCACAACACTCTTGAGATCCATCCAGATTATTGTGTATGTCAATATTTCATTCCTTTTTTACAGCTAACTAGGATTTCATGGATGTATGCACCATAATATTTTTTAACCATTCACCATTGTTGGTTGAAGCTTTTTGTTGTATACGGATTTTTGTTGTAAATAAAACTGCTTTGAACAATTATGTACAACTTCTTTGTGGACAAATGTTTTTATTTTTCTGTGACAAATGTCCAGGAGTGAGGTTGCTGGGTTTTATGGTAATTATGTTTGTTTTAAGACTGACAGGAGCTGGGTGCAGTGGTTCATGCCTGTAATCCCAGCACTTTGGGAGGCCGAGGTGGGTGGATCACTTGAAGTAAGGAGTTCAAGACCAGCCTTGCCAACATGGTGAAACCCCATCTCTACTAAAACTACAAAAATTAGCTGGGTGTGGTGGCACACACCTGTAGTCCTAGCTACTCGGGAGGCTGAGGCAGGAGAATCACTTGAACCGGGGAGGCAGAGGTTGCAGTGAGCTGAGATCGCGCCACTGCACTCCATCCTGGGCGACAGAGTGAGACTCCTTCTCCAAAAAAAAAAAAAAAAAAAAGACTGACAGACTGTCTTCCAGAGTTACTGTTTTACTTTACACTCCCACCAACAGTTCATAAGACTCTACTTTTGCCACATCTGGCCCATGTGTGTAGTGATACTTCATCATGGTCTATATTTGCATTTCCCTCATGGCTAATGATGTTCAGCATGTTCTCATCTTCTGCAAAGATCTTTACATATTCAATGTATTTAATTTTGTTAAAGTGCAACTGATCTATTTTTTTTTTCTTTTATGGGTTATGCCTTTGATGTCCTGTCTAGGAATTCATCAAGCCCTACGCCCTGAGTATTTCTTCTGTGTTCTTTTCCTAAAAGTTGTACAGTGAGATCTGTGATGTGTTTCAAGGTAATTATTGTACAAGATGTAAGGTTTAGGTCAAGGCTTTGTGGTTGTTTGGCTATGTATATCCAAATGCTCTAGCATCATTTATTGCAAAGACTCTGTTCTCCATAAATTGCTTTTGTGCATGCATCAAAATTAGCTGTCATATTTTTATGTTGGGGGGACTCTCTCTAGGTTCTCCATTTTATTCCACTGATCCGTGTTTCTGTTCCTTCTCCCGTATCAAACTATCTTGATTACTGTAGCTATCTGACTAGACTTAAAATCTGATGGGCTAATTTCTCCCATTTTTTATTCATTTTCCCCCCCATTGTTTTAGCTGTTCCAAACAACTTTGCCTATCTATGCATAATCTTACCCATATCTTTTTAAAAAAATTTCCTGGGACTATGATAGTCATTAAGTTAAACCTGTTTGTCACTTTGAGTGGAATTGACGTCTTTATTTTAAATCGTCTAGTTCATGTTATATCTTTCCATTTGTTTAGATCTCTCAATAACTTTCATCAACATTTTGTAGATTTCCACATGTAAATCCTATGAGTATATTATTAAATTTACATTTCAGTTTTTCATTTTTTAAAGCAATTGCAAATGGTATGCATATTTCTAACTTTGGTGTCCATGTATTCATTGCTTACATATGGAAATATAGTTAATTTTTATCTTATATCTGCAACCTTATGAATTCTTTGAATTATATATGTGTATATATATACATAAATATACACAAAATCATGTTATGTACAAATAGCAACACTTTCTGAAAGTTGTTGACATATCTTCTGCATTTTGTCAAATATTTTTAAAAATTCAATTTTATATGATGTGATTTTTCTTCTAAAGTCTATTCATATGATAGATTACATTGATTAATTTTTAAATAATGGCCCAGCCTTGCACCCCTGGAATACATCATACTTGGCCATGATTTATAGTTCTTCTTATGTATTTTTGCATTATTATGTACATTAATATTCTGTTGTGTTTCTGTGTCTGTTTATTATGGATGTATGTATGTAGTTTTCTGGTACTGTTTTCCCCTTGTTTTGGTATGAGGATAATAGTAGCCTCACAGTGCTCACTTCAGCAGCATATATACTAAATATTGGAATGATACAAAGATTAACATGGCCCCTGCACAAGAATAAAATGCAAATTTGTGAAGTATTCCATTAAAAAAAAAATAGTGGCTTCATAAAATGGATTAGGAATTATTCTCTTTTCCTTCTCTCCTTTTTTTTTTTTTAAAGAGACAGGGTCTTGTTCTGTCCCCTAGGCTGAAGTATAGTGATGCAGTGATAGCTATGATAGCTCACCATAGCCTTGAACTTCTGGGCTCAAGTGATCCTCCCGCCTCAGCCTCTTGAGTAGCTAGGACTGCAGGTGTGCACCACTGGGCTCAGCCAATTGTTTTACTGTTTTGTAGAGACAGGGCCTATCAATATTGCTCAGGCTGTTCTCAAACTGTTTAGCTCGAGTGATTCTCTCAACTTCGCCTCTCAAGAGTGCTGTGATTACAAGCATGACCTACCTCACCTGGCCCCTCTCTTTTCTTTTATTTCCTGAAGGAGACTCTGTGCACTTGGTGTCGTATAATTGCTAACATTCTCAGTGATAACATTTGGCCCTGGAGACTTCTTTTGGGGGAGTGTTCTGGCTCTGGAAAAGAATGTGCTTTCTGTTGTTTGAGTGAAAAAAAATTTAAATGATTATTAGATCCTGTTGGTTGATGATTTTGTATCCTTGCTGTATTTTATATCCTTGCTTTCTCTCTCATTGTTCTATTAATTGTCAAGAGAAGGATATTGAAGCCTTTAAGTGTAAATGTTAATTTACCTGATTTTCTTTTCAGTTCAATCAGTTTGTGCTACACAAGTTTTTTTAGATTTTTTTTTGTTTGGTGTGTACACATTTAGGATTACCATACCTTTTTATTTTTCTGTAAATTTCTTGTCTGTGCTAATTTTTTTTTTGTTCTGAAGTCTGTTTGTTCTAATATTAATATAGTCCTTCCTACTTTCTTAGATTTATGTTAAGACAGTGTATATTCTTATTACCCTTTCACCTTTTTCATGTATGTGTGTGTGTGAGACAGGGTCTCACTCTGTCACTCAGGCTGGAATGCAAGGTGCAATCATGGCTTTGAAGGAAGCTGGGGGAAAGTGAATGGATTGTTCACACCGCTGCCCTTCAGGCCGCTGTCAAACCAGAGGAATTGAGTGAAGTTGAACTTACTGACATAAATGGGGAAAATCATTGTGCTGAAAAAGATTAAGCTGTCCTGAAGGAAGTGATGCCAACAAAAAATTTCACATTAAAGGAATTCTCAGGTGTGTTTCATGACACTGAAAGCCTCTACAGTGCACAATGTAAGCTCATCTCAAGTTTCCATGGCCACATGGCAGTGCCCAAGCCTTGAGAAGATGCTCTCTTTGTATCATAAATTGTGTGATGAGGAGGAGGCAAGTTGTGTTCAAACTTCTGTAAGATTTTAAGAAAGAAGACACTTACTTTCAGTGTTTCCACTGTTTAAATTACAGTGTACTCAGTGAACACTAGTTGTATTCTTTTTGTCTCTACATACATTTATAATTGACAGGAAGAAAGTTTCAGTCTTCTGACAAGTTTTTAATAGCCATGAAATGACTGCCATTTTCCCTTTAATTATTAAGATTACACTGCATGGATTTAGCTTAAATGGTCATGTTTATGTTCCCATGTTAACTGTGCAAAGTGATGGCAGCTCATGCTTGCATATGTGTATATGTGTTTCCGTATTACAGCACTAACGTGAACATGAATGTTATGGTAATGGAAGGTTATTTAAAATTTGTAATTTTTTTTCCCTTAGGATATGTCCCACTAGAAGGTACAGTTCAGTTTCTGTCTATTAAGTCATATGCAGTTCTCAAATCCTTGGAGATGGTTGTGCAACAGTTGTCATACGTTCCCAAATCCTTGCAACAACAGCAACAGAGCTGGCAACATAAAGCAGATTGCTACACACCTGCAGTCAGCAGAAGAGGGCGTGTATATACCTTCATGATTATGGAGATGTCATGATGTTAATGGTGGTTTCACAGATGTGCACATGCGCCATAACACATCAGATTTTATATGTTAAGCATGAGGATTATTGTGTGGCCATTAGATCTCAATAAGATTGTTGATTTTTAAATTAACATGTATATCTAAGAGGAGAGACTAAGCAACTAGTTAGAGCCAAGAACCCCTAGACAGCATTTACTATAAAATGAAATTATCACTTTGCTCTACAAAGCTCAAAATGCTGGCAGATCCAAACACACCACCCACAGCCACAGAGCCTGTTAGAAATCTAATTCTGTCTTCCCCCGAGTTCTTGAAAATCAGGATTCTCAATATGAAAGAAAGGACATGCAGCTGTAGGATAGAAGAGGCTAAATAAAACATCCTGTGTATTGACTTGGAATTGGCAATGTCAGTAGGAACTCACGAGTTAACTTATGTTTGTTAGTTCTCTCTCCCCCTCGCTCTCTTCTTGCTCTGTCTACTGAAAATACCTCGAAACAATGTCCAGTACAGTAGCAATGAGCATCTTACAATATCAGATTGCAGTGAAATCACCAAAGTCTACTAGGTTCATGTTGCCAGTGCTAAAGCACCACATGAAATGATTCCCATTGGCCAATCATGGGACAATATGAGATTCTGTAATAATAATAATTGTTGTTATTACATTATAATATTTAACATTCTAATTATATTATCCCATAGTAATAACAGTTGGTATTATTATTAATCACATTGTATTGAAACTCATGAAATACTGGAGCTCACCCCACTGGTCACCATCTGGGGTTGGCAGTGCCAGTTCATTGTCTTAAAATGTGGGTGAAGAGGAACAGGGAGCCACCCTTTCCTGCAGGAGCTGTTCTACTGTGTGACCACACCCAGCCCAAAAGGGTAGAAGGTGACCTGTTTGCTTCTGTTCCAGCTGAAAGTAAAAAGGAGGACAGGTCATCTCCCTTTCCATCCTTTAGTGATATAGTGTCTGTCTGGGTGCTGAGCATGAGTGGCCACCACAACAGCAGAGGAGAACCTGGACCTAGTGCCTCTGGGTGGCAGCATTGCTGTGTTGCTGAGGGCCAGCTGGAGCATAGGCTGGGCTCCAGGTGGATGTAAGAGCCAGTCACCCTGGACCACAAGTATGCAGACAACCAAATGAAGGCCTTTCAGCAGGCGAATCAGAGGTAGAGGTGAAGGGGACCTATAGATTAAACATGACTTTGAAGATAGCGAGGATGGGCAGAACTCAGCTCTAGTGTCTGAAGGTGTCCATTTGGGCATAAACTCTTATGCAAATCAAGGAGGTGGAAGTGATCCATCTTGGGAAAGAAGAGGGGACTGTGTTCAGGTTGGAACACTGGAGGGTCTCCTAGGGGACCTTGCGGTTGTTTAGAGAGTATTTGCCTTGTAATAACTTTCTAGGCATACCTACACTTGTGTAGTATTTTGAACTATTTTATTTTATAATTAAAATTTTTCTGGCTGGGTGCCAAGCATGGCTTATACCTGTAATCCCAGTACTTGGGGAGACTGAAGTGGGAGGACTGGTTGAGTCCAAAAGTTTGAGACCAGCCTGGGCAACATAGCGAGACCCCATTTGTTCAAAAATTGAAAATAATTAGCCAGGCATTGTGACACATACCTATAGTTCCAACTACTTAAGAGGTTAAGGCAAGTGAATTGCTTGAGCCCAGGAAGTTGAGGTTAAAGTGAGCCACGATCACTCTACTGCACTCCAACCTGAGTGACAGAAGGGGCCCTAAAAAAGGAAAAAAAAAAAAAAAAAAACTCTGAAACCTCAAAAGTCACTTGGATAAATTTTCTCTTTGATTAACCTCCAAATAATATATGCTGCTTTTTATTTTTTAGGAGTTTAAAAAGTTTGGTGTAATTGACTTTTTAATTATATGAAATGTGTACATATATATATATATATATATATAAATTTTTTTTTTTGAGATGGTGTTTCGCTCTTGTCGCCTAGAGTGGAGCACAATGGTGCAATCTACGCCCATTGCAATCTCAGCCTCCCAGATTTAAGCAGTTCTCTCCAAGTAGCTGGGATTACCTGCGTGTGCCACCACGCCTGGCTAATTTTGTATTTTAGTAGAGACAGGGTTTCACCATGTTTGTCAGGTTGGCCTTGAACTCCTGACCTCAAGTGATCTACCCACCTTGGCCTCCCAAAGTGCTGGGATTATAGGCGTGAGTCACCGCACCTGGACAAAATGTATCTTATTTCAAAGTGAACAGTATAAAATAAGAAATATTCAGAAGGCCTAGCATCTGTTCCTGTCCCCTTCCTCCCTCTGTAGGTATTACGCACACATACATGTCTGGACAGATATATGTGGACACACACAGAAGCACTTGCAGACACACAGATGCACTCACAGGCACAAATAGGAACAGATTTGCATGCCCTAACATACACAGATGCATGCACGGATAAGCAGGCACACTTTCATCCACACATAAATGTTCACACACCAATATGCACACACACGAACAGATCCTCAGGTGCTCGTATGCACAGTTATACACACACAGATTCCCATGTACACAAACATACATGTGCATGTGCACATACAGATATGCTTG
The DNA here is from genome assembly GCF_000001405.40 of Homo sapiens. NCBI lineage: Eukaryota > Metazoa > Chordata > Mammalia > Primates > Hominidae > Homo > Homo sapiens. The sequence goes on along the minus strand of NC_000024.10, from coordinate 19,014,512 downwards.
CACACACACATCACACAATGCAGATTAGACACTCATGCACACGCTGAATATGCACACACAAATACACGGATGCATATCCATACACTGATGAACATGCACATATACAAAGTTATACATGCATACGGATATGTATGAACATACACAAATTTTCTCCTTCCCTTGTTCTTAACTATAATGTATTTTCTACATATATGTGCTGCACCTTGCAATCTCCATTTCACTGTCTATATCCTTGAGATATTTCCATAACAATACCTTGAGGTCATCATGTTTGCTGTCCTTTCTTCCTTTCTCTGTCTTTACTGCTGCATTTGCTCTGCTTCATTCAGCTAGTACTGTTTGTTCCCCCTTTGTTTCACAAAAATCTTCTGTTGTTATAAATAATCCTGCAAGAAGCAGTCTTGTGTGTCATCTTTTGCTTTTGCTCTTCCGTTATTAGAATAGATTCTGAGAAGTAGGATGATGGCATGGTCAAAGAGCAATGGATTTTTGTAATAGAATATTTTTCCATGTTTGAAACTAAATAGGCCTGTGAGCATATGGTAAAAACACCTGGATCTTAGTATTATAGCTGTCGTTTTATGATTGAACTTTTTTTTATGATGATTGATGGTAAATCTGATTTTTTTTTTTTTTTTTTTTTTTTTTTGAGACAGAGTCTCGTTCTGTCATCCAGGCTGGAGTGCAATGGCATGATCTTGGCTCACTGCAATGTCTGCCTCCTGGATTCAAGCAATTCTCCTGCCTCAACCTCCTGAGTAGCTGGGATTACAGGTGTGCACCACCATGCCTGGCTAATTTTTGTATTTTTAGTAGAGATGGGGTTTCACCATGTTGGTCAGGCTGGTCTCAAACTCCTGTCTTCATGATCCACCTGCCTGATATTTTTATTAGCAAGACTGTATCACACACTCTTGCATGTTTTTCTGTTTCTGTTCTTAATCAAAACATGGATTGAAAGTAGCAACAATCACTCTAGTTTTTGTAAAATAGACTGATTAATGTTAAACCTTGATAGGCAAGAACAGAAAATAGAAAATAAATGATTAACTAAAAAAAATTAAATGACCTACATCTTTTCAGCAGACTCGTTCTGTGAATCAAGGAAGATTGTGTAAAAAAAAGGTTTTTAAGGAGTTTTGTTCGTGGGAATATCTAGATTGTTATTTCTTTGTCCCACTGTGCCTTGGAATTATGCTTTAATAGCACCTGTAGCTCAGGAAAAACCTTCTCTAACACAATTCAAGAGTGGTAAATTTTTGTTCCCTACTTCCAAGGTTCATGTTTTATTAGAACTGATAAACTAGATGGTGAAACTTAGTGGAAGCTGAAAGTGGCAAAGAGCTGCATGCAATGGCTGCTGGCTCTGGGGGTGAGCAGCATCGAGACTACTGCATTCTTTTATTTTTAATAGTAGTTTCCAGGTTTCACATCTGTTTCTGTTTAGACCAGCTAATTTATTTAATGCATTGAGAATTTGTTTTGCAATTTCTTTATTCCTTATGTAGGTTCATTCAGAATTATGCCAAAATAGTTTCTGTGATAGCTTAGCACATTATTCAGTTTTAGGTAATTCTGGAGTTTCCTCGAATTTAGGTTTTCTTTCTTCTCCTCTTTCTCCTCTTCTTCCTCCTCTTCCTCCCTCTCCTGGCCCTCTCTCTCCCTCTATTTCACCTCCTGCTCTTCTTAATGTCCCTTTTCTTTTTCAATTTATTTTATTTTTTAAGAGACAGATTGTCACTGTTACCTGGACTGGAATATAGTGATATGGTCATAGCTCACTGCAGCCTCAAACTCCCGGACTCAAGTGATGCTGTCTCCACAGCCTCTTGAGTAGATAGTACAGGTGCACACCACGCCAAGCTAATTTTTAAGGTTTTTTGTAGAGATGGGGTCTTGTGGTATTGCCCATGTTGGTCCTGAACTCCTGGCCTCAAGCAATCCTCTCACCTTCATCTCCCAAAGTACTGAGATTACAGATATGAGCCACTACACCCGGCCAGAAATTTTTATTTCTAATTTGACTGTTTGCCCTCCCTTTTGCCATTTCGTATTGATGCTTGCCAACTTGAAGTTACATGTCTGCAAGTGTAGAATTTCAAATCAGTAAAACCAGATATTTGCAAATGAATATTCTGTTTTTAATTTTTTCTTTCTCAGGAACATAGAAATGTTTTTCTTTCTTCTCTTTTCTCTCTGTATGTCACATAAGCTCCATTAGTCTTCAAGTCAGAAGTTCTGTTTGAAAATTGTTCAAAGTCTGCTGATCTAGTCAGGCTTGTTGGTCAAAGCCAGGCAGTGAGGTGCTACTCAGATGATTTGTTTTCACGGGTTTTTAATTCCAAATGCTCTGTGATTGTTTATTTAAATTATGTAGGATACTATGCATAATTTATATTTTCAGAGTTATGACATTTTACATTTCTGTATGGTCAGTGAATGAAGGAAATAAGATTCTACTGAGCAGATGGAGATGCTGGGCTTGGCATTGACTCTTCCCTGTTGACAGTTGCCTTTTACCTGCTTCCCTGGGGGTAAGGAAAACCAGGCAGCTGTTAAATCGTGAAGTCATATGTCAGGGAACAGCACCTCCTTATCTGAGAATGGTGCTGGGGTGTGTGTGCATGCAGCAGTTCCTGGATCACACAGTGTAGCTTTCAAAGGGGCTGTCAAACTATTTTCCACAGTGGCTGTACTTTTACATATCCTCACCGGCACCAGATGATTGATCTGGTTTCTCTGTGTTTTTGCCATATTCAGTCATCAGTTTTTATTTTAGTCATTCTGACAGGTGTGCAGTGACATCTTATTGTGGTTGCAGTTTGTGTTTCTGTGATGGCTAATTGTGCTGAACATTGTTTCACGTGCTTGTTTTGCTGTCTGTCTGCATGTCCTCTTGGTCATGTGTCCTGTTTTGTTTCTCTGGATGAGGAAATTCTTTCTAGTCCTAGTTTTCTGAGGGCTTTTGTCATGAATAAGTGTTAGATTTTTCCAAAGCTTTTCTGTATCTGTAGAGATACTGTAACAATTTTTTCCTTTATCTATTAATATGGTACGGTATTTTGATTTCATATTAGTCACGCCAACCTTGTGTTACTGGCATAAACCTCATGGAGTCATGCTGAGTATCTTTCATATGTCACAGTGTTAGATTTGCTGATATTTTGTTCAGGACGTTTGGTGCTCATATTCATGAAATAGATGGATCTGTATTGGCTTTTTTATTGTCTTTAGTTTGATGTCTAGAGGTAAGTTGGGGATTTTTTTTAAAGCCTCCTGTAATATTTTTAATAGTTGGCATAAAATTTGTCTTATTTATTTTTTAAATGTTGAAAAAATTCACTCTTGAAATGATCTAATCCAAGAATTTACTTTTTGGGAAAACATTTGATTGTGAATTGAATTTCTTTGGTATAGAGTTAGATTTTCTTGTTCATTGGAAATTCGTTTTTCAGAAAATTGGTTCATTTTATATGTTGACAACATTAATGGCATAAAGTTTATACTATTCCATTATTATTTTTTAGCCCTTGTTGGCTTCCTTCTTTCACTCCTAACATGGGTAATTTATATCCTGTCTCTATTTTAGTGATCATTTCAAAGCAGTTGTTTTTGGTTTCATTGACATTGTCTGTTCATTTTCTCTGTTATTGATTTCTGCTTTTTATTTCCTTCATTCCGCATAGTTTATGTTTAATTTTTGTTATTTTCTTAAAGTGGAAGTTAGTCCTTTGATTTTTATATCTTATTTTCTATTTATAAATTTTAGACCTGTAAACTTCTTTCTAAGCATTATTTACCTGTGTCACACAAATTTTGATATACCACATTTTCATTGTCATTTAGTTAAAAATATTTTCAATTTCCTTTAATGATTTTTTTTTCTAACCGTTGATTATTTGGAAATACATTGTTATGTGTCAGATAGCTAGGGATTTTCCCAATGTCTTGTAATTTATTTAATTCTATTATGATCACAGAACATATTCTGTTCTATTTCAATCCTTTCATATTTATTGAAACTTGTGACATGGCCCCGCATATGAACTCTCTGAGTCAGTATTCCATGTGAGCTTAAAAAGAGTCTTTGCTCTGTTGTTGTGTGGATGTTCTGTAAATGTCCATTCAGTCAAATTGATGGAAACTGTGGTTTAAAAGCTTTATAATTTTACCTGTTTTCTACCATTTGTTCTCTTAACTACTGAAAAAAACTTTTTTTTCTTTTTTTTTTTTAATTATACTTTAAGTTTTAGGGTACAAGTGCACATTGTGCAGGTTAGTTACATATGTATACATGTGCCATGCTGGTGCGCTGCACCCACTAACTTGTCATCTAGCATTAGGTATATCTCCCAATGCTATCCCTCCACCCTCCACCCTCCCCCCACCCCACCACAGTCCCAGAGTGTGATATTCCCCTTCCTGTGTCCATGTGATCTCATTGTTCAATCCCCACCTATGAGTGAGAATATGCGGTGTTTGGTTTTCTATTCTTGCCATAGTTTACTGAGAATGATGATTTCCAATTTCATCCATGTCCCTACAAAGGACATGAACTCATCATTTTTTATGGCTGCATAGTATTCCATGGTGTATAGTGCCACATTTTCTTAATCCAGTCTATCATTGTTGGACATTTGGGTTGGTTCCAAGTCTTTGCTATTGTAAATAATGCCGCAATAAACATACGTGTGCATGTGTCTTTATAGCAGCATGATTTATAGTCCTTTGGGTATATACCCAGTAATGGGATGGCTGGGTCAAATGGTATTTCTAGTTCTAGATCCCTGAGGAATCGCCACACTGACTTCCACAATGGTTGAACTAGTTTACAGTCCCACCAACAGTGTAAAAGTGTTCCTAATTCTCCACATCCTCTCCAGCACCTGTTGTTTCCTGACTTTTTAATGATTGCCATTCTAACTGATGTGAGATGGTATCTCATTGTGGTTTTGATTTGCATTTCTCTGATGGCCAGTGATGATGACATGATTGTATATCTAGAAAACCCCATTGTCTCAGCCCAAAATCTCCTTAAGCTGATAAGCAACTTCAGCAAAGTCTCAGGATACAAAATCAATGTACAAAAATCACAAGCATTCTTATACACCAACAACAGACAAACAGAGAGCCAAATCATGAGTCAACTCCCATTCACAATTGCTTCAAAGAGAATAAAATACCTAGGAATCCAACTTATAAGGGATGTGAAGGACCTCTTCAAGGAGAACTACAAACCACTGCTCAATGAAATAAAAGAGGATACAAACAAATGGAAGAACATTCCATGCTCATGGGTAGGAAGAATCAATATCGTGAAAATGGCCATACTGCCGAAGGTGATTTAGAGATTCAATGCCATCCCCATCAAGCTACCAATGACTTTCTTCACAGAATTGGAAAAAACTACTTTAAAGTTCATATGGAACCAAAAAAGAGCCTGCATCGCCAAGTCAATCCTAAGCCAAAAGAACAAAGCTGGAGGCATCACACTACCTGACTTCAAACTATACTACAAGGCTACAGTAACCAAAACAGCATGGTACTGTTATCAAAACAGAGATATAGATCAATGGAACAGAACAGAGCCCTCAGAAATAACGCTGCATATCTACAACTATCTGATCTTTGACAAACCTGAGAAAAACAAGCAATGGGGAAAGGATTCCCTATTTAATAAATGGTGCTGGGAAAACTGGCTAGCCATATGTAGAAAGCTGAAACTGGATCCCTTCCTTACACCTTATACAAAAATCAATTCAAGATGGATTAAAGGTTTAAACATTAGACCTAAAACCATAAAAACCCTAGAAGAAAACCTAGGCATTACCATTCAGGACATAGGCATGGGCAAGGACTTCATGTCCAAAACACCAAAAGCAATGGCAACAAAAGACAAAATTGACAAATGGGATCTAATTAAACTAAAGCGCTTCTGCACAGCAAAAGAAACTATCATCAGGGTGAACAGGCAACCTACAAAATGGGAGAAAATTTTCGCAACCTACTCATCTGACAAAGGGCTAATATCCAGAATCTACAATGAACTCAAGCAAATTTACAAGAAAAAAAAAAAAAACAACCCCATCAAAAAGTGGGCGAAGGACATGAACAGACACTTCTCAAAAGAAGACATTTATGCAGCCAAAAAACACATGAAAAAACTTTTAAGATCTCATAGTTTTTGTAAATTTAACTATTTCTCCTTTTGAATCTGTTAGTTGTTTCCTTACATATATTGAAGCACTGTTACTGGGTGCATACACATTCCAAATTACTGTATTTTCTTGAATTGACCTTTTTTCATTATTCCCGGTAGTATCCTTTGTTGAGACAATCTACATTTTCCTTTCCTACTGTGGTAACTCTGGCTCTTTTTTTGATTAGTGTTTACATGATATATCTTTATCCATAATTTTATGTTTTATGTATCTGTTTCTTTGAATTTAAAATGTGTTTCTTAACATAATAAAGGTAGCTACTGCTTTTTTATTCTAAGAATTGCTGCATTTTTATGGTGTCCATTTATTGTAATCATTAACATGGTTGAACTGAAGTCAATCATTTTACTGTTTAGCTTCTACTTATCCCAGTCCTTTATTTCTTTTCTTCTTCTTGGGTGTTGTGTTATATTTCCATTTAATTATTATTGGCTAATTGGCTATGTGCATTTTTCTGCTTTGTGTCCTTGTCATGTTTCCAATATGTTTTTAACTTATCACAATCTTTTTTCTGTGTCACTTATGGTGTCAAAGTCGTGCACAGTAGATGTCCACAGCTTCCTTCCCATCCTTTGTATTTGTTGTGTATCTTACTTCTACGTATTATCAGACATATGGTGCATTACTATTTTTTGTTTAAAGTAGTTAAGCATATTTTAAAGATAGTAAAAAATGAAAGTAATCTTGCATTTACCTGTCTGTTTACCTGTTCTGAGACTCCTCTTTCTTGTGGTTGATCGAGGATTCCATTCCCTGCCATTTTCCTTTAGTACTAAGAACTTCTTTCAACATGTCTTGTAGTGAAGTCTGCTAGAGATTATCTCAGGTTTGTTTCTTGGAAAATTGTCTTTATTTTGCCTTCATCTTTGAAAAATATTTTGAAGTTTTCATTTGACAGTCTTTATTTTGTATCTCTGCCTTTCAGAACTTTTATGGCTTCTGTAGTCCCCCGAAAAAATCTGTGCAGGCATTCTTACCATGCCTCTTCTTTATCCTCTGTGCCTTTCTCTCTGGGTATTTTGAAAGTTTTTCCTGTTTTGACTGGCTTTCAGAAATTTAGGTAGGATGTGTTTTGATTTGTCTTGATTCCATTTGCCAGGCTTCTTGTATCTGGAGTTTCATGGTTTTTATCCAGTTTCAAGATTTTCAGCCTTTATGTTTAATTTATTTCCTTCTGCCCAAACTCCTCTATCTGGGACATAACACTAAATATTAGACCACTTGATGTTCCCACATGTCATTGAAGCTCTTTTACTTTTTTCTCAGTCTTTTTTTTTTCCTTCCATAATTTCATTTTGATAGTTTCTTCTCCTCTGTCATTAAATTCAGTGATATTTGTCTTTTTTAGTATCTAGTCTGCTGTTAAGCCCTCCCAATGCATTTTTTTATTCCAGGTGTTGTAATCACTGGATGTTGCATGGGTTTCTCTCATTGTTCTTGTTTAAATACCTTTTTAATTCTTTCCTAATATGTATATGGCTTCATTTAAATATTTCAGCAGTTTATAATGCTTAATTTTGTGTCTGTTAAGTCCATTGTCTATGTCATTTTAGGGTGTGTTTCTGTTTAAAATTTGTTGCCCTTTGTAATAGGCCCATACTGAGTATATAAATGTTATATTTAATGTCTGAAATTTTTATTTTTGTCTTTAAAACATCTTGATCTTTATTAAATTAGTTTAGCAACTTGTGGGTCAACTTGATCTCTTCAAGGCTTGTTCTTAAACTTTGTTAGAGTGGGCTGCTTTATTGTAATGCTAATTTAATCCTATTACTAGAGCATGATCCTGCTGGGATTCTTCTGATATCTACTGAAATCCTTGCTGGTTCAGAGATGCCTCTAAACTCTGGCTAGTCAAAACTTGATCTCTCTCCAACTCTGTAGTCTCTGCGGGTGGCTCAGGTTGATCTTAACTGGTTATCCTTTACCTGGCCAGACATAATCTTATCCTGTATGGTGTGCATACTAGCACTCAGTAATACTCAAGTAGGACACTTTGCGTATTTCTGCAATTCTTTTTCTTCCTTGCCCCTTTTCAGTATTTTGCAAATGCTGTCAGTTTCCCTAAATTCTGGCCTCAGCCTTCTAAATTCAGAGCAGCTGCGTCCCTCCACCTGGCTTCTGCCCTATAAAATGTTAAAATTTTTTATGTAGGAAGCTGGGCTTATGTGGGACACGTGGCTTTGTTTCTCTTCTCCCTGAGGTCACAGTATCTAATCTCTGAAAACAGGTATTTTATAAATATTGTCCATTTACTATTGACAAGATTTATAATTGTTTTTGTGGGAGGGCAAGTCTCATATTAGTTGCCACAACATGGCCTGTAGAAATCCTTGATTAATTTTTACTGAGAAATATTAAGTTCCTTGTGGATGAAACAAATTATGTGACATTTCAAATTATAATTAAACTAAAACAAACAGGTATTTGTGTATTGAGAATTTGCTTGTCAGCAGGGATCTACCTGCTGAGAAGACTAGCCTCCACCGGCCTGTGACTGCCTTGCAGAGCCTGGATACCTGCCGTTCTGCCAAGTTTAGATGTCCCTTCCCTTCCTTAGGCGGCATTCCTTTAAAAAAGAGGTGGACGTTGGCTGGGTGCAGTGGCTCAAGCCAGTAATCCCAGCACTTTGGGAGGCCAAGACGGATGGATTATATGAGGTCAGGAGCTCGAGACCAGCCTGGCCAACATGGTGAAACCCCGACTCTACTAAAAATGCAAAAATTAGCCGGGCATGGTGGCACACGCCTGTAGTCCCAGCTGTTCGGGAGGCGGAGGCAGAAGAATTGCTTGAGTCTGGGAGTCCAAGGTTGTAGTGAGCCGAGATCGTGCCGCGGCACTCCAGCCTGGCCGACAGAGTGAGACTCTGTCTCAGAAAAAGGAAAAAAAAAAAAGGTGGACGTCAGTTTTTATTCCTGATTCTTAATAGTAATATGTGCATTTAAAATAATACATAAATCACAAAGTGGAAGAAAAACCCTCATAACCTGCCAGTGTGCACTGGCTATTATGAACATTTTGGTATAAATCCTTTGTAATAGTACCTTCCCCTGGCCACATTCTTACATGGTTGGATAATGTTATATATTTTTTTTTTTTTTCTAGTAGAATATTTATTCAGCACTATGTTATGGGTTTTCTTCTCATATTAGAAATTGTGTATCTCTGCAAATTTTTTGTTTGTTTGTTTTTTCCTTGAGATGGAGTTTGAGTCTGTCACCCAGGCTGGAGTGCAGTAGCATGATCTCTGCTCACTTCAACCTCCACCTCCTGGCTTTAAGCAATTCTTATGCCTCAGCCTCCCAAGTAGCTGAGACCACAGGTGTGTGCCACCATGACTGACTAATTATTATTTTGTTTTGTTTTGTTTTGTTTTGTATTTTTAGTAGGGACAGGTTTCCACTATATTGGCCAGGCTTGTATGGAGCTCCTGACCTCAAATTATCCACCCCTCCTAGGCTTCCCCAAGTGCTGGGATTACAGGCGTGAGCCACTGTGCCCAGCCTGTGTGTTTTCTCTTCTTAAAATATATAATTTCCTTTATGCACTTGCAGGCTTTGTTTTGTGTTTAGAAGGTTGTTTGTCCACCAGTGTTCATTTATCATTTTAACCACTTTTAAATGTTTGTCAGTAGCTAGAATTGAAAAGATCCAGGTAATTTGCATTGACAGTATTGTGATTATTAAAATATTGTTTCCTACAGTTTCCACTTGATGTGCAAAGACCTAGGAGAGGGAAGTTGAATCATGTCACTTACTATTTATGGCTAGATAATTGTTTTAGAGTTAAGATTAAGTAGGTTATTATTATTATTATTACCTGTTACGATCTGAACAGAATGATGTCTCACTCCAGCCTGCGTTTGTGTCATCATTTCCCTCCTCAATTCTTTCCCCTCCTCACTCTGCTTTCCCAGTGTTTTCTACTTGCCTTTTTATGTTGCAGAATAAATCTGTGGCATTACCTTATTAACTTATTAGTCTCATACTATTTATTAAGATAAATTAAGTTTTATCATGGAGACATTCTTGCAGCCTATTGACTTTCTAATGTAATTGGAACTGATTGCTGGATTAGTGCTACTGTTTCTGGCTTAGTGTTACATGTTTCTTCTTTGTGTTATTTTCTTTCCTGTGTGCATCCTCAAGTAATCTCTCCAGGATAAATGGGAGGATAATAAAGACTATGAATCCTTAAATGAGTGGAGATTTTGGTTTGGGGTAACACTTGCGCAAAAGCCCCACCCTCTTTGTCTTCCTGCTGAAGAAATTTCTAAGAATTGTAGGTTCACTGGCAGTAGACAACTTGGGAGTTAAGTCTCACTAAAGGATAATTTTGTAATAGATTTAATTTTGCCTAGTGCAGTAGAAAAGAAAGTGTAGAATCAAAGCACTGTATTAGAAAGAAATTGCCAAAAGGAAAAAAAAAGCCAAAGAAACCAACCAAGCCAAGAGTTTTGGTGTATGGTTCCATTAATATAAAACTCTGTACAAACCAATCGGCAAGTGAAAAAGGTTAAGAGTGCAGGGTTGCGTGGGATGCAAGTGGGGTACAGGAACTCTTTGTGACTAATAGAAATGTTTAGTACCTTCAGATGGAGGTGGTCACAGGCATATACAAATATCAAAACCAAATTTTACACTTTAAATATGTGCAGCTTCTTGCGTGTAGATTACACCTAAATGAAATAGTTACAATTTTACCATACTGTTATCTGTAACTCTGAGTAATGCTCTTTGCCATGATTACAGGAAGTAACATTTTATTATCTTCAATATTACAAGAATGGTTTCTTATTTTTATGAGTGGCATTGTTGCAGGACAATCAAAGACTGGAGAGAATGAAAAATGTTCAGGAGAATTTATTAAGATGATCACCGGCTCAGCCAGACATACGTCCAGAAAATCTGAGCCCCGACCAAAGGACTTTTCCTCATTTTAAACATCTTAAGTCAGGAGCTACGTGAGTTGGGAAGCAAGTTACAGAAGCCAGAAACACAGGCAGTTAATCAAGCATTAGGACATTTGTTACATCTTGAGAAAAACTTGTAACCTAAACTTGCAACCTAAACTTCTTGATCTTCTGCTCCTGCAGCAGTGCTAGGGAGGTAAGCAGGAACTCACTGGACTTGTAGGAATGTGAAGTTGGGGAGTATAGATAAGATCCACTGACCGCAGAAAGAAGACAGGCTGTTTTCTCTTTTAACTTGAGTGTAAGGAGGTTCACACTTTGCAGCAACTTTAAGAGGATTTTAAAATTTCTATCACTACTACTATTAAGTTATAGTTGATATCATTAATTCATTCTTCATTTCTGCCCTTTGGTGCTCAGCACAAATGTAGATTAGTAAAGAGCACCACTGTTAACTATTTCTTCTTGAGTGGGTACATACTCATCCTGGGATACCAGTTGGTACTTTGCAGAGCCTTTATTCGGGTGGTGGTATCTGTCTACTACTGCTTCTATGGTGGATTGGATGCTTCTGATGAGAAGTGGCAGGAGACAGGGAAGCAGTAGGCATCCACCTATTATGGCTACAAAGCCGATTATTAAAGTTTTAAAGCCTCTAAACTGTGAAAACCATCCTCCAAAGAGTGAATTCAGTTTGCAACAAGAGCACTTCTGGACCGGAACATGAGCTAACTTTTGCATCCTGGCAGTGATTTCCATGACAACTTTTCCATTGTCATCAATTTGTAAGCAGCAATTTGTTAAGTTTTCCACAAACTCCTCCTTCTGAAGCTAAAAGATTAATCCAGTGCTAACCTTTTCTGATAAATGACATCTGTCATCTGGGTCACCTGTATGGCTAGCAAGTCTTAAGGCTCGGGCTCTTTTATTGACTAATTTCCAGAACTGCTTGAAACCTTATGATTTAACCTATTTATATGTTATGGTTTAACATATAAATAGAAATACAGTGTCCCAATGACCCATCTTGTGCCCTGGTGACTGGCCCATAGTATTTGATAATTTTGTTCAGGGGGCCATTCGTTATCTTTCTAGCTCCCTATTTTAATGTCTTTTTTAATGTTAGTCTCTATTTTTTCCACAGTATTTGTTTTTGTAAACACAGTTCTTCTAATTCTTTTTCTGCCTTCATCATAGACCAGATAGCTTAGATCTTCCCTTTGCTGCAGTGGGAGTAGGCAAAAGGATGGCCTTATTGTTCCTAATACACATGGTCCTGTCCATTTATGGGGTAGTAATTGATAAGCCTTTGTTTCACAGATCCAATATAACCCTGCACGTGTTCTCCAAACACTTGGAGCATCTAATTGGTACCATGATTGATTTAGTGCTGGGAACTGCAAAAAGCGATTAAAGTCTGACACAGAAGAATTGTCTGTAAAGCTTCTCCATTGTGTTCTCTTCTCGGATTCTTCAAAATGTTGTTGACCTAGGCAAGTTGCTTCCCCTACCTGGTTCTGAAAGGCCTTGTCCCAACAGGTGATAACAAGATTTTCCAATGATGAGGTTCCTTAGTAGCCAAATGCTTGGTTTGCATTGAATTGTGTAACAAAATCAGGCAAGGTAAAATTTTCTTGTGACATCAATTCTTTAACTTCCCAGGGCCATTGATCTCCCATATTAGTACCTCCACATATATAACATACAGTAACTCCTAAATTGTTATCAATACTTTCAGCTAGCTGAGCAAACAGGTTTTCAGCTGATATAGGAGGAATTTGATTTTTTGATACTTCAGGATTAAAGTGTTCATTGAAAGATGTATAAAACCTAAAGTGTTGCATTGGGCTAACTTGAACTTGGATCCTTTGGGTTTTCCTGGTAATGACCAGAGGAATACCAAGTCCTAGGAGATTTCTTGCCTGATCAAAGGTTAATAGCCCTAAATTTATGCCTTTCAGTCCAGAAAGGCTTATTTGGCTTTAGTATTGTCAGATTGAGTGGGTTGCAAGTTCCAGTTGTGCACCCTATCTTCACCTCTTGGCTGGCAAACAGAGCAACACTTCCTGTGTATAGGTGCTGATAAATTCACGTGTGGTCCACTGATTATCACAATCAGGGCACTCCTTTTTGGATTCTTCTGTTATGGCCTTGGTGGCTCTGCTGGCTGACTCTTTCTTGTCCTAGATTTTTACAGATGGTCCCAATATTATTTAGTTTGCTGAGATGTGAAGCTTGGCAGGCATCAAAATATATGGAGACAGGGCCTTTATGCGAGTGAGGGAATACTTCTTTTTTGTTTACAGGTTTACTGACCCTGATTTCTGTGGGGTTTGTATATGATGGCATTAGGGGTTCACCAGTTTGGACTTCAGAAGTTCTAGGGCACGAACTCTGGGTCTTAATATACTTGGGGCTGCCCATTTCTGGGATCACAGACTGAGTAACTAGTCTGGTTATAGACACAAATTCCTGTATGAGTCCCTGTACACTTATAGTAGGTCTGGCAAAACATAGTTTTAGTCATACCTTTTCTGGACCAGGCTTCTATCATGCAGTGATGACAGTCATCTTGGTCCCCTTTTGTAACCATAGGTGCAAGTGTCAGTGGCTTCAATATTACTAACATGATTAAACTTATACTATGCGTGAGCACCCTTCTGGGTAACAACCTTGGCAGCATTTGCAAAGATAACATGACAGTAAAATAATCAGTACAGGTACGAGTATTAACTATGCTTGTAAATTCAATCCAGTATGCTTGTAAATTAAATCCACATTTACTTTTGTGTTGTTGACTTCCTCAGGCTTCGGCCATGCGTAGACTAGCCAGCTTCTGGATGTGTGACAAGAGCATGGCTTGATGTTTCCTTAAGGTTCAGCCGTGTGTGGACCAACCAGCCTCTGGTGTGGTCAGCGTAGGGCAGTTGTCCTTGTCAGCAGTGGCTTAGTTTCACCTCAGGATCATCCATGTCAGGTGGTCTGGGTTTTGTTGACTGGGCCACTGGTCCTGAGTTGCGGTCACTGCTGGTTTCAGCTGGCTATGATGAACCCGAGGTGTGATACCTGCAACTTTAACAGCAGTGGGGGTAGATAAGGTCACAGTATGGGGACCATCCCATAAAGGCTCGAAGATGGCTGGGTTCCATCATTTGATGCAGACAGAGTCGGTTGGAAGGGATGTATTGCATCTCTGAGGCTAAGAGGTATTCTTTCTCTTACTCACCCTTCTGTTTCCTGCATGTCCTCACCTAAGGCTTGCATTTATCTTCTTAAGGTTAATTTCCCAATTTCTTTTAAATCCCCTTTTAACTGAGTTATGATTGGGGGTGGTTGGCCGAACACTATCTCATAGGGTGAATACCCAGTTAATTTAGTAGGGGTGCGCCTGACTTGGAGAAGGAACATGGGCAGCACCTGATCCCATCTTAGATGAGTTTCTTGGCAAAACTTCTTTAACAGCTGTTTAAGTGTCCAGTTAATTCTTTCACCTTTTCCAGAATTTTGTGGGTGATAAGCTATATGCAGATTCCATTTGGTTTTTAACATCTGTGTTAGCTATTGTACTATCTCTGCCACAAGTGCTGGACCACTGTCTGATCCTGAAATTAGAGGCAGCCTAAATCTAGGAATAATGTCCTTTAATAAGATCTTCGTTACTTCCCGAGTTTTCCCTGTCCTAGTGAGAAATGTCTCGACCCACCCTGAGAAACTGCAGACAAACACTAGCATATACCGGTAGCCTCTGGCTTGAGGCAGCTTGGTAAAGTACACAAAGAGGTTTTCACAGGGTGTAGCTCCAGTTTCTTGAATCCCTGGGGGCCTTGTTGGCCTGCTGTGGATTGTTTTGGGCACAAGTTAAACATTGCTCACAAATGGCTCTAGTGATGGCAGTTAGGCGTGGCACATAGAAAGGCTGTCCTGCAAGAGTCTCTAATGCAGTTTTTCTCACATGCATTCCGTGATGAAACTGCTTTATGAACCGGGGGGTATTACTTCTGGTATGGTAAACCTCCCATCTGAGAATTTCTGACAACCTCCTTTCTGGTAACTTACACTCTCCTGCTCAAACGAAGCCTTTTCATTAAAGGAGTACTTAGGGGGTTCCATAAGGGAAAGCTCCAGTAAAGGCATGGTAAGGGTTTCCTCTTCCATCTTAGTTACCTCTGTCATTGCAGCTCCTTTGGCTTCTCTGTCCCCCTTTCTGTTTCCTCTAGCCTCATCACCTCCTCCTGTTTGATGCCCTTTGCGATGGATGACTGCTACTTCTTTTGGAGCCCATATGGCTTCTGAGAGCTGCTGTACTTTCTTTTTATTTTTGATTTCCTTTCCTTCAGTAGCTAATAATCCTCTTTCCTTATATATGGCTCCATGGGCATGCAAAGTGGCAAAAGCATACCTTAAGTCATTATAGATGTTTACTGATTTTCCTCTGGCCAAGAGCAATGCTCTAGTGAGAAGTATTAGCTCTAGTGAGAACTATTAGCTCAGCTCTTTGGGCCGAAGATCCGACCGTCAGAGGGCAGACTTCGGCTACTGAATTCAGTGTTACCACTGCATGTCCAGCCGGTCTGACACCTTCAGATATGAAGCTGCTTCCATCAGAATTCAACATCTGGATTTTGTAAGGGCAGCTCCTTTAAGTCTTTTAAGTTTGAGAAAACTTCATCCACTGTTTCCACACAACAGTGATACTCTGGGCCACATAACGGTGGCTTTCCATGTTCTGCCTATTCTTTTGGCAGCAGTGTGGCTGGATTTACAGTATTCACAGTCTCCAAGGTTATGTAGGGGTTTTTACATAAAAGTCCTTCACATCTGAGGGTTAGAAAGCCAGCGATGCCCATTCTGCTCCATCAGGGTGATGACTGTATGGGGTACCTGAATTATCAACCTTTGTCCAAACGTGAGCTTGTTAGCATTTTCTGCCAACAGGGCAGTGGCTGCCAATGCCTTGAAACCGAGTGGCCATCCCATAGCCACGAAGTCTAGTCACTTGGGCAAATATGTCATGGGCCGATACCATGACCCTAGTGTTTGTACCAAGGCTCCTGTAGCTATTCCTTTTCTTTTATGGACATACAGGTAAAAAGGCTTTGTCATGTCTGGCAGTCCTAATGCTGGGGACTGGATCAAGGCTTTCTGATTTCTTTGAAGGCCATGTGCTGCTCTTTTCCCTACCAGAGGGGTTCTTTTACCCCACCCTTTGGTAGCCTCACACAATGCAAGCCTCACACTTGCCAAGAACAAGTAATTTGGAATTCAAATGTGACAGAAGCCAGCTGCCTCTATAAAGTCCCTCACTTGTTGTCTAGAGTCAGGTCGAAGAATGCCATGCACAGTCTCTTTTCTCTCACATCCCCCCTTAACACTGCCTTTTAGAAATGTCGAAGCCAAGATAATTTGCTCTTTGGCCACAGATTTGTGCCTTTTCCTTAGACATCTTATAGCCAGCCTCCCATAGAACATGAAGGAGGCTTCTGTGCCTTGAAAGCACTCTTCTTTTGTGGGTGCATAAATCATCTATGTACTGCAACAGTACACAGTGGCCACTTGGTGGCATGAAAGCCTTCAGGTCTGAGGCTAGTGCTTCCTCAAAAATGGTTGGGGAGTTTTTAAATCCTTGGGGGAGTTTGGTCCAAGTATACTGTGATGAGCTCCACTCAAAGGCAAAGATGCCCTGGCTTTCAGGAGCCAGTTGGATGCAGAAGAATGCATCCAAACATTAAGCATGTAAACCAAGCAACATCAGCAGGAATTCACCCAAGCATTGTGTATGGGTTGGGCACAATGGCATATAATGTAGCTGCAACCTTATGTATGGCCTGCAAATCCTGTGCCAGCCAGTAATCTCCTATGGGCTTTAACACCAGTAACAATGGAGTGTTCCAAGGAGAGGCACATCTTTCTATTATCCCAAATTTAAAGAGCCGGACTATATGCTTTGTAATCCCATGGGTGGCTTTTACTGGGATGGAATACTGACGAATTTGCACTGGGTAAGTGTCTCGCAGCAGTTCCACCACTACGGGGGCCTGATTTATGGCTAGCTCTGGGAGACTGTCCTCCACCCAGACCCCTGCCAGGTTGAGAAACAATTCCTTATACATTGCCTCATTTTCCTGCTGGCAAAATGCATCTTTACAAATTTTGCACCTCTCATAGAGTCTCCATTCCTCTGTTGTGGGGATGGTAAGGGTCATTATCATGTCTTCTTTGACCTAGGTTTAGAGTCATTTCCCCTTCTCAAGTAAAGGAGATTTGTGCTTGCAATTTCTGGAGCAATTATCTTCCTAACAGAGGACCAGACAATTTGGCAAATATAAAAAATCATGTTGGACTTGCTGTCCTCCAATCACACATCTTTTAGATTTGAAGTAAGGCCTCTTTCTATTATTCCTGTAGCTCCAATTATATTGAAATAATTTTTAGACAGTGAACCAATTGCTTGAGTTACTACTGAGTGCTCTGCACCAGTATCAACCATAAAGTCCATTTTCTGGCCCCCTACCTCCATTGAGACCATAGGCTCCTCCGGGCCTAATGAAATGGAGCCTGGTCTATCTCAGTCCTCATAATAATCATTGATTCCTGCCAGTCCAATTAAATCCATGTCTGACTTCTGAACCCCTTGACCAGTGGCGGTGGGTTCTGGCCAGCCGTTTTTTCCCTGATTGTTGCCTCTTTCCTTTTCTCTTTCTGGGCATTCGTTCTTACAGTGTCCCATCTGCGTGCATCTTGAACATTGATCTCTCTCAAGCTTAGGTTGGCACCCTTGTCCTGGCTTAGCTTCTTGGTTTTGCCTAGCTTGTCCTCTACTCTGACCATGACCATGTCTTCTCACAAAACCCGTTTCTTGTCCAACTAAGGCTGTCTCCAGCCAGTCTGCCTTTTCCTTAGCTCTGCATTTAGCTTTGCTCCTGGCCTCCTCATCCTGATTTACAAACACCTTAGTAGCCACCAGGACAGGATAAGCTGGGTAATATTCATGCCTTCAAAACATTCTAACTTCTGAAGTTTACCCTTTATGTCTCCTTGTTCCTGGCTTACAAATGCCACATTAACCATACACTAATTACCCGCAGCCTCTGGGTCAAATGGACCGTCCAGGTCATGAGCCTGTTTGGTTTATCAGGCCATGAGCCTATTTTGTGTATCCCCAGTTGTGTCACTTAAGACTGTGTCCGTGGTGTGAGCCAGGTTAAGTAAACTTAGAGACCTGAGAGCCCATCTTGAAGAGCTGAGGAAGCAGCCAAGAAACTTTATCAATTCTGTTGGATTATCAGAGCACCTAATATGGTCAGAGAATTAAAATTTGTAAGAGTCATGTAATAATAGTGCTGCAGATCCTGTAATGCCAGGTACAGTTTCTGCTTCATAGCTGTCTGGAGGCGCAGTTTTCAGAAACCATAGACATCTGAGAAATATGTTTCTGGCTTTTATGCTCAAGCAAATTTATTAAAGACCACAAGGCCACAGCAATATTCAATAAATCATGACATGCTTTATTTCATGTCATATTTCAAAAGCTTCATGTAGCAGTAAACAATACCACTTACATTTAATTAGTTTTATTGAACATAAAGCAACTTCATTTGTAATGAACCACATGTTAGGATTAAGGATGTATTTTAATGACCTTTAAGTAATGCGACCAAGTTGTTGCCCTCGACCTCACAGCAGAGGCTTTCCTATATTATTGAAAACTTCAGAATGATTTTTAAGTTACCATGAAAAGCTTCAAATGACATTCTCCTTATTGTGTCTTTATTCAGTCATCTGATGTTGACTATACTAGATGAAATGCATTCCTGTAAATGCTGATGTGTGTATAGAAATGAGCTTCTTGCCAACCTGTTCTTAATTTTAATGTATCAAAAGTAGTTTGATGTATGAAAATTTCATGTTTTGAAAATTACCATGACAATGTAATATTTACATTCTCAAACTCACCCTATTCCTGGAATCATCTGAGTACATATCAGACATTCTACTAGAAGTTTCATAATTATCAGGTTATTAGAGAATATTTCTTTTTGTGTAAACTAGCTTGTGTTGAAAATGAATTTCGCTGTTAATAGTTAATACACAGTTTGAGCTACAGTAACACTTGCAGTGCGGTAAATTAGTATGGTCAACCATTAGTCCACCCTTTCTGAAGCTGCTCTTCTTTAGAAAAGCTGAGGCAGGTGGATTGCTTGAGGTCAGGATTTCCAGACCAGCCTGGGCAACATGGTGAAACCCCATTTCTACTAAAAGTACAAAAATTAGCCAGGCATGGTGCTACACCCCTGTAATCCCAGCTACTCAGGAGGCCGAGGCACAAGAATCACTTGAACTCCAGAGGAGAAGGTTGCAGTGACTCGAGATCCCGCTACTGCACTCCAGCCTGGGTGAAGAATGAGACTCCATCTCAAAAAAAAAAAAAAAAAAACAGAAAGAGAGAGAGAAAAAGCTGACCTGCGGATATCTTTCACAGTCTCTTTAAAGCCATGTGAATTTGCTTTAACATTGAACGTACTTTCACAGAGCTTGTAAGGTGGTAGTGAGGAGGAAGTATCTTTTTGCTTGTGTGTTTTCTGTGGGCAGGTATGCTTGGGGAGGTCTAAGCTCCTGCTGCTGCTCTCTAGCTTCAGGGCTTGGATGGGAGGCACTGTGTGCATGGTGTTCTCCAAACCATGTGTGTCAGATGTGATCCTTGTCCTGGGTCTTCTAAGGACCAATATTTTGGAGAGTAATTTTGGATCTTCAGTCATGAACTTTATCTTTTCCTCTGATTTTAGAAACATCTCATTCTGTGTTTGAAGTCACTTTCTGCTACATGGTCTAAGATGGCATCTGTTTCCTGTACTGAAATGTGACTGATACACCTTAAATTGAAAGAGTTTTTCACCCTCACCAATAGACCAGGTTGGTGGTACAAGGGCAGCTTTGTCATCCCTCATATGTAAGTTTGCAGGCTGGGTCCCAGTAACTGCCCCACCTCCACAGTGGCCCACAGGGGAGGGGAAGCAAGGGCCCAGTAAGTAATTGGACCCAAAGGAACACATGTCCCTTCTTATCTTCTGCTGGCCATAATCAGTCACCTGATCCTAAACAGCTGCAAAGAAGGTTTAGGAGTTCATTCTTTAGGTGGGAAGCCACCCACCCATCTAAAGCTCCAAATTTGTATTTTTCATAGGAAATGAGAAGAAACGTGGATGGTCTCTGCTGAGCCATTGCTTCATTTTCGTTGAGTGTCTGATTCACCCGTGCTTCTGCTGAGTGGAGTGCACTAAACCATTTGGGGAGTTCTCAGAGGATTGTGCTGCCCTGAGAACAGGATGCCCCTTAGAATTGCTGTTAAAATTACTAGTTTTATTAGCATCAATTATTATTACTATTTTTTCAGATGGAGTCTCACTCTGTCACTAGGCTGGAGTGCAGTGGCATGATCTTAACTCACTGCAACCTCCACTTCCCAGGTTCAATGATTCTCCTGCCTCAGCCTCCCAAATAGCTGGGACTACAGGCGTGCACCACCATGCCCAGTTAATTTTTGTATTTTTAGTAGGGACAGGGTTTCACCATGTTGGCCAGGATGGTCTTGATCTCTTCACCTGGTGATATGCCGGCCTCAGCCTCCCAAAGTGCTGGGATTACAGGCATAAGCTACCATGCCCTGACTTGCATCAATTATTTCACATGCATTCTTGAACGAGCTCTAAGCAGTTTACAAACCTTTATGTTAATGACTCACATACATTAAAATAGAAAATAAATGAAATATCAACAGAAAAATAGTATGTCTTCTAGAAATGAAAGAAGACTTATCAGTTTTAGATGACTGACTCTTCTGTTTACAGATTTTTAAAAAATATTTTAAGTTCTGGGGTAGATGTGCAGAACGTGCATGTTTGTTACATAGGTATTCATGTGCCGTGGTGGTTTGCTGCACTCATCAACCCGTCATCTACATTAGGTATTTTTCCTAATGCTATCCCTCCCCTACCCCCGCACCCCCAAACAGTGCCTGGTGTGTGATGTTCTCCTCCGTGTGTCTATGTGTTCTCATTGTTCAACTCCCACTTATGAGTGAGAACATGAGGTGTTTGGTTTTCCGTTCTTGCCTTAGTTTGCTGAGAATGATGGTTTCCAGTGTCGTCTATGTCCCTGCAAAGGACATGAACTCATCCTTTTTTTATGGCTGCATAGAATTCTGTGTTGCGGGTGGGGGCTTCAGGGCCGCGGAGGGGGTCCCCTTAGGGTGGGCCGTCTCCTCCTCGCCCGCCGCAGGCAGGAGCGCGGGGGACCGAAACCGTGTAGTTTGCAGCGTCAGGCAGCGGGTCCGCGCCCAGCGAGCGGCTCCCCAGCTCCTGGGAGGATGCGGACCCGGGACGCCCCCGTGAGCTCACTGCGCCTGGCTGACACGAGGCGCTCACAGAACAAAGCAAGGGCTTCGGGGAGGGCGCGGCCGCGGGGCCGAGCGCGCAGATCGCTCCGGACCGGGACACCGCCTGCGAGGAGCGCCGACCAGCCGGGAAGGGTTCGCGCTAGGCGGCGCCCGGGTCCCGTCGGCCAGGGTCTCGCCGGCTCGCCGCGCTCCCCACCTTGCCTGCGCCCGCCCGGAGCCAGCGGTTCTCCAAGCACCCAGCATCCTGCTAGACGCGCCGCGCACCGACGTAGGGGACATGGGCAGAGCAATGGTGGCCAGGCTTGGGCTGGGGCTGCTGCTGCTGGCACTGCTCCTACCCACGCAGATTTATTCCAGTGAAACAACAACTGGAACTTCAAGTAACTCCTCCCAGAGTACTTCCAACACTGGGTTGGCCCCAAATCCAACTAATGCCACCACCAAGGCGGCTGGTGGTGCCCTGCAGTCAACAGCCAGTCTCTTCGTGGTCTCACTCTCTCTTCTGCATCTCTACTCTTAAGAGACTCAGGCCAAGAAACGTCTTCTAAACTTCCCCATCTTCTAAACCCAATCCAAATGGCGTCTGGAAGTCCAATGTGGCAAGGAAAAACAGGTCTTCATCGAATCTACTAATTCCACACCTTTTATTGACACAGAAAATGTTGAGAATCCCAAATTTGATTGATTTGAAGAACATGTGAGAGGTTTGACTAGATGATGGATGCCAATATTAAATCTGCTGGAGTTTCATGTACAAGATGAAGGAGAGGCAACATCCAAAATAGTTAAGACATGATTTCCTTGAATGTGGCTTGAGAAATATGGACACTTAATACTACCTTGAAAATAAGAATAGAAATAAAGGATGTGATTGTGGAATGGAGATTCAGTTTTCATTTGGTTCATTAATTCTATAAGGCCATAAAACAGGTAATATAAAAAGCTTCCATGATTCTATTTATATGTACATGAGAAGGAACTTCCAGGTGTTACTGTAATTCCTCAACGTATTGTTTCGGCAGCACTTATTTAATGCCGATATACTCTAGATGAAGTTTTACATTGTTGAGCTATTGCTGTTCTCTTGGGAACTGAACTCACTTTCCTCCTGAGGCTTTGGATTTGACATTGCGTTTGACCTTTTATGTAGTAATTGACATGTGCCAGGGCAATGATGAATGAGAATCTACCCCCAGATCCAAGCAGCCTGAGCAACTCTTGATTATCCATATTGAGTCAAATGGTAGGCATTTCCTATCACCTATTTCCATTCAACAAGAGCACTACATTCATTTAGCTAAACGGATTCCAAAGAGTAGAATTGCATTGACCGCGACTAATTTCAAAATGCTTTTTATTATTATTATTTTTTAGACAGTCTCACTTTGTCGCCCAGGCTGGAGTGCAGTGGTGTGATCTCAGATCAGTGTACCATTTGCCTCCCGGGCTCAAGCGATTCTCCTGCCTCAGCCTCCCAAGTAGCTGGGATTACAGGCACCTGCCACCATGCCCGGCTAATTTTTGTAATTTTAGTAGAGACAGGGTTTCACCATGTTGCCCAGGCTGGTTTCGAACTCCTGACCTCAGGTGATCCACCTGCCTCGGCCTCCCAAAGTGCTGGGATTACAGGCTTGAGCCCCCGCGCCCAGCCATCAAAATGCTTTTTATTTCTGCATATGTTGAATACTTTTTACAATTAAAAAAAAAGATCTGTTTTGAAGGCAAAATTGCAAATCTTGAAATTAAGAAGGCAAAAATGTAAAGGAGTCAAAACTACAAATCAAGTATTTGGGAAGTGAAGACTGGAAGCTAATTTGCATTAAATTCACAAACTTTTATACTCTTTCTGTATATACTTTTTTTTCTTTAAAAAACAACTATGGATCAGAATAGCCACATTTGGAATACTTTTTGTTATCAGTCAATATTTTTAGATAGTTAGAACCTGGTCCTAAGCCTAAAAGTGGGCTTGATTCTGCAGTAAATCTTTTACAACTGCCTCGAAACACAGAAACCTTTTTAAAAATAGACACTCCCCGAAGTCTTTTGTTCGCATGGTCACACACTGATGCTTAGATGTTCCAGTAATCTAATATGGCCACAGTAGTCTTGATGACCAAAGTCCTTTTTTTCCATCTTTACAAAACTACATGAGAACAAACAGATCGAACCGTTTTGAAGCTACTGTGTGTGTGAATGAACACTCTTTTGCTTTATTCCAGAATGCTGTACATCTATTTTGGAT
The DNA here is from genome assembly GCF_000001405.40 of Homo sapiens. Classification (NCBI taxonomy): domain Eukaryota; kingdom Metazoa; phylum Chordata; class Mammalia; order Primates; family Hominidae; genus Homo; species Homo sapiens. The sequence continues at coordinate 18,990,741 of NC_000024.10, read as the reverse complement.
TGTATATTGTGTTTGTGTATTTACGCTTTGATTCATAGTAACTTCTTATGGAATTGATTTGCATTGAACACAAACTGTAAATAAAAAGAAATGGCTGAAAGAAAAAAAAAAAAAAGAATTCTGTGTTGCATATGTCCCAAATTTACTTTATCCAGTATATCATTGATGGGCATTTGGGTTGGTTCCAAGTCTTTGCTATTGTGAACAGTGCTGCAATAAATATACATGTGCACGTGTCTTTATAGTAGAATGATTTATATTCCTTTGGGTATATACCCAGTAATGGGATTGCTGGGTCAAATGGTATTTCTAGTTGTGGATCCTTGAGGAATCGTCACACTGTCTTCCACAATGATTGAACTAATTCACACTCCCACCAACAGTGTAAAAGCATTCCTATTTCTCCACATCATGTCCAGCATCTGTTGTTCTCTTTTTCATGATCGCCATTCTAACTGGCATAAGATGGTATCTCATTATGGTTTTGATTTCATTTCTCTAATGACCAGTGATGATGAGCTTTTTTTCATATGTTTGTTGGCCACATAAATATCTTCTTTTGTGAAGTGTCTGTTCATATCTTTCGCCCACTTTCTGATGGGGTTGTTTTTTCCTTGTAAATCTGTTTAAGTTCTTTGTGGATTCTGGATATTAGCCCTTTGTCAGATGGATAGATTACAAAAATTTTCTTCCATTCTGTAGGTTGCCTACTCACTCTGATAATCAGTTTCTTTTGCTGTGAAGAAGCTCTTTAGTTTAATCAGATCCCATTTATTTATTTTGGCTTTTGTTGCCATTGCTTTTGGTGTTTTAGTCATGAAGTCTTTGCCCATACAAATGTCCTGAATGGTATTGCCTAGGTTTTTTTCTAGGGTTTTTATGGTTTTAGGTCTTATATTTAAGTCTTTAATCCATCTTGATTAAATTTTTGTATAAAGTGTAAGGAAGGGATCCAGGTTCAGCATTCTACATATGGCTAGCCAGTTTCCCCAACACCATTTATTAAATAGAGAGTCATTTCCCTATTGCTTATTTTTGTCAGGTTTGTCAAAGATCAGATGGTTGTAGATGTGTGGCATTATTTCTGAGGGCTCTGTTCTGCTCCATTGGTCTTGGTGTGAGTTTGTTTTTTTTAAGCGATAGACCATGACATACCACTCTCCAGCCCTTCTTAAGAAAAATATGGCAGACAAGAGTTCTGTGCAGAAAACATGAGGAAACCCTTCAGCTATGCTGCCCCTTTTCTGAAAGGATCATTGGAATGCATGTGTAGAATCAACAGTAAAGACAATGACCAACACAAATGTAAAAGCTGAGCCAGAGCAGGCGAGACTGAGGTGTTCAGGAACAGGACAGAATAAATTCACATACCTAATATATTTAAAGAAATCTGAGAGGATGTTACTAGCAACCTAAATAAAAACAGAAGCTATGAAAAAAGTCAGGTGTAACATAACTCTAAGAAACATATGATTGCTGAAATTTTAAAAAAGTAAGTGTGGAAAATGAATTATTCTACATCCCTCAGAATGCAGGTCAGGGATGGGAAATACTAATTGAATTGATGGTTACCAGTTTCAGCTTGGTTCTCAGTGTTCCCTGTAATCCTTGTTATAAGGTATAATCAACTGTGGTTCTTCTTACTGATGGCAGTGCTTTCAAACTTTTCCACTGTCCTTTAATTTCTGATCCAACTGTCTTTCCTTCACCAGTTCATCTTTCTTTACAGGGACAACAGATTCTGTCTAATCCAAATTTATTCAGTATCCAACTAATAAATGAAGACTATTACCTCTATTCCCTCATTTTGCTGATAATTACAATAAAGGATCAGTCCTTCTAAGAATAGTAATTTCATAGCTTTCAACTGGTCTTGTCCTTGAAAAGACCTTTTTGTCGTTGAATAGACTTGTTTCCCTCACCCACCCTTTATATTGTACAAAATAGCAATCAAGGGCAACATCCCGCATGCAGTCAGACATCTTTATATAAACTTTTAACTTCCTACAGAATTAATTATTAATAGCCTACTACTTACTGCAAG